>NC_000001.11:42584138-42887168 GCF_000001405.40 Homo sapiens | reverse complement strand
TCTCGCCGCTCCTCCACGCGGTGCAGATCATCAAGCTGCTGCTCGTCTTCTACGTCAAGTAGACCAGCCTTTTGGCCAACTGCCAGGCACTGCTCCGGCCTTGGCTGGCCTCCCACGTGAGCACCATCTTCCTCACGCTGCTCTGCTTCCCCGCTTTCCTGGGCGCCACCTCTTCCTCTGCTATGCCGTCTGGCCTCTGCTACACCCTCAGCCATCTGCGGCCCCTTCCGGACCCTGGACACCATGTACGAGGCCCGCAGGATGTGGGTGCCCCAACTGGAGGCAGCGGGCCCCAGGGGCTCCTGGCTGCCCTGGGCGCACCGGTACCTGGTGGAAAACACCTTCTTCGTCTTCCTGGTGTTGGCCCTGCTGCTGGCTGTGATCTACCTCAACATCCAGGTGGTGCTGGACCAGAGGAAGGTCATCTGCCTGCTCAAGGAGCAGATCAGCAACGAGGGGGAAGACAAAATCTTCTTAATCAACAAGCTTCACTCCATCTACAAGAAGAAGGAGAGGGAGGAGAGGAGCAGGGTTGGGACAACCCAGGAGGCTGCGGCACCCCCTGCCCTGCTCAGACGAACGGGATGCCTAGGGGGCCGGCAATGGGCCTCGCAGGCCCGCCCAGCGCCCTGAGACCACACTGGTCCCTCCCAGTGACCCCGCTGGGACACCAGGACAAGGAAGAGTCTGCTTCTCCTCTCGAAAGCTGTAGCCGTGCCTAGGCTGGAACCGAAAGGGTGGGTGAATCCGACTTGGACACCCCCAGTGAACTCTGCCCTGCCTGGGACTCTATTTATTCTGATTAAAGGGGTTTTGCAGAAAAGAAAAGACATCATTAAGAAGGTGAATTTATCATATAAGAAGAGGGAAAGAGGGAAAGGCATCAAGATTAACTAAAAGAAATAAAATTAGTTAAGTCAGCAAATTCAAGAGAAACTATACAGATCAGCTAGATCTTATGAAGAGAGAGGAGAGAAACGAACAAAAGTTATGGAATGTTTCTATTCTTGTGACCATCACTGTGAGAGTTTCAAGAACACAGTGGGTGGTCAACCAAGTAAGATTAACGTCTCCGAAATGGCTGCACTGCATATATTCTTTCTATCTTTTACTGCTCTTGCCTCTTTCCAATTACAATAAGATTCTATTTTGTTAATTTTTTTTTCAAGTGAATGGTGTCAGAAAAAGGGTGCATTTTGTTTTGTTTTGTTTTCAGTTTTTTTTCCCCAACTTTTTATTTTGGAAAATAATATCGGCCGGGTGCAGTGGCTCACGCCTGTAATCCCAGCACTTTGGGAGGCCGAGGTGGACGGATCACTTGAAGCCAGGAGTTCGAGACCAGGCTGGCCAACATGGCAAAACTTGTCTCTATTAAAAATACAAAAAATTAGCCTGGCATGGTGGCTCGTGCCTGTAATCCCAGCTACTAGGGAGGCTGAGGCAGGAGAATCACTTGAACCCGGGAGGCAGAGGTTGCAGTGAGCCAAGATCACGATATCGCACTCCAGCCCAGGCAACAGAGCAAGACTCTGTCTCAAATAAAATAAAATAATAACAAAAAAAATCTCCACAAAAGGTGAAATTATAGTATAATGAATTAATAGTTTCTCCATCACCTAAATTCACTGATTGTTAACATTTTGCCACATTTTACTTATCTATATAATTTTTTCTTTTTTGTTGAACCATTTGAGAGTTGCAGACATCATGGCATTTTAAATCAAAACACTTCAGCATGCCTCTGTTTAAGAACAAGAACATTCTCCTATATATCCACAATGCCATTATCACATCCAATAAATTTAACATTAATATAATTGTATCTAATTATATAACATATTAAAATTTCATCAATTCTCCCCAAAATTTCTTTTCTAACTTCTTTCTTATTTGTTCTAATTAGGGATACCACATTGCATATGGTTATCAGGCATTTTTAGTATCCTTTAATTTTTCTTTTTACATTTTTGAAAAATAGAGACAAGTTCTCGCCATGTTGCCTAGGTTAGTCTCGAACTCCTGAACTCCAGTAATCCTCCTGCTTTGGCCTCCCAAAGTACTGGGATTATAGGCATGAACCACTACACCGCATGAACCACTATGCCTAGCCCTTGAATCTTAATCTTTAATCTAGAATAGTATACACACAAATGCATGTATGCATATAACACACACACACACACACATATATATAGTTTTTCATAACACTAATATTTTTGAAAAGTCCAAAGAAGTTGCCTTGTTGAATGTTCTACAATCTGGATTCATCTCACTCTTCTCCCATAGTTAGATTCAGGTTAATCATTTTGGCAAAAATACTACATACATGATGCTGCATACTTCCTATTACTTCACATCAAGAGGCACCTAATGTCAGTTTGTCTCATTATTGGTGATAAGTTTGACCACTTGGTTAAGGTAGTGTCCATCAGATCTCCATTACAAACATGTTTTCCTGTTTGTAATTAATCACATAACCTATAGAATATACTTCGAAACTGTGTGAACATCCTCTTCTGCAACAATCTTTCACCCACTGGTTTTAGCATCCATTGATGATTCTTGCTTGAATCTGCTTATTACGCTCATGATTGTAAAATAGTGATCTTCTAAGGCAATACCACATGCAAATGCTATTAGAGAACTTAGCTCTACCTTAGGAGGAGGACTGGGGAGGCATTTTCAAGAGATTCAAGCAGAAGACAAAGAGATAATGTCATAAATGAAAAGATTATCTTGAGTTTCTACAGTCAAGAAAGTTTCTAGGTTTTAGATCCATAGGACAGTTGTTTCTCCTGTCAACTTTAGCCAAGTCAGTTTATGTTAATAAATCGTCAGTTGGGCTGGGCTCGGTGGCTCATGCCTGCAATCCCAGCACTTTGGGAGGCTGAGGCAGGCGGATCACCTGAGGTCAGGAGTTCAAGACCAGCCTGGCCCACATGGCAAAACCCCATCTCTACTAAAAGTACAAAGAAATTAGCTGGGCATGGTGATGTGTGCCTGTAATCCCAGCTACTCGGGAGGCTGAGGCAGGAGAATTGCTTGAACCTGAGAGGTGGAGGTTGCAGTGAGCTGAGATCATGCCACTGCACTCCAGCTTGGGCGACAGAGCAGGACTCAATCTCAAAAATGAATGAATAAATAAATAAATCATGCAGTTACACATCTGTTTTATCTCTGTGTTGAAGTCATTAGCCTTATTGTCTGGAATGAACCCAAATGTTCATTCCCCTAGTCCTCTGTATAATTTGGCTTGGATCAGAGTAATTGTAGTGGCTGATTGCTTACATTGTTCTCGTTGCCTGTGCCATTGCCTCAGATGAAGTAATGAGACTAGGCTGGGAAGCCAAAAGCACTGATGGAGTTTCTAATTTTGAAAACTCCTTACGTTTCTGGAATAAGCTATACTTTGTGAATGCGTTATTTTTAAATTTAATACTGGACTTAAAATTAATATTTTATTAAAATTTTTGCATCCATGTCATAAATAAGATTGTCCATTCTATTGCCCTTAAATGTTTTTGTTATCAATATTATTTCAACCTCTTAAAAATGAGTTGAAAATTTTTTTCCCCTTTGGAACAACATGTATAAGACAAGAATCATCAGTTCCTTTGAAAGTTTAGTAAAAGCTCACTAGTAAAATGGTCTGGCTTGTGGGCGGATCACGAGGTCAGGAGTTCAAGACCCACTGGGCCAACATAGTGAAACCCCATCTCTACTAAAAATACAAAAAAGTAGCCGGGCGTGATGGTGGGCACCTGTAATCCCAGCTACTTGGGAGGCTGAGGCAGGAGAATGGCTTGAACCTGGGAGGTGGAGGTTGCAGTGAGCCGAGATCGTGCCATTGCACTCTAGCCTTCTTGACAGAGTGAGACTCCGTCTCAAAAAAAAAAACAAAAAAACAAATGGTCTGGCTTTAGTGACTTTAATGATAATAAATAATTTGAAGCATTCCCCTAAAAAGAATACAATAAAATTCATACTCTATAAAACTATAGAGCAGTAAAAATCAAAGAATACATGTGACAACATAGATAAATCTCAAAACTATAATATTGGACATTTCAGTTTTTTCCAGTTGCTTTTGTTATTTTTGTTTGTTTTGCCATTATGGACAATGCCACTATACACAGTCTTCTACATGTTTCTTGGTGCCCACATGCAAGAGTTTCCCTAGGGAATATACCTTGTAGTAGAATTGCTAGATTGTAGGGTACATGCATGTTCAACTTTTTAAGGTAATGCCATACAATTTTCCTATGGGAATTTTCCAATTTATACCAATATTAGAAACATACAAAAGTTCCTATTATGCCATATTCTCGTTAACATTTGGTATTATCCAACTTTTATATTTGGCGGTTGTGAAACTGGATTTTACTGTGGTCTCAACACACATTTTCCTGACTTTGAATGAACCTGAACATTTTAAAATATGTTTACATATTGTTTATGCTTTTTATTGAGTGGAAATAATGCTTTTTTTTGTCCATTTTGCTAACTGAATTGTCTCTTCTTATTGACTTAAGAAATTATTTACATATTCTACATATCAAATCTTACTTAGCTTTATGTGTTGCAATTATTCTCTCATTTTGTAGCTCATCTTTTCACTCTTTTTTTCTTTCTTTCTTTCTTTTTTTTTTTCTGAGTCAGAGTCTTGCTCTGTTGCCCAGGCTGGAGTGCAATGGCATAATCTCAGCTCACTGCAACCTCCACCTCCTAGGTTCAAGTGATTCTCCTGCCTCAGCCTCCCGAGTAGGTGGGATTACAGGCATGTGCCACCATGCCCGGCTAATTTTTGTATTTTTAGTAGAGGCAGGGTTTCACCATGTCATCCAGGCTGGTCTCGAACTGCTGTCCTCAGGTTATCTGCCCATCTCGGCCTCCCAAAGTGCTGGGATTACAGGCGTGAGCCACTGTGCCCGGCCCTTTTCACTTTTTTTATGTGAAATGTTTAATGTTAATGTAGTCAAATTCATTGATATTCTTTCTTTTAGTTTGTCCATTTTTGACCAAATTAAGAAATATTTTCCTATCCAGTAGTCAAAAAGATAATCTTCTATATTGTCTTGTATAACAATTTTTCTGTTTATATATAGGTCTCAAATACTCTAGGAATTGACTTTTGTGTATGTTGTAAGATAGGGATCCATTTTATTTTTCCCCTTATAATCAATCATCCACATACAATTTACTTTAGAAGGTCTGTGAATTGTCTATTTTAAAATTTTTAATTTTGAAATAATTTTAGATTTAGAGGTAGTTGCAAAGATAGTAGAGAGTCCCTGTATACCCTTCAATCAGTTTCCCCCAATGGTTGTATCTGACATAATTAAGGTACACTATCAAAACCAGGAATAACACATGGATACAATGTATGTGTATAGTTCTATATCATTTTATCACATGTGTATATTTGTGTAACCACCACAACAATCAAGATACAGAACAATTATATTATTATAAAGATCTCCCTGTGCTACTATTTATATTCACACATACCCAATTGTCTTTCTATTCTGTTTAAAGTATCTTTCAAAGACCAGAAATTTTGAATTGAAAAAGAAAACAACCCAATAAAAAATGGAAAAAAATATGTAAACAGACACTTCACCAAATAAGATATATGGATGCAAATAAGCACATAAAAATATTTTCAACATCATTGGCCACTAGGGAAACAAACATGAAAATCACAACGGTATACTTTGGAAAACAGTTTGGCAGTTTTTTAAAAAGGTAAGCATATACCTACCACTTGAGCCAGCCATTTCTAGTTATTTATTTACCCAAGAGAAATGAAAGCATATTGATGGCAGCTGCAGCCCATCTAGAGTGGCCACTGCAAAGTTGCTGGCTTTGCAATGGAGGAGACCCAGCTGGAACTGCATGCACCAAAGAGCTGGGAGCTGGAAACAGGTAGGAGCCCCACCTTTTTCCAAGTTGGCAGGGTGGGAGACCTGCTATCCCAGGCACAGCTGCAGCCACCCAGCTGTGGTTATGGATCCAGGCATCCTTGCACTCTCGGGGGCCCAGGAAGCCCCCCTGCCCCTGCAGGCTTGGAAGTACCTGCTCCCCTTGCCTGGCCTATCCCTGTATCCAGTGCATGCTCTGATTTTGGAACAAAGTTGAGGCCAAGCCTGGGCACTGTCACAACCCAGCAGGGTGTGGGAGTGCACTCAGGGTGGCGTTGACACACCAGCCCCCTGCCGCCTCGGCCACCTCCAGACTTTGAGATTGAGGGGGTTCTGAGGGCATCTAGGCATGGGCCTGCAGGCACCCTTCAGCACAAACAGCCTGGGCACTGTGGATGACATGATTGATGGTGGCAGGAGGCTGACAGGATTCTGGGCAGGTCCCCGGTGAAGCCCCATCTTCATGCCAGAAACGTCCTGGAGCATGGGAACTCGGCTGTCAGTTCTGGATGGAGTCTGCAGCCTGGAATGAGAACTTATGGTGCTTTTTCTGGGCCCACGTGTGGCCACCCATGGATCAATAAGCACACACTTCCTCCCTTCTGAAGCCCATAAAAAACCCAGACTCAGCCAGACTCAGAGTCACACAGATGTTGGGACAACCTGCCTGCAGATAGGAGCTACCCACTCTGGGTCTCCTCTCTTCTGAGGGCTGCACTTGACAGGATGAACTGCCTGTGGAAAGGAGCTACCTACATTGGGTCTCCTGAGAGCTGTACTGTTGGTCAATAAAGCACCTTTTCGCCTTGCTTACCTTCCAGTTGTCTGCATACCTCATTCTTCCTGGATGCAGGACAAGAACTCGGGACCCGCCAAATGGTAGGGCTGAAAGAGCTGTAACACAAACAGGGCTGAAACACATCCCACCCCCTCCCACTGGCTTGCCACATTGCAAGTGATGAGAAGGAGAGAAGAGCTGCAGTCCTTCAGGGAGTCCAAACCTAAGGGCTCTCTGAGCCAGGGCTGTGACACCCTCTTTGGGGCTCTGTGGTTCCTGGTATCTCCAAGCTTCCTGGAGGCACCACATTCCCTGGAGCCCACAGTGGAAGCCACATGCACTATGCCTGGTCCAGCCACAGCCTCACATGGAGCCAGCACCTGGGCCAGCGCCTGGAGCTGCCCACCCACAGCAGCTGGTGTGCCTGGCTGTGTGCAGTGGCTGGACCCCATGCACCTCTCTCATGCACCTCTCATCACTCTGCACCTGGCTCACCCTTGGCAGGCATGGGATCCGGGCCAGTAGAACAAGCTGAGCACAGCCTGTGAGGTTGAGTGGGCAGAATGAGCCTAGTAGACCCAAGCACAACTCGGGCAAAGGTGCCACTGGCCACAGAGGCTTCCAGCTGGAAAAGTGACACCCTAAGGATCCTGTGACAATTTGGCTATACAAAGAATTCTACAGAAATGTTCATAGCAGCTTTATTTGTAATAACCCCAAACTGGACACACTCAAAATGTCCATCAAGAGGTGAATGGATAAACATATAAATGTATGGCTATCCAATGAAATAAAATTCAACAATAAAAATGGATAAATATTTATATACACTACATAATGCATGAATCTCAAAATAATTATGCTGAGTGAAAGAAAGCAGACCAACCAAAACAAGAATACATACTGCATGATCCCATTTATACAAAATTCTAGAAAATGTAAGCTAATCTACGGTGACAAAAGCAGATTCAACATTCACCTGAAAGCCAATGGACAGAGAAGAGGGATGAGGGAAAGGGATCACAAAGGGCATGAAGAAACTTTTAGGTGTGATAGATGTGTTCATTATCTTGATGTGGTGATGGCTTTATAGGTGCAAACCTATGTCAAAACTTATCAAATTGTGTCAGCTGTGCCTCAATAAAGCTGTCAAAAAAGAAGAACCCATAAAAGATTTCTTTCTTTCTTTTTTTTTTTTTTTGAGATGGAATTTCACTCTTTCACCCAGGCTGGAGTGCAGTGGTGTGATCTTGGCTCACTGCAAGCTCTGCCTCCCGGATTCACGCCATTCTCCTGCCTCAGCCTCCCGAGTAGCTGGGACTACAGGTGCCCGCAACCATGCCCAGCTAATTTTTTGTATTTTTAGTAGAGATGGGGTTTCACCATGTTAGCTAGGATAGTCTCGATCTCCTGACCTCGTGATCCACCCGCCTCGGCCTCCCAAAGTGCTGGGATTACAGGCGTGAGCCACCACACCCAGCCAAAGATTTATTTCTTGCTCATGACACATGTCCATCATGAATTGGCTAGGAGTATTGTCCTCGTCCTCAGTCTGGGACCTGGGCTGATGGAGAAGGTACTACCTAGAACAATCCTGGTTGCCATAGCAGTGGAAAAAAGAGCACTGTGGCAAAATACACACTGATTCTTAGAGCTTCCACTCAAAGAAACAAGGCTACACATAACTTTTGAGGTGCTTATAACTTTGGAAATATATATTACTAGTGAATTGTAACTCCTCATTATGTGGCCATTTGTATCCCTAATAATGCTTTTTTCTTTAAAGTCTATATTTTCTACACACTAAATTTCTTTTAATTGGTAATTCCTTGGGATAATTTTTTAAATTCTTGTACTTTCAACCTTTCTGTGTGCTTACATTTTAGGTTTATTTCTTATAAATAACATATAACAGGATTTGAGGGTTTCTTTTTTTCTTTCTTTCCTCCTTTTTTTCTTTAGCAACAGGGTCTCACTCTGTTGCCCAGGCTGAAGTGCAGTGGCATGATTATAGCATACTGCAGCCTCGAACTCCTGTAAAAAGATCCTCCTGCCTCATCTTCCTGAGTAGCTCGGATTACAGGGATGTTGCCCAGGTTGGCCTGGAACTCCTGGCCTCAATAAATCCTCCTGCCCCAGTCTCCCAAAGTGCTGGGATTACAGGAGTAAGCCACAGGGGTTTTCTTAACTAATCTGAAAAATTTTTGTGTTTTAACTGGTTAGTTCATTCCATTTCACATTTATTTAGACAAATATTTCTATTTGTCCTATTTTTCTTTGGGATTGATTTGTTTTCATTAATCCAGGTTTTCCCCTTTACTAATTGGAATTCAATTTATTGCTTTAGTGCCTTCCTTACCATTTTCACAGGAATGCTTAATCTCAAAAATTAATATTTTTCCCTTTACCTGAATAATTACAGAATTTTAAATGCCTTACTGCAAACATCTTCTTCTAATTATTTCAATATATAAACCAGATCAATACCATTCAACACAAGCCCACAAAAGCAAGCAAAGTGTTTTGGTTTTCTTTTTCTCCTAGATCACTTTTTCACTAAGGTGTAGGTAATTGAGGGTATCATCTTTGTCCAGAGATCTCAGTTACAAATCTTCACCCTGCATAAATCCAAGTCCCCATTTTCTTGTCATTGTCTTGTCATTAGACTCACAGCCCTGACTTACAAGACCAGTAAACATGCTCAGAACATCCAAAGTGTCAGCACCCACTTATCACTTGGTTTTCAGCTTTCTGTTTGTTTTTTACCTCTAGGAATTTTCCTTATTTTCTTGAAAGCTGGTAATGACAGACCCTGCTGCTCCACTCCTGCCAGTGCCCCATCCCAGCTAATGTGCGTGCACCCCACTGTGCCTCTGCAGCTGCTAGCATGTGCAAGTGAGCACAGATCCTGCTGCCACTGCCCCTGTGAAGTACTTTGGCTGGCACTCTCCACTGGAATGTTGTGTGGCCAGCAGTCTGGGAATACCTCAGCCTCTCCAGTGTAACAAGTTCCTAACCTTGGGGGACCAGACAACAAAGCTGGGGGCTCAGTACCACGCCCCCAGAGTTAGAGTACAAAGCCCAGGAGTGTTGAGCTCTGCCTTGGCCTCTTGAAATCTTCTAGAAACAAAGCCCGTCAACTGAACCCACATTATGCCATTATCAAACCCCCAAGGGCATCAAAGAATATAAAAGCAAAACACCCCATCAAAAGGACAGCACATTCAAATATTAAAGGAGCATCAGCCCACATAGATGAGAAAGAACCAGCACAAAAACCCTAGTAAGAGTGTCTTCTTACCTCCAAATGACCACACTAGTTCCTCAGCAATGGTTCTTAAGCAGGCTGAAATGGGTGAAATGACAAACATAGAATTTAGAATATAAATAGGAACAAAGATCATCGGGATTCAAGAGAAAGTTGAACCCAATCCAAAGAATCTAAGGAACACAATAAAATGATACAGGAGCTGAAAAATAAAGTGGGCATTTAAAGAAAAAAGCACACTTAATCTGATAGAGCTGAAAAACGCTACAAAAATTTCATAATACAATTGCAAGTATTAACAGCAAAATCGACCAAGCAGAGGAAAGAATCTCAGAGCCTGAAGATTGGTTCTCTGAATTAACTCAGGCAACAACAGAAAAAAAAAACACAGAATAAACAAAACTTCTGAGAAATACAGGATTATGTAGAGACCAAATCTATGACTCTTTGGTATCCCTGAAAGAGAGGGAGAGAAAGCAAAGAACTTGAAGACATATTTGAGGATATCATCCACAGAAATTTCCCCAACCTCACAAAAGAGGCCAACATTCAAATTCAGAAAATGCACAGAACCTGAGCAAGATACTATATAAGATGACCATCCCCAATACACATAGTTATCAGATTCTCCAAGGTCAGCATGAGAGAAAAAATATTAAAGGCAGCTAAAAAGAAGGGGCAGGTCACTTATAAAGGGAACCTCATCAGACTAACAGTGGACCATTCAGCAGAAATTCTATTAACCTAAAGAGACTAGGGGCCTACATTCAGCATTTTTAAAGAAAAGAGACTCCATTCAAGAATTTCATAACCAGCTAAATTAAGCTTCATAACTGAAAGAGAAATAAGATCCTTTTTAGGCAAGCAAATGCTAAGGGAATTCATTACCACCAGACCTGCCTTACAAGAGGTCTTTAAGAGAGTGCTAAATATGGAAAGGAAAGACCATTACCAGCCACCACAAAAACACACAGACTATTGACACTATAAAGTAATTACACAATCAAGTCTGCATAATGACCAGCTAACAGCATGATGACAAGATCAAATAAACACAAATCAATATTAACCTTGAATGTAAGTGGGCTAAATGCCCCCAGTTAAAAGGCACAGAGTGGTAATTTGGATAAAGAAGCAAGACCCAAATCTATGTTGTCTACAAGAGATCTATCTCACATGCAGTGACACCCATTGGCTCAAAGTAAAGGGATAGAGAAACATATACAACAAAGCAAAGGAAAAAAAACAAGCAGGGGTTGCTATTCTAATTTCAGACAAAACAGATTTTAAACTAACAATGATGGAAAAAGACAAAGGAGCATTACATATTGGTAAAGGGTTCAATTCAACAAGAAACACTTAGCTATCATAAATAAATATGCATCCATTACAGGAGCATGCAGATTCATAAAACAAGTTCTTAGAGACCTGCAGAGGGACTTAGGTAACCACACAATAAGAGTGGGAGACTTCAACACCCCATTAGCAGTATAAGACAGATCACTGAGGCAGAAAACTAACAAAGATATTCAGGACCTGAACTCAATACTTGACCAAATGGACCTAACAGAAATCTACAGAACTCTCTACCCCAAACAGCAGAATGTACATTTTTCTCATTTGCACATGGCACACGCCTTAAAATTGACCACAAAATTGGCCATAAAACAATTCTCAGCAAAATTAAGAAAGCAAAATCATACCAGCCACACTCTTGAACTACAGTGTAATACAAATAGGAATCAATACTAAGATCACTCAAAGTCATACAATTACATGGAAATTAAACAACCTGCTCCTGAATGACATCTGCATAAACAATGAAATAAAGCCAGAAATCAAGAAATTCTTTGAAACTAATGAGAACAAAGATATAAAAATACCAGAATTTCTGGGACACAGCTAAATCAGTGTTAAGAGGGAAGTTTATAGCATTAAGTGCCCATATCAAAAAGTTACAAAGATGTAAGTCAAGTTAACAACCTAACATTACACCTAGAGGAACTAGAAAAATAAGAGTAAACCAACCCTGAACCTAACAGAAGACAAGAAATAGCCAAAATTAGAGCTGAACAGAATGAAACACACACACATGCACACACACACACACACACACACACACACACACACACGATCAATAAAACCAGAAGTTGGTTCTTTGAAAAAATAAATAAGATTGATAGACTGCTAGATAGACAAAGAAAAAGAGAGAAGATCCAAATAAACACAATCAGAAATGACAAAGGAGACATTAACACTGACACCAGAGAAATACAAAAGGCTCTCAGAGACCATTACAAACACCTCTATGCAAACACAAACTAGAAAGCTTACAGGAAAGGGATAAATTCCTGGAAACATACAACCTCTCAAGATTGAAACAAGAGGAAACTGAAACCCTGAACAGACTAATAATGAGTTCCAAAATTAAGTAAGTAATAAAAAGCCACCCAAGTGTGGTGGCTCACGCCTGTAATCCCAGCACTTTGGGAAGCTGAGGCAGAAGAATAGCTTGAACATGGGAGGCAGAGGTTGCAGTGAGCTGAGATCGCGCCATTGCACTCCAGCCTGGGTAACAAGAGCAAGACTGCATCTCAAAAAAAAAAAAAAAAAAAAAAAAAAAAAAGTCTACCAACCAGAAAAAGCCCAGAACCAGATGGATTCACAGCCAAGTTCTACCAGATATATAAAGAAGAGCTAGTACCATTACTACTAAACCTATTTCAAAAAAATTGAAGAAGAGGGACTCCTTTCTAACTCAACCTATGAGGCCAGCATCATTCTGATACCAAAACCTGGCAGAGAAACAACAGAAAAAGAAAACTTCAGACCATATTTTTCATGAACATCAATGTGAAAATCCTCAGCAAAATACTAGCAAACAGAATCCAGCAGCATATCAAAAAGCTAGTCCACCATGATCAAGAAGGCCTTATCCCTGGGATGCAAGGTTGGCTCAACATATGCAAATCAATAAATGTGATTCATCATGAAAACAGAACTAAAAACAACCACATGTTAATTTCAATAAATACAGAAAGGGCTTTCAATAAAATTCAATATATCTTCATATTAAAAATTCTTAACAAACTAGGCATTGAAGGAACATACCTCAAAATAATAAGAGCCACCTATGACAAACCCAAAGCCAGCATAATTAAGGGGCCAAAGCTGGAAGCATTCCCCTTTAGAATCAGAACAAGACAAGTATGCCTGCTCTCACACTCCTATTCAACACGGTACTGGAAGTCCTAGCCAGAGCAATCAGGCAAGAGAAAGAAACAAAAGGCATACAAATAAGAAAAGAGGAAGTCAAACTATCTCTGTTTGCAGATGATATGATTCTATACCTAGAAAACCCTGTAGTCTCTGCCCAAAAGCTTCTAGACCTGATAAACAATTTCAGCAAAGTTTCAGGATATAAAATCAAAATACACAAATCAGTAGCATTTCTATACAATAATAACATTCAAGCTGAGTGCCAAATAAAAACACAATCTCATTCACAATAACTGCAAAAAATGAAAATAAAATAAAATACCTAGTAATACAGTTAACCAGGGAAGTAAAAGATCTCTACAATGAGAATTACAAGATACTGTTGAAAAAAATCAGACATGACAGAAACAAATGGAAAATCATTTCATGCTCATGGATAGGAAGAACCAACATTGTTAAAATGGCCATACTGCCCAAAGCAATTTACAGATTCAACACTGTTCCTATCAAACTACCAATGACATTCTTCATAGAATTAGAAAAAACTATTCTAAAATTCATGTGGAACTTAAAAAAACAGCCTGAATAGACAAAGGAATCCTAAGCAAAAAGAACAAAGCTGGAGGCATGACACATTACCCAACTTCAAACTATGTTACAAGGCTACAGTAATCAAAACAGTATGGTACTGGTACAAAAACAGACACATAACCCAATAGAACAGAATAGAGAGCCCAGAAATAAAGCTGTACACCTATAACCATCTGATCTTTGAGAAAATCAACAAAAACAAGCAAAGAGGAAAGGACTCCCTATTCAATAAGTAGTACTGGGATAACTGGCTAGCCATATGCAGAAGATTGAAACTGGAACCTTCCTTACACTATATACAAAAATCAACCCAAGATGGATTAGAGACTTAAATGTAAAACCTAAAACTATAAAAATCCTTGAAGAAAACCTAGGAAATACCATTCTGGACATAGGCCCTGGCAAAGATTTCATGAAAAGATGCCAAAAGCAATTGTGACAAAAACAAAAATTGACAAATGGGACTTAATTAAACTAAAGAGCTGCCACACACCAAAAGAAACTATCAATAGAATAAACAGACAACCCACAGGATGGAATAAAATATTTTCAAACTATGCATCTGACAAAGGTCTAATATCCAGAATCCATAAGGAACTTAAACAAATTAACAAGCAAAAAACAATCCCATTAAAAAGTGGGAAAAGGACATGAACAGACACTTCAAAAGAAGACATACACGTGGCCAACAAGCATATGAAAAAATGCTCAACATCACGAATTATTAGATAAATGCAAATCAAAACCACAATGAGATATCATCTCACACCAGTCAGCTTTATTAAAAAGCAATAATAATAATAATAACAGATGTTGGCAAGGCTGCAGACAAAAGGGAATGCTTACACACTGCTGGTGGGAGTGTAAATTAGGTCAGCCACTGTGGAAAGTGGTTTGGCTATTTCTCAAAGAACTTAAAACAGAAGTACCATTTGACCTGGCAATCCCATTAATGGATATATAATCAAAGGAATATATTGTTCTACCATAAAAGACACATGCATGCATATGTTCATCACAGCACTATTCATAATAACAAAGACCTGGAATCAACCTAAGTGCCCACCCATGGTAGACTGGATAAAGAAAATGTGGTATATATACACCATGGAATACTACTGAGGCATAAAAAAGAACGAGATCATGTCTTTTCCAGCAACATGGATAGAGGTGGAGGCCATTATCCTTAGCAAACTAAGCAGGAATAGAAAACCAAATACTGCATGTTCGCATGTTCTCACTAATAAGTGAGAGCTAAACATTGAGTACACATGGACACAAAGAAAGAAACAATAGACACCAGGGCCTGCTTGACAGTAGAGGGTGGGAGAAGGATGAGGATTGAAAAACCACCTACTGAGTACTATGCTTATTACCTGAATGATGAAATAATCCATACAGCAAACCCCTACAACACACAATTTACCTATATAACAAACCTGCACATGTACCTCATAACTACAAGGTTTTTTTTAAGTTCTTTATAAACTGGAAAGTTCTATGCCAATAATGAGCATTATAATTAGATTTAGCCACAAAATGTATGCACACTGTTTTCATTAAAATTTACTTGTATAATCAAAAAATAAATAAATACAAACTGAGTCTCTGTAAACTAAAGAAAAAAAGTTGCATGCATCTAAGTGGATATTTGCTGTGTTTTATGTAGCAATTGCACAACTGTAGGTGCTTTATAAACGGTTTTTTAGTCCACAGAATTACCAGAATTGGAAATTCATTTTTGTTTTTCTCCTTCTTCTTCCTCTACATAGAAATATGTTTTTCTATGTTTAATTTTTTATCTATAGCTGGTTTGATTTTTCTTTTTTCTCTTTTCTTTTTTCTGACCACAAAGATCCAGAAGATATCTACAACTGGTTTGAAAGTTATATTTTTATACTTCTGGAGGTTTCCCCTAACTTACCTACACTCACATTTATACTTTTTTTTTTCTTATGATTGCCTAAAACTCATGGCATCTAAATCTTTACCCCAAACAAATTAACAATCTTGGCATGCATTTACCTCTCTCTCTCTGTCTCTTGATTACCTCCCTGACACTTTGAAATCATTGGAAGCTTTAACTCTAGATTGTTAGGGAAATCTAATCTTTTTAAAATGGCATTTAATTATTTAGACAACAAAGACCATTTCTAATTTCCTTATACCATCCATCCCATCCCTCTATTCTTCAGTTTAATGGCTGCTATCTGGAGGACAACTGAAACAATAGTACTGAGTGAAAAAGCAATATCCCTGGTCTAATCCAAGACACAGACTTATTTCCCATTACATAACTGAGAAGTGTAAAGGGTGCTTTACAAAAGTTTTGAGCAGTCTTGTTTTGCTGTTTGAGACTCCTGAACCCCTATCATATCTTTCCTTCCAAATCTGTGCATTCTAGGACATAAACGGTCAAGCCAATTCTTGCCTTAGCTCATTTCTTTCTTTTTATTTTTTCGTGGTTAAAAAAAAATACATAAAATAAATTTACCCTCTCAATTTTTTTTTTTTTTTGAAACGGAATTTTGTTCTTTTCACCCAGGCTGGAGTGCAGTGGTGCAATCTCGGCTCATTGCAAACTCTGCCTCGCGGGTTCAAGCGATTCTCCTGCCTCAGCTTCCCAAGTAGCTGGGATTACAAGCACCCACCACCACGCCCAGCTAATTTTTGCATTTTTAGTAGAGACGGAGTTTCACCATATTGGCCAGGCTGGTCTCGAACTCCCTACCTCAGGTGATCCACCCACCTCAGCCTCCCAAAGTGCTGGGATTATAGGCATGAGCCACCGCACCCGGCCTACCCTCTCAGTTTTTAAGTGTACACTACAGTCTTGTTAACTATGTGCACATCGTTATATGACAGATCTTCAGAACATCTTCACCTCACATGTCTCAAACTCTGTACCCATGGAATAATAACTTCCTATTTCCCTCACTCTATAGACTTGCAACCACCATTCTACTTTCTGCTTCTATGAGTTTGATTGCATTAGATAACTCATTTGAGTAAAATCATGCAGTGTTGCAGTGTTTGCTTTTTGTGATTGGCTTATTTCCCTTAGCATAATGTCCCAAAGTTTCATCCATGTTGCAGCATATGACAGGATTTCATTCTTTTCAAAGGCTGCATAATCTTCCATTGTATGTGTATTAGGGTTCTCTAGAGGGACAGAACTAATAGGATAGATGTATATATAAAGGGGAGTTTATTAAGGAATATTAACTCACACAATCACAAGGTCCCACAATAGGCCATCTGCAAGCTGAGGAGCAAGGAAGCCAGTCTGAGTCCCAAAGCTGAAGAACTTGGAGTCCAATGTTCAAGGGCAGGAAGCATCCAGCATAGGAAAAAGATGTAGGTTGGGAGGCTAAGCCAGTCTACTCTGTTCATGTTCTTCTGCCTGCTTTTTATTCTGGCCACGCTGGCAGCTGATTAGATTGTGCCCACCCAGATTAAGGGTGGATCTGCCTTTCCCGGTCAACTGACTCAAATGTTAATCTCCTTTGGCAACACCCTCACAGACACACCCAGGAACAATATTTTGCATCCTTCAGTCCAATAAAGTTGACACTCAGTATTAACCATCACAAGTCCACCCCCTGTCAACTTGAACCCATACACATCTCCTGAGATCATACATAATCTTCAAATAAGACAATAAAAACATAATATTCAAATAAAGACATAATTACACCTAACATAATACAACTATCTTTTGGGCACCAATCCCCAACCCAAATGCTATTACGTAAAATTAACAACACTTAAATGCTGATATGAAGTCAATAAATCTTATATCACATGATAAAGGAAAAAAGGAAATAAAAATGAAGAAAATTTTCTTAGTACAAGTGTACACATGCACAAACATGTTTTTAACAAAAGAAGGAGAAATACTCATGACAACTACAGTCATTTCTGCATCTGGTCACGTGGTCATAGCTGGTATTGATGACTACTTTCTTCTACTACCTATTCCTTATTCCCTTTGCCTTCAGCAAGCACCTCAGCAGGTCATAATTTTTTGCCTGGTGGAGTAACCCAAACCTTCATTCCTGAAGGGTCTGGGCCATTTGTAGTCCTGCTTGGATTGGGCTGTTGTAGTTTCCCACTGACCTTAGTCACAGGGCATGGTAATACTAAGAGATGCCCTAATGGATCTCCTGTATTTCATGCATACTCTTTCTTACTTCCGTGGTGGAGCAGCAGACTGATTTCATCTTGATAGTCTGGGTCAATCACCCCAGCCAACACTGTAACTCTCTTCTTAGCCTGTTGGCTTAAATGTAGGAGGAACCCAAAGTGTCCAGGTGGCAATCTTAATTTCCAGTTTAATGGAACTGTTGTTGTGTCTCCTGGTGGCAGCCTTCCTCCCTCTGGAACTAAGACCTCTAGGTCAGCAGAACATAATGTCACAGGAACACAAAGAAAAATTTTGCTAGTGGGTCACTAGGGGTAATGATGAGTGGTGCCACTTCCACTTCCACCCCTTGATTCCTGGACTCATGATCTTGGCTATAAGAGAAACAGTACCATATACTGGACATTGATTCAGAGCATACACAGCCTTCTGGAGAACTTCACCCCAGCCTTGCAAAGTACAGTCACCTAGTTGGTGTTGTAATTGTGACTTCAAAAGGCCATTCCACCATTCTGTCAATCCAGCTGATTCAGTATGATGGAGAACATGGTAAAACCAGTGAATTCCATGAGCATGAGCCCACTGCCGCACGTCTTTAGCCGTAAAGTGAGTGCTTTGGTCAGAGGCAATCCTCTGTGGAATACCATGATGGTGAATAAGGCATTCCATGAATCCATGGATGGTAGTCTTGGCAGAAGCATTGCATGCAAGATAGGCAAACCCATATCTGAAATAAGTGTCTATTCCAGTGAGGACAAACCTCTGCCCTTTCCGTGATGGAAGAGGTCCAATATAATCAACCTGCCACCAGGTAGCTGGCTGATCACCCCGAGGAATGGTGCCATATCAAGGGCTCAGTGTTGGTCTCTGCTGCTGGCAATTGGGCACTCAGCAGTGGCTGTAGCCAGGTCAGCCTTGGTGAGTGGAAGTCCATGTTGCTGAGCCCATGTGTAGCCTCCATCCCTACCACCATGGCCACTTTGTTCATGGGCCCATTGGACAATGACAGGGGTGGCTGGGGAAAGAGGCTGAGTGTGTCCACAGAACGGGTCATCCTATCCACTTATTAAAATCCTCCTCTGCTGAGGTCACCCATTGATGAGCACTTACATGGGATACAAATATCTGCACAGTTTTTGACCACTCAGAGAGGTCATCCACATACCTCTTCCCCAAATTTCTTTGTCACCAATTTTCTAATCATGCTTCTTCCAAGTCCCTGACCATCCAACCAAACTATTGGCTACAGTCCATGAATCAGTACATAATTGCATATCTGGCCATTTTTCCTTCTATGCAAAGTGCACAACCAGGTGCACTGCTCAAAGTTATGCCCACTGGGAAGATTTTCCTTCACCGCTGTCCTTCAGGAATGTCCTAGAAAGGAGCTGTACTGCTGCAGCTATCCACTTTCAGGTGGTGACTGCATATCATGCAGAACCACCTGTGAACCAAGCCCCAGTTTTCCCTTCCTCTGTCAACTGATCATAGGGAACTCCCCATGAGGCCATCAGTGCAGGCTGGGGGAGAGAAGGCAGGGTGGCAGAAGTGGAGACCATGGGCATTTGAGACACTTCTTCATGTAACTGACTTGTACCTTCAGGACCTGCTCGACCCTAATCACATATATACTACTTCCATTTGATGATGGAATGCTGCTGTGTATGCCCCACTTTATGGCTAGACAGGTCAGAAAGCACCCAGTTCATGATAGGTAGTTCAGGTTGCATGGTGACTTGATGACCCATAGTCAAATGTTCAGTTTCCACCAAAGCCCAGTAACAGGCCAAGAGCTGTCTCTCCAAAGAAGAGACATTATCTGCAGAAGATGGCAGGGCCTTGCTCCAAAATCCTAGAGGTCTCCACTGTGATTCACCTATGGGGTCCTGTCAAAGGCTCCAAATAGCATCTCTATTGCCACTGACATCTCAAGCACCATTGGATCTACTGGGTCTTATGGTCCAAGTGGCAGAGCAGTTTGCACAGCAGCCTGGACCTGTTGCAGAGCCTTCTCTGTTCTGGACCCCAATAAAAACTGGCAGCCTTTCAGGTCATTCAATAAATGGGCCAGAGTAACACACCCACGCAGAGAATGTGTTGCCTCCATAATCCAAATAGGCCCAGTAGGTGTTGTGCCTCTTTCTTGGTTGTAGGAGGGACCAAATGCAGCAACCTATCCTTCACCTTAGAAGGAATATTTTGACAGGCCCCACACCACTGAACCCCTAGAAATCTTACTGAGATAGAAGGTCCCTGAATTTTAGTCAGATTTATTTTCCATCCTCTGGTACACAAATGTCTCACCAATAAGTCCAGCGTGTTTGCTACTTCTCACTCACTGGATCCAATCAGCATAATGATATCAATGTAATGGACCAGCGTGATGTCTTGTGGAAAAGAAAATTGATCAACGTCTCTCCAAACAAGATTATGACACAAAGCCGGAGAGTTGATAAACCCCTGAGGTAGGACAGTAAAGGTATATTGCTGGCCCTGCCAATTGAAGGCAAATTGCTTCTCGTGGGCCTCATGGACAGGAATGGGGAAAAAGCATTTGCCAAATCAATGGCTGCATATCAGGTACCAGGAGATGTGTTAATTTGCTCAAGCAATGAAACCACATCTGGTACAGCAGGTGCAATTGGAGTCATGACTTGGTTAAGCTTATGATAATCCACTGTCATTCTCCAAGATCCATCTGTCCTCTGCACAAGTCAAATAAGAGAGTTAAATGGGGATGTGGTGGGAATCACCACTCCTGCATCTTTCAAGTCCTTGATGGTGAAACTAATCTCCACAATCCCTCCGTGGATGCCATATTGTTTTTGATTTTTCTAGGTAGAGGCAGCTCTAACGGCTTCCATTTGGCCTTTCCCACCGTAATAGCCCTTACCCTACCAGTCAGGGAGCCAATGTGGGGGTTCTGCCAGCTGGTAAGTATGTCTATGCCAATTATGCATTCTGGCACTGGAGAAATGACCACAGGCTACATCTTTCTCCTGTGTTGGATGCTTCCTGCCTTTAAACATTGCACTCCAGGTTCTTCAGTTTTGGGAATTTGACTGGCTCTCCTTTCTCCTCAGCTTGCAGACAGCCTATTGTGGGACCTTGTGATTATGTATGTAAAAAGTATAAAAGTGAGTGTAGGTAAGTTAGGGAAACCTCCAGAAGTATAAAATATAACTTTCAAACCAACTGTAGATATCTTCTGGATCTTTGTGGTCATAAAAAACAAAAGAGAAAAAAAAGAGAGAAAAATCTAACCAGCTATAGATAAAAGTTAATAGATAAAGTTAAACATAGAAAAACATATTTCTATGTAAAGGAAGAAGGAGGAAAAAAATAGAAAAATGAATTTCCGATTCTGATATTACCTTGTTGATTTTCTGTCCAGATGATCTGTCCAATGTTGAAAGTGGGGTGTGGGAGTCCCCATCTATTATTGTATTGTGGTCTCTCTTCAGCTCTAATACACTTTACATATCTGGGTGTTCTGGTGTTGTATGCATATATATTCACAATCCTCCTTCTGAATTGATCCCTTTATCATTATATAATGACCTCTGTCTCTGTTTTTTCACTTAAAGTGTATATTGTCTGATAAAAGTATAGCTATCCTTGCGTGCTTTTGGTTTCCATTTGTGTAGAATATCTTTTCCCATCCCTTCACTTTCAGTCTATTATATGTTTAAAGGTGAAGTGACTTTCTTGTAAGCAGCATATAGTTTGGTTTTTTTTAAATCCATCCAGCTGTTCTATATCTTTTAATTGAGGAATTTGAAACGTTTATATTCAGGGTTACTATTGATAGGTGAGGATTTACTCTTGTCATTTTGTAATTGTTTTCTGATTGTTTTATATATCATTTACTCCTTTCTTATTGTTTATCCTTGCAATTTGGTGGTTTTTCTCTAGTGATAATATTTGATTCTTTTTTTTATTTGTATATCAACTCTACCAGTGAGTTTTATACCTTTCTGTGTTTTCATAAGTGTTGATATAATCTTTTTGCTTGCAGATGTAGGAGTCCCTTAAGCATTTCTTTTAGGACCAGTCTAGTGGTGATGAAGTCCCTCAATTTTTGCTTATCTGAGAAAAACTTTATTTCTCCTTCATTTCTGAAGGATACCTTTGGTGGGTATTCTTGGCTAGTAGTTTTGTTTTGTTTTTTTTTCCTTTAGCACTTTGAATATATGAGTCCTTTCTCTCCTGGCTTGTAAGGTTTATGCTGTTGTTAGTGTGATGGGAATTCCCTTATATATATGACTTGATGCTTTTCTCTTGTTTTTAGAATTCTCTTTGTCTTTGACTTTTGACAGTTTTATAATGTGTCCCAGAAAGGACCTTTTGGGGTTGAATCAATCTGGAGACTTCTGAGCTTTCCATATCTGGATGTCTATATTTCTCTCTCAAGACTTGAGACATTTCCAGTGATTATTTCATTAAGTAGGTTTTCTATGCCTTTGCCATCTCTTCTTCTGAAATACCAAAAATACAAATGTTTATTTTCTTGATGGTGTCCTATATGTCATATAGGCTTTTTTCTTTCTTTCTTTCTTTTTTTTTTTTCTGAGATTGAGTCTCACTCTGTCACCCAGGCTGGAGTACACTGACATGATCTTAGCTCACTGCTACCTCTGCCTCCTGGGTTCAAGCAATTCTTGTGCCTCAGCCTCCCAAGTAGCTGGGATTACAGGCATGCACCACCATGCCGAGCTAATTTTTTTGTATTTTTAGTAGAGATGAGGTTTCGCCATGTTGGCCAGGCAGGTCTTGAACTTTTGGCCTCAAGTGATCCACCCGCCTTGGCCTCCCAAAATACCGGGATTACAGGCATGAGCCACTGTGCCCGGCTTCCTGAATTTCCTTATCATCATTATTTTGAATCCCTTTTTTTTTTTTTTTTTTTTTTTTTTTTTTGAGACGGAGTCTCGCTGTTGCCCAGGCTGGAGTGCAGTGGCGCGATCTCGGCTCACTGAAGGCTCCGCCCCCCGGGGTTCACACCATTCTCCTGCCCCAGCCTCCCTAGTAGCTGGGACTACAGGCGCCGGCCACCTCGCCCGGCTAATTTTTTGTATTTTTAGTAGAGACGGGGTTTCACTGTGTTAGCCAGGATGGTCTCGATCTCCTGACCTCATGATCCGCCCACCTCGGCCTCCCAAAGTGCTGGGATTACAGGCATGAGCCACCGCGCCCGGCTTGAATCCCTTTTAAGGCATTTCGTAGACTTCCTTTTCTTTGGGTCTATTACTGAATAATTATTGTGTTCCTTTGGAGGTGTCATGTTTCCTTGCCTTTTTTGTTTGTTTCTTGTGTCTCTATGTTGATATCTATGCATCTAGTATAATAGTCACTTCTTCCAATTTTATGAAGTAGCTTTCACAGGGGAAGACTTTTTCCTGTAGATGTATCTATAGTATCAATTGGGTAGGGTTGTTTAGCTTTGGTTCTGAGTGAGCATTATAGTGTAGTGTCTGTATGATTCCTACAGCTGTAATCAGTGTCACCAGTATCTCCAAGTTCCTCATTGGCTTAGGCTGCAGTTGTTTGTGAAGGCTGTGGTGAAGCTTTGCTGTAGATATAGATTCTGTGTGGGCCAGTCCTCAGATCCCCAGGCAGTGCATGCAAGTATCAGTAGTGGCAGCAGTGACCCTAAATGGATTGTCCTCTGGTCCCTGGACAGCATGCACAGGTGCTGGTGGTGGAAATGGTTGCCCTTGGTGGGCCGGTCGTTGGCCCCAAGATGGCATGCACACAGGCACCCATGGTGGCAGTGGTAGCAGCAGCCCCAAGAAGTTCAGTCCTTGGGCCCCCAGGCAGTGTGTGACCCCTCTGCTAAAGGGGGCAGAGTTGCTATCAGTGATGGTGGCCCTAGGCAGGCAGCTCTCAGACTCTGAGGGGTGTGAACTTTGGCTCCCTATGTCCTGGGGGCAATCTCCCTGATGTGCTGGGCTGTCTGTTCCCTGGGGTGTAGGGTACTGAGTGGTCTCAGGTGCCAGGAACATGGCCACATCACTGGTTCCAGCTAGTGTCAGGACACTGCAGTCCTCTGACATTTTTAACTCTGAGACTTATTCCAGAGGAAAGTCTTAGCTGGCTGGAATTCAAGAAGGAGCTAAAATGAAATAGGCTTAGTTTAACAGAAAACCAGGAAGGACAGACTAGTTCCTTTCACTGCTAAGAAAGAGAAAGACCCTTCTCAGAAAAGGCATGGAGTACAAGTCCTAAATGAAACAAGGAGCTCTACAGAATTTCAAGTACCAGTCCCTTGTGAGCTCTCCAAATGTTCCAGAAGTTGATCAGCTACAGTTTAGGTTTTCCTACCCTGGCACTGGTTTCCACACAGGTTTCTGTTCTGGTATGTTGTGATTCTCTGTATCTACCTGTCTCTCCAATTTGGGGGGCAATGATTTGCCCTGTGACCTCACTTGTTTTATGGATCTAAGAAGAGTTGTTGATCTTTCAGTTCGTTCAGCTTTTACTTATTGCTAAAACAGAGGGGTGACTTCTAAGCTCCTTACACGTGGAACTAGTAACCAGAATTACTTTTATTCATTCAGCTACACTATGTCTTTTGATTGTAGAGATTAATCCACTTACATTTAAAATAATTACTGATAGGAAAGAACTTATTATTGCCACTTTATTATTACTTCTGTCTGTCTCGTAGTTATTTTGTCTCTCTTTTCTTCTCTTGGTGCCCTTCCTTTGTGTTTCACTGATTTTTGTGTGTGTTGACTTGCTTTGATTCTTTTCTCATTTTTTTCTGTGCATCTTCTATGGATATTTTCTTCATGGCTACCATGAGATTTACATACACATCTTATAATTATAACAATCTATTTTAAGCTAATAACAATTTCAATTACATACAAAAACTCTACTCCTTTACGTCTCCTCCACTTTATCAATGTCACAAATTTCATCTTTTTATATTTTGTATGCATCAATGCAGTTTGAGTTTTTATGTTTTTCTCTCTTAAATTATATACCAGTTATTAAGGGATTTACATACCAACATTACAGTGTTATAGTCTTTTGTATTTATCTATAGATATACCTTTACTAGTGAGTCATATATTTTTGTATGTGTTTGTGTTGCTGTCTAGCATCCTTTAGGTTAAACCTGAGGACTCACCCTAACATTTCGTGTAAGGCAGGTGTTGTGGGGATGAATTCCCTAAGCTTTTGCTTATCTTAGTAAGTTTTTCTTTCTTTTTTTTTTAGCATCGTCTTGCCATCACCCAGGTTGGAAGGCTAGCATGATCATAGCTCACTCTAACCTCAAATTCCTGGGCTTGAGTGATCTTCCCACCTCAACCTCTTGAATAGCTAGGAGTACAGGCTCATGCCATCACACCAGCTTTGTGTGTGTGTGTGTGTGTGCGCGCATGTGTGTGTGTAGAGACAGGGTCTCACTATGTTGTCCAGGCTGTTCTCAAACTCCTGACCTCAAGCAATCCTCCTGCCTTAGCCTCCCAAAGTGCTAGGATTATAGGCATCAGTAACCATACCCAGCCTCTCTTTCATTGTTGAAGGACAGTTTTGCTGGATGTAGTGTTCTTGTTTGGCAGGGTGTGTGTGTGTGTGTGTGTTTTCTTTCAGCACTTTAATTATATCATCACACTCCCTCTTGCCTATAAGGTTTCTGCTGAGAAACTCCCTGATAATTTTATAAAGTTTCCTTGTATGTGATGACTTGCTTTTATCTTGCTAGCTTCAAGATTTTGTCTTTGACTGCTGACAGTTTGATTGTAATGAGTGCTCCTTATTGTGGGCCTCTTTGGTTCATCTTAATTGGAGTTCTTTGAGCTTCTTGGGATTGGATATCCATTTCATTTCTCAGATTTTGGAAGTTTGGGCCATTATTTCTTCAATTACATTCTCAATCCCTTTCTCTCCCTCTTCTTCTGGAACTCCCATAATGTGTATATTGATCCACTAGATGGTGTGGCATAAATCCCTTGGGATTTTTTAACTTTTCTTCATTCTTTTTTTTCTTTTTGTTCCTCTGACTCACTAAGTTCAATCTGTCTTCAAAGTTACCTGATTCTTCATTCTGCTTAAGTCTGCTGTTGAACCCCTGTAGTGAATTTTTCAATTCAGTTATTGTATTCTTCAGTTTCAGAATTTGTTTGGTTATTTGTTTCTGTCTCTACTGACATTCTCATTTCATTCACACATTGTTTTTCTGATTTTTCACAGACTGGCTTCATACAGAGAAAGACCTTCAGTAAGGTCTTGGCTTCAATAAGCAGCCAAGATAGATTCTGGGAACCTCCGAATCCTTTCAGAGGGGATGTTACTTCTCTGGGCTCATGCTTCTAATTTCCCAATTACAGACCTTTGCCAGTTTGTTGTTACTTTCAGAAGTGCATAATTTTCTGTTCTTTCTAGTGTCTGTCTGAGGTACTGCAGGTTCTCTGGTAGTACTGCAGCAAGTCTCCCTGCTCTCCTTTGTGCTCAGTGGCCCCCAGGCATTCAAATTATGTTGGCTCCCCATTAGCACCCCAAATTAGGTGACAAATACCAGTCCCTTAGGCAGTTCTCCCAAAAGGCAGAATACTAACACATGTTCTGCTCTTCTCCTTCCTTCCCAAGAGAGAAGCCACAAATTGGGAGCCTTCTCTCAATTGTGCTGAGTGTGCTGACCTCTGTCTCTGGCACTACAGGCCCTCCAGTGTTGCAGCAAGATGTACTTCCCAACCCCGTTCTCCCTTGCTTTCAGTGGCCCCCGGGCATCCAGAGTATTCCAGTTCCATTAGTACATCAAGTTAGGCAAGAGAATAAACCAGTCCGTGGGCAGCCTTCTAAAAGGCCAGAACATTAAATGTATGTTCTGCTCTTCTCTTTCCCCCAAGGAAGAACCTGTGACCCAAGCTGAGCTGTGCTGGTTTGAGGAAGAGACAATCACAGATAAAGTGAAACAGCTCCTTACCTGTTTCAGTGTGGTTCTTTTTGGCTTTGTGCTTGCCTGGGGTAGTAAAACCTAATTGGTTTTTAGAATTCTACCAAAATAAAGGTATTTTGGTCTGTATATTGTTAAGTCAGTGTCTCTGTGAGGGAAATGGAGGCTGACACCTACCTCCTATTGTACCATCTTGCTGACATCACCATGTCATCTCTTTCTTATGTGATATTTCATTTAATCCAAAACATTAATTGTAAGACACACTGCAATATTGGAGTAATTATTGCAATGTGGAAAAAAAAAGATCAATGGTGATAGTAAGACACCATGTATATAGTAAGATGCAGGCTGGGCACAGTGGCTTGTGCCTGTAATCCCAGCACTTTGGAAGGCTGAGGCAGGAGGATCTCTTGAGCCCAGGAGTTCAACACCAGCCTGGGCACCATAGTGAGTGTTACATGCATCCATGTGAAGAGACCACCAAACAGGCTTTGTGTGAGCAACGAGGCTGTTTATTCACTTGGATGCAAGTGGACTGTGTCCGAAAAGAGAGTCAGCAAAGGGAGATGGGGTGGGGCAGTTTTATAGGATTTGGGTAGGTAGTGGAAAATTACAGTTAAAGGTGGTTATCTCTTGCAGGCAGGAGCGGGGGTCACAAGGTGCTTGGTGGGGAGCTCCTGAGACTCATCGTCCAGGGGAGGACTGTCACAAGGTTGATTCATTAGTTAGGGTGGGGCAGGAACAAATCACAATAGTGGAATGTTATCAGTTAAGGCAGGAACTGGTTGTTTCACTTCTTTTGTGATTTTTCAGTTGCTCCAGGCCATCTGGATGTATACGTGCAGGTCACAGGGGTTATGATGGCTTAGCTTGGGCTCAGAGGCCTGACATTCCTGTCTTCCTCCACTGTTTAAGAGTTACCCAAAGCTTGGTGTCCGTGATGGTCCAAGGGGCTTCCGAGATGATCAGGCAGTGTCAGTCTTCAGCTGTTAAGCCCAGGAGATCTGAGAAGGAGTCAGCCAGAGAGCCCTGGGTTTTTGCTCCAGCAGGTCTAGGAGCAGCTTTAATCTGAGTTGGACAGTCAGACTTCCAGTGGGGTCCTGCACAAACAGGACAAGCCTTAGGAGGAATCCTGGGCTGCAGGCCTTCCGAGGCCCAGTGGCCGGGCTTTTGGCGTTTGAAGCAAGGTCCATAAGGAGGTTTTGAAGGAGTGCCTGGAGGCTGCAGTTTTGTTGTTTTGAGGTTTTTGTGTGCTGTAGGCATGGCTGGGGTTTGTCTTACAGCAAAGGCAAGCAGTTGCAGCTCTGAAATACGTTGTCACTTGGCTGTCTCTTCTCTATTGTTAAACACCTTGAAGGCGAGGTTAATTAAGTCTTGTTGTGGGGTTTGAGGGCTGGAATCTAGTTTTTGGAATTTTTTCCTAATGTCGGGAGCAGACTGGATAATAAAATGCATATTAAGAATAAGACAGCCTTCTGGCCCTTCTGGGTCCAGGGCTGTAAAGCGTCTGAGGGTAGCCACCAAGCGGGCCATGAACTGAGCTGGGTTTTCGTCCTTACCTTGGGTGGCTTCTTTAGGTTTGTCATAATTAACAACTTTGTATGCTGCCTTTTTAAGCCCCTCAACTAGGCAAGAGACCATGTAATCTTGCCTAGCTGTATCTTGGGAGCCTGTTTGGTATCCCCATTGGGGATCCTCCTGGGGAACTGCCCTGGTGTCTTCTTGGAGGCCTGGCTCAGGACGCTGGCAGTCATCAGCATGAGATTGGGCTAGGGTATAAACTCTCGCTCATCTGGGGAGAGGGTAGAAGTCAGGATGACATTTAAGTCACTCCAGGTTAAATTGTAGGACTGAGTTAAATATTGGAATTCCTGTATATATTTAGTGGGGTCTGATGAGAAAGAGCCTAAATGCTGACTGATCTGGGAGAGGTCCAATAGGGAAAAAAGCACATGTACCCTGACTATGCCTTCAGCTCCAGCCACCTCTCTAAGAGGAAATTGTTGGGCAGGTGGAGGAGAGCTAGTCACGGAACGAAACTGTAAGCCAGACCAGGTGTGAGGAGGGGTGTAATAGAAGGGTTATAGGGTTGGGGAGCAGAGACTGCGGAAAAATTGGGACCCAATTCAGCCTGGCAAGGAGCAGCCAGGGGAAGAGGAGAGAGGTCAGAGGGGTCAGTGGAAAAGGAGGATTTGGAGGACTCTGAACTTGGGATGGAGACTGAAGGAGCAAACGGGAGAGAAAGAAGGAAAATCTGGGACAAGCTGCATTGGGAGCAGAGACTAGGGAGAGAGCGAAGTGTAAAAAAGGCCTGGACGTAAGGCACCTCAGACCATTTGCCCAATTTTTGACAAAAATTATCTAGGTCTTGTAGGATAGACAAATCAAAAGTGCCATTCTCTGGCCACTTGGAACTATTGTCAAGTTTGTACTGGGGTCAAGCAGTATTACAGAAGAAAATAAGATGTTTAGGTTTTAGATCAGGTGTTAGTTGAAGGGGTTTTAGGTTTTTAGGAACACAGGCTAAGGGGGAAGAGGGAGGAATGGATGGTGGAAAGTTGCCCATAATGGAGAAGGTAAGTTTAAAGAGGAAGGTAGAGACATGGAGAAATGGAGGTGGGCACCTACCAGGCTTCCAGTAGGCATCCTTGACTGAGTCCTGGGCTGTAATGTGAGTGAACAGGCAAAGCAGGCATCCCTGCAATTGACCTGCCACCAAGGGAGTGTGGGTGAATGATCAAGGCAGGCATCCCCGTGGAGATCAGACACCAGTGGAATGTGGGTGAATGATCAAGGCAGGCGTCCCCATGGAGATCAGACACCAATGGAATGTGGGTGAATGATCAAGGCAGGCGTCCCTGCTATGATCAGACACCAAGGGAAGACTGTCTTCCCAAATCCATGACCGATGTCAGAGTTTTTGAGTTCACGGATAAAATGTGTTCCTTTGTCTCTACTAGAAAGGAAAGAGAACTGAAATTGGAAAGATAGGGAGATTGAAGGGTAGCAAGAGAGGCTGGAGAAGAGAGCAAAGAGACCGCTTACCTGAGTTGAAATTGGTGAGATGTTCCTTGGGCTGGTCTGAGGACCCGAGGTCATAGGTGGATCTCTTCATGAAGTGAGGGTGAGGACAGGGGGCCAATCTCTCAAAGGAGTCCCCCTGTCCCGGGTTCTTTGGCATCAAACGTTACGCACATCCATGTGAAGAGACCACCTAACCAGGCTTTGTGTGAGCAACAAGGCTGTTTATTTTCACTTGGGTGCAAGTGGGCTGAGTCCAAAAACAGAGTCAGCAAAGGGAGATAGGGGTGGGGCAGTTTTATAGGATTTGGGTAGGTAGTGGAAAATTAGTTAAAGGTGGTTATCTCTTGCGGGCAGGGGTGGGGGTCACATGGTGCTCGGTGGGGAGCTCCTGAGACTCTTTGTCCAGGGGAGGACTGTCACAAGGTTGATTCATTAGTTAGGGTGGGGCAGGAACAAATCACAATGGTGGAATGTCATCAGTTAAGGCAGGAACTGGCTGTTTCACTTCTTTTGTGGTTCTTCAGTTGCTCCAGGCCATCTGGATGTATACGTGCAGGTCACAGGGGTTATGATGGCTTAGCCTGGGCTCAGAGGCCTGACAGTGAGACCATCTCTAACAAAAATAAATAATTAGCCAGGTGCGGTGGCACACATCTGTGGTCCCAGCTACTGGGGTGGCTGAGGTAGGAGGATTGCTTGAGCTCAGGAGGTGGAGGCTGCAGTGAGCTGTGATCACACTACTGCACTCCAGCCTGGGCAAGAGGGAGACCTTATCTCAGAAAAACAAACAAAAAACAATGATGCACCCTAGTCTTATTGTGGCAATCCAGAGAGAGGGTGGGGAGGCAAGCAGAGATGACAGAATTGGAAGCTACTCACATGCCTTAATGTAACTCCTCACTAAGATTCTCAATCTCTAGGAAGGATTCTAAACTTATCAAAAGAGCTGAGTTCTGTGACAGGACTAATGGGGACAAAATAGAAAAGGTTTGTACAGATCACAGGAATCTCAGGCAAGAGATTATGAGGTCATAAACCCAAGGAATCTGCAGAAATTGTGTGGAAAGTTTGAACTTTCCCATCTTGTGGAATTGGCAATGCTCTGAGGCAATCATACAGAACTCTCTGTGGATCAGGAGGGTCCTAATTGGCACCTGGTTTACACAGACAGCATGTTTCCAAATCACTCATCCCCCTTTAGTTCATCCTCCACACTAGCCCAAGTGCTTTTCCTAAATAAAGAGTGAATATTATCATGTCATTCCCCAGCTTTAAAATTCCTTATTGTCCACAATCCAAAATTTCTTACCCTGGCATCCAACACAAGGGCTTCCTCTCCTCCTCACACAGGGCACACTATCAAACATTTCATTATTTCCTAAAACACTAAGCCTTCCCTTCTGTCTGAAATAAACTTTCCCTTTCCTCTCTTTTCTCTGCTATAAACACCTATTCATTCAGACCAAATTCAATCATCCTTTCAGATTCCCCTCTCCTGTGAAGTTAACCATTCCCACCTGTGTTCCCCCAGCACCTTGTTCAGAGTACTTTCACTTCCTCTGCGTTCCTTGCAGGAAGGACTATGTCTTTTTTTTTTTTTTTTTTTTTTTGTGATGGAGTCTTGCTCTGTCGCCCAGGCTGGAGTGCAGTGGCGCGATCTCGGCTCACTGCAAGCTCTGCCTCCTGGGTTCATGCCATTCTCCTGCCTCAGCCTCCCGAGTAGCTAGGACTACAGGCGCCCACCACCACGCCCGGCTAATTTTTTATATTTTTAGTAGAGACGGGGTTTCACCGTATCAGCCAGGATGGTCTCAATCTCCTGACCTCGTGATCTGCTCACCTCAGCCTCCCAAAGTTCTGGGATTACAGGAGTGAGCCACCGCACCCAGCCAGGAAGGACTATGTCTTACTCACTTCTGGGCCCCACTGTCCAGTACAGGCCAGGTTAAGGCACTCCCCCGGCTTCTACAGCATCCTGGGTACAACTGTAATGATACCTACCATCCTGCATTGCAACTCTGGATTTGTGTGGCAATCTCCTACACTAGAAATCAGGGGCCACATTGTCTTCAATGTCAGTATTACAAGTTACTAAGAGGGAAGGAGGAAAAGAGGGAGAGGAAGAGAAGAAAGAGTAGATGGAATGAGGGAGAAAGGGAAAAAATAAGGGGAATGAAGGATAAAATAAAGTTTAAAAGGAAGTTAGACAGTGAATAAAAGGACTAGTCAGGACTCAAAAGCACTGACTAAAACAAAAAATGTTAGCATATAAGTTAGGGTCAAAAAAGGGCAAGTGAGCCGGGCACAGTGGCTCACATCTGTAATCCCAGCACTTTGGGAGGCTGAGGCAAGCGGATCACCTGAGGTCAGGACCAGCCTGGCCAACATGGCAAAACCCCATCTCTAGTAAAAATACAAAAATTAGCCGGGCGTTGTGGCACATGCCTGTAATCCCAGCTACTCGGGAGGCTGAGGTAGGAGAACTGCTTGAACCCGGGAGGCAGAGGTTGCCGTGAGCCAAGATCGCGCCACTGCACTCCAGCCTGGGCAACAGAGACTCCATCTCACAAAAAAAAAAAAAAAAAAAAGAGAGAGAGACAAGTGAGATTGGCTGGGGAGCTTTGTTCCAAGATCAAAGCAGGAGCCTGGTACATTGGTCGTAGGCCCAACTGGCAGCAGACACTCATAATTATAAAAGTCACAGTGGGGCTCAGCACAGTGGCTCACGCCTGTAATCCCAGCACTTTGGAAGGCCGAGACGGGTGGATCACCTGAGGTCGGGAGTTTGAGACCAGCCTGTCCAACATAGAGAAACCCCGTCTCTACTAAAAATACAAAATTAGCCGAGCATGGTGGCACATGCCTGTAATCCCAGCTACTCGGGAGGCTGAGGCAGGAGAATCGTTTGAACCTGGGAGGTGGAGGTTGCAGTGAGCCGAGATCCCGCCGTTGCATTCTATCCTGGGCAACAAGAATGAAACTCTGTCTCAAAAAAAAAAAAAAAAAAAAAAAAAAATCACAGTGGTTGTCACAAAGTCTCCAAGTCAGGAAGGAGTCAGACTAAGCTTCCCAGACTGAGAGGGGATCTGTAGACCTAGCTTGATAGTGGGTATAATGAAGAGCTTGACCTTGGGATCAGACATACCTGAATTAAGTCTCCACTCTGCCAATAGGTCTGGTTATTTAATCTCACAGAATTTTCTTGCCTTGAACATGGGGACATTACTACCTTACAGGATAGTATGAAGACTAGAGATAAGAGTTGTACAATAATTGGCACTTAGTAGGTATTTAAAAGATGGTGATTTTTATTATTAGGGTGTGTGCCAACTCACACACACAAGTTTGGGTGACTATGTTTAAAATATATTGTGTGGAGATTTTCAAGGAATCAGAAAATGTGTATGAAATAAAAGTGCTTGGTAAACAGTAAAGTACCCTATAAATATAAATGAATCATTTGGGAAGTCTTTTATAGTTGGATAAAATACAGGACTTGAATTTGGGCAGTAGTTCAGGTCCTACACCCCGCATTTACTTGCTCTGTAACCTTGGGCAAGTCCCTTTCTTTATCAGCCTATTTCTACATACGGCAAATGCAAGTCACTCTTAGTTGCTGTGAGAATTCAATAATGAGTGTAAAGTTCCTGGCACATCTCTTACTGGTGAACGGCAGGGTCCCCATGTTAGGTAAGGTTATGGGTGATGTCAGTTCCAAGCCCGGTGCCAGAATCACACTCTGCCAACTGGCTACAAATGAAGAGGGCCCCTCACTCTGGAAGAGTAGGGCCCCAGATTCACAAGAGAGGTAGATAGGGGTCTTTTGTATTTGTTAGAGGAAGGGTTCTTTTGTATTTGTTAGAGGAAAACTGGGTGAACACTAAACTTCCATGTAGAAAACACTGAAATCTGCCATGTGGAGCCAGGCCTAAACCAGGAGGACAGGAAACCAGACATAATCCCTGCTAAGCTGTTCCAGCCTTGAGGACTAAACTATTGCTACTAAAAGCAAAGACTCTCATTATGGGTTTTAAGATTTCTCTCACCTTATCCCACCCTTCACCCTGTACTCCCCGTCACTGCCGTTTTTCCTTGGCACAGAGTAAGTGCTCAATCAATAACATTGAGGCCAGGTGTGGTGGTGTGCACCTGCAGTCCCAGCTACTCCATACACTGAGGTGGGAGGATTACTTGAGCCCAGGAGATCAAGGCTGCAGTGAGCTGTGATCACACCACTGCACTCCAGCCTGGGCGACAGAGCAAGATCCTGTCTCAAAATAAAATAAAGTTGACCTCAAAATAAAATAAAGTTGAAAACGTTCTCATGCTTGGCACTGACTTGCCATAGAGCAAATGGCCCAAGGCCATATGAAGAGGCCACACTGGCTCCTAACTCCAGGCAAGTCTCCTAAGTGGCTCCTCCTTCAGAAGCCAAAAGGTAAATGTAGTGAAAAGAGCAACAGCTGGCAGTCAGGGAGGCCCAAGTTTGAACTCTGCTCCACAACGTACTTGCTGTATGACTTCACAGCAAGTGACTTTATCTTCCCTCACTTTCATGTCCTCTTCTTATTCCTTTGAGAGTTGCTGTGAGAACTACATGAGATAATGAATGTAAATGTGACTGACAGAATTAATCGCATGTAGTGGATGCTCAATTAATGTTAGTTCCTTTCCTTTCCCCCTTCTCCTCAAAGGCCCCAGAAACTCAGTCTGCTTTCCTTTGCTTTTCAGAGCATCTACCCATCTGTCTTTCTTAGAATTCAAATCCCTTCCAGAGTGGGTTCAGTGGGACAATCTCCCCAGCTCCCCACTTCCCCAAATAAGTACACGGGTCCTTTTCATTGAAGGGTTTTACTGCTAATCACTCTGGGGAAAACAGAGGCAGGTTGGGGGAGGGATAACAAGTAACAAACATGGGGGAGTGTGAAGGTCCCTGGGTCATGGCTCCCTGAGGGTTTCCCTTTCATTTCTAAGGTGGGACCTCAGATCTCTTCTCCAGACCAAGGAGGCCCCTTCCATTGAGAAGGTCACTCCTCCCACCCCAGAGATCTAGAAGCAAAGTTGGGGCACAACAGGTGGGAACTAGCAGGAAACTGCAGTGCACTCCTACCTAAGCAGTTCACAGACAATTTGGAGAACCTTCAGACAGTGACACCCATCTCATAAGTACTTCCTCAAAGGCCAGGGGGACTGCTGCCTTAATAACATGAGCATGTTCTGAGCCTACCCTATTTCTCTTTCACCCCAAGAAAGTAAAGCCAAGACTGGGTCTTCTGACTTTCCAACACGAGAAATTGGCCTGGAAAGAGGCAAGGGTTTTTATTCCAGAGTCCCTCCTCAGGACTTCCTGAGATCCTGACTTCAGAGGCTATACAAAACCATTCTCCAAAGTGGGATGAAGGGCTTGAGGTCAAGGTAGCAGCAAAAGATGCTGAAGATCTTCCTCCAATAGGTTAGGGTCTCTCACTCTCTCTCCCTCACTCTAAATGGGGCTCTCCTTCAGCTGGAATCTTTCCCAGCCTGTTCGCCCAAGTGAGTTTTCTGGTGGCGGATGAGATTCGAGCTCCGGGAGAAGTGTTTCCCACACACAGTGCACCGGTAGGGCTTCTCCCCTCTGTGGGTCCGCTGGTGTGCTCCAAAGTTGGAGATATCGCTGAAGGTCCGCCCACACTCAGTGCACTCATAAGGTCTCTCACCTGTGTGGGTGCGGTGATGCACGCCAAAGCTGGAGCTGTTGCTGAAGCTCTTCCCACACTCACAGCAGATGTAGGGTGCTGGCTCCAGGTGGGTCCGGTGATGCACAGCTAGCGTGGCACTCTGGCTGAAGCTCTTGCCACAGATGTCACAGCGGTATGGCCGCTTGCCTAGGTGATCTTGCTGGTGCGTGGTGAGGTCTGAGCGCCGCCGAAAGCTCTCCTGGCACTTGGGGCATTTGTAGTGTTTCTCTTCCAGGTGGATCCGCTCGTGCCGGATGCGGTTGGAGCTTCTCGAGAAGCTCTTGCCACATTCAGAACACTTGTAAGGCTTCTCACCAGTGTGGATCCGCTGGTGTGTTCTCAGGTTGGAGGTATTATTGAAGGTTTTGCCACACTGGGCACATATAAAGGGCTTCTCATCTGCCTCATGCCTTGGATGAGCAATGGGGTCCCCTAGCTCTCGAGCCCGGACAGTGACTTTCTGCCATGGCTTTTTTGGATGAGTTTCTTGCAGTTCATCCGACAGGCTCTCTTGCCCATGCTCCTTCTCCCCAGGTGGGATCCAAGAACCCTCTGAGTCATCCACTCTCCAAGGCTTACCCCCTTCCCCTTCCTCAGGCAGGTGTGGTTCTGGACTCTGCTCCTTCTCACTGCCCATCTCTGAACCCTGAGAATGAACACAAATGGCCAACACCTTTATTCTTTGGGTTGGGCCAGATCACAGGGAATCTTTTGTTCAGTTTGAAGGGTATACACCTTCCCCATGGGACCATCCATTAGAAATAACCTCAATCAACTGGAATACTTGGATAGAATACCTTTACTTGCTACCTTTTAAGTGACAAACTTTCAGAGATATTTAAAGCTACCCACCAGAGCAAAAAGAAGGCACCGGCTTTGTCCACCACCACCAGATGATATTTGTGCCATTTGAATAATGTCACTCTTCTTGAAACCACTAAGCAATGACAATCCAGACTATAATTCATGGGCAAGTAAAAGAGCTTTCATTTTGGGATAAGTTCAATTTTTCTGCCTAACTGTAAGTTAACTGTAACTCTTTTTATGTTTAATCCTTTTTGAAAAACCTTCCTTACAAGTATCTACCTATATGCCTGCTTTCAAAATGAACAAAACAAAACCTCTAAATCTTGAGGCTTTCCTAGGTGACAAGGCCCAGCTTTGGCTTTTCTTGAGATTTCTGCCACTCTACCCCTCTCCAGCCCACACCAGAATCTAGCAAGTAAACATCTGGGTTAATACCTGGGACCTCCAGGACCTACTGTGGGGCCTGGGCTGTGTTTCTTCTGATCAGTCAGTGCCCTCCACTACATTCTCAAACACCATACAAAGCCCCACCCACACCCCCCGCCCACACACGCATGCATGCACACAAGCAAGCAGAATCACACAGACACAGTCACACCATACACAAAGCCATATTCTCACGTAACACGGTCATACTCACATACCTGACATACTCGGTCACATTCTCATACCACACACAACAGCTATACACCTACACACCACACACAGCCATACATTATCACACCACACACATACATACTACATACACACTCATACCACATATAGCCACATACCACAGCCACACACATATATAGCTACATACATGTCTATACACATATACCCATACACCACACACAGACACACACTCACATACCAAGTACACACAAAGATAAACACAGACACAGACACACAAACCACACTCCCCACACCCCACCCCAAAACTAAACACATAAGAGTGCCCAGTACAGGTCCTGATTTGTGCAAACATCACTAATGTGTGCTAAGCTGCACAGACTCCTTTGGGTTCCTACAGCCAAGGACAGGGAAAGAGTTGGGGGGAAAAGTACCTCTGATGAGAGTGGTAGCATTTCCTCCGGGCCTTGAAGAAATAACGACATTTCAGCAGAGTGGGTTGGTGAACAGAGTGACATGAACAAAGGGATGAGGGAGGGAAGCACAAACTATCATAGGACACTGATGATAGAAAATGAAAGACTGATAATTCCTTCAAGTCTGCAAGTATTTCTGGAAAAAAGAAACACAGAATAAAGAAAGGGGTACTGACTACATTTAGGGTTGGATTACAACTGTGACACATACTATCTTTATCGCTCTCTGCAAATTATTCAACCACTCTGAGCCTAAACTCCCTCTTCACTAAAATTGTGATACCTACCCACACTACAAGACTTTGTATTAGAAAAAAATGCCTGTAATACTCAGCAGAGTGTGTGACACATGCTGTCATTCAGCAAATGGCAGCTGCTGTTACAACTGTTGAAGACACTACGTCCAGGCCCTGTGAAGAATACAAGAAAAAGATCTTTTAAATGATCTCATTAAGAAAAAACTTTTAACTTAAAAATAGCATAAAACTGTATATAACCTTCTAAAATGTGAAATACAGACAGAACCTCAACTCTTTAAGAACCAGAGGTTGACAAGCTTTTTCTGTAAAGGGCCAGATAATATTTAGTAAATATTTATGGCCATGGGATATCTGCTGTAACTATTCAATTCTGCCACTGTATCATGAATCATGAAAGCAGCCATAGACAAGACATAAAGGAATGTGTGGCTGTGCTCTAATAAAACTTTATTTAAAGCAACAGGAGGTGAGCTGTGGTTTGCCAATCCCTGTTAGTGTTCCTTGAAGAATTTAGATAAGAATATGAAAAATAATTGGTTTGCTTTACTTCCAAAAATGCAAGTAAACATGAGAAACTATTCCTTGATACTTAGACACTGTTTCCTGACCATCCTTTAAAAAATTAAAATCACTCCCACACTCCCAGTCCTCCTGCCCCATAGCACATCTTACCTTCTGACATTCTCTTTATGTCTATTATTTATTGTCTGCTTCCCTAAAACATAAGTTCCATGAGAGCTGGTGTCTTTGTTGTTTTTTTGTTTTTTTTTTAATTTACCAATGTAACCAAAACTCCTAGAGTAGTGGCAGCCATATACAGTAGATCCTTCATAAGTATTTGTTGAATGAGTTGAATAAAACACCAGCTCTGTCTTCATGGGACACAAGTAACCATGAACTGTCTCACCCACTTTTCCTCAGCAATCTCCTGATTCCTGCCTACTTTCTCCTTTATGCAGTCACAGAATCTTGTGCTTGGCTTATAGTGGTTTGCAACTACTAGTAGAACATGTCTGTTTCTATTAGTAGTTTATAAGCAACTTGAGGAAAGGGACTGGGTCATATTAGTAATCTCCTTCTGCAGCATAAAGCTGGGTGCTCAAATGTCTTTTGAATGTATAAGTGACAGGATGTGATCTTAATTCACGCCACCATCCCATCCCCCACCCCCTGCCCTGCTCCCATCTGACCTACAGCTACAGTATCTCTACGCAATGAGCTATTCAGCCTCCACTCACTTCCGAAACTGCTATTCTGAGAACCTATAATTTACCAAGTTCCAGCTCTACCCGGGGCTGGATGCTAGGTCAATGTAAGAGCAAAAGGATTTAGGATTATGATTACCACTCAGTTTGTGATACAGTGTACTGAAACAGACCGTGAACTCCAGAAATTGTCATACAATGCAGAAGGTTAAGTTCAGGGGACAGGGGCAGGAACTGTGCCTTAGTCACCTTTGTACCCACTCCTCAGTGTCTAACACAGCACCTGGCACATTATTAACATTTTTTTAAAGCTCGAATCAAGTGCTAAGCTGTGGACTAAGGACCATATATGAATCATCTAATTTCACTTCACATCATCCTTATTTTAGAGATGAGAAAGCTGAGGCTCAGAGAAATTAAGTATCTTGCCCAAGGGCACACAGCAAGTAAGTGGCAGAACTGGGGCCTATGCCCATCACTTCAAAGTCAGTGCTTTTAACCATTATACTATTACTGAAGGAAAAAAGGAGAGAAGACGGGAAGGAAGGAAATAAAAACAGTACCACTGAAGTTCACATGATACAGATGTATCTCCCTGATGAAATCAGGGCTGAGAAGTTTCAAGGAGGAGTAGGTATTTGACCTAAGGTTTGCAGGATGGGTAAGACTGGGACTTGCAGAGATAAAGAGGCAACTACCTACTGAGAAGACAGTGCAGCTGAAGTACAGAGGCACTTTCATATCACACTGCAGAGATCTGGGGGGAAAAGGGGTCTATTGGGCTTTGTCTTCCTGGTGGCTCAGCTGCACAGAGAGAAGCAACGGTGGAAGGGGCTGAGAAGTGGAGGAGGGGCCAGGTCTAAGAAGTTAAGAGCCAAGAAGATGGGGCTAGTGATCACAGATGATGAAGGTGAAGCGCCTAGGTTAAAGGCAAGGGGCCAAGCCATAGTGCGGTATGGAGGTCCGAAGTTACAGGTCTTTGGGGCCAAGTCAAGGGCTGCAGGGAGGAAGAGGAGAGAGGAGCTATGAAAGACCAAGAGCAAGGTGCTAACAGGGTAATTGTACAGGGAAGCTAGATAACGGGTCAGAGATACAGGAGGACCAAGGAAGTCAGAGGGTCGCAGGAGACGGTCAGGGAAGAGGAAGCAAAGGCTGCCAGAAGTGTCACAGGCCAGGGCCCAAGAGCTGAGTTGTGTGTTGCGGGGCGGGGAGAAGCCAATGGCGGAGGTCCAAGGGTACAAGAGCTGGTTTCAGAGATTGCCGGCGGGCTTGGGGCCAGAGAGGTGGGAGAGGAGGAGGGGCTGATCCTAAACGTATGGTCAGCGGCAGGAAGGCTGTATACTCAAACCCAACAGAAGGGCCGGGGAATGGGTTGGGGACAGCCACCTGGCTGCGTGGGCCGGGGGCCAGGGCGAGGGTCGCGGCGGAGGGACCACAAGGCCCCTTGGCTTCCCACTCGGTCCAGGGAGCAAAGCAGCAGCATCCAGATCCTCGGTGAGAGGGAAGTGGCCGTGTACAGAGTTTCCCGCGAAGTCGTGTCCGCCTCCCCCCGCGACCTCGGGCCCAACCCGGACCCACCTCGCTCCCGCCGCTCGATCAGGGACAGCGCCGCCTCTGTAGGCGAGGGAAGGAGCTGGAGCCGGAGCCGGAACCCAGGAAGGATCCGCCCTACTACTCCAGGATTGGTTTCTTGGGATAATTCTTTATTTCCATTGGCTACCATGACTGCCACAACGCAAGCGACCTGGCAGGACCACCAATAAGCTTTGACCGCTGGCGTGGCATGCTGGGAGTTGTAGTCCTAAGGAAGCGCGTAGACTCAGAGAAAACTTGCGAAGTTTAGGATGGAGCTGAAGAGACTGGGTTCCGTCCTACGGTGGGATTTCTTTCCGTGCTCGCGCGTTCAGCCCCAAGTCTCAGGGCCACTCGTCTGGGAAGTTGTAGAATCTGTATAGCCAACCTACACAACCTCCAAGGGGGCAAGTACTCAAATTTCCTTCTTTACTTTGAGTTGGTAATCCTTGACCGTCCTGTAGACGTCCAACGAAGCCTAGAGTCTGGCACCTCACTCAAGGTTTATAACTTAAAATCAAAGGAGGGTAGAGCTGGAAGGGAGTTTAAAGATAAAATAACCCAATCTCCTTATCGGAGAAGCTAAAAGTACCCTGTTCAAGGATCAACCTCCAGGTCTTCCAGCCCCCCTGAGCAGGGATTTTCCCGGGTTCCGCGTGCATCCCTAATTAAGCCTGACACGTGTTCGTCAATCCAGACACAACAAGATCACCAAAGTATCCAGGACTAGGTCTTTTTTTTCAGGTTTTATTTTTTAAAATAATAAAAGGCTAATGAAATACGTAAACTACAGGCTTCTCGTATCTGCACAATGTTTCAGTGCAAAGAACAAGGAGCATTGCCTTCAGAGCTAGATAAACCAAGTATAAAACTCTGGCTCTACCACCTAGCCATTTGGAGTACCAACTCCCTCCCCCATAAAATCCCTGGCAGAATTACTGTGAGGATATTATATATACATACATATATTCTCATGCATGTGTATGTGTATACATATATACATATATATGTATGTATGTTTTATATAGTTGTAAGGTTATAATACATACATATATTGAGGTTATTTCTTGATGACATTAATATTCAAATCAGTAGACTGATATGTATGTACATATATACATGTATAATACACATACATGTGTATATACATATACTAATGTATACATGTGTATATACATGCATACATGTGTGAATATGTATTATACATACATATGTATATATGTGTATACATATACACGTGCATACATGCTAAATACATATACATATATATACACCTATGTAGTACAGATATGTATATACACATACATGTATACATGTGTATATGTGTATGTATGCATATGTGTGTGTATATTATATGTATATTCATGTATGTATGTGTATATGTATGCATGTATTCTGCCTCCACAAGCTGACAATGTGAGTTAGTTTTAAGATTGGGATATTCAGGAATGCATGTTTGGAACTGAATATGGTTGAGTGAAATATGTGTGCCTTATGAACACTATTTGTTTATAAATTGATAAAATAAAATACTAGAGAGCAGACTCAGGAATAAAACTATGGCTTTAGTATGAACGGTGGCTAAACCTTGCCTTGGGGGACTCAAAGCTCTTTGGAAACCAATCTCTTACCTTCCCCACAACTCCTCATTCACAATGAAAATAACAGCATACCAAAACACAAATACCAAACTTTTATTTTAAAACTGTACAAAAGCAAACAAAAAATTCCACTGAGTCACTGTGATAGTTAATCTTATGTATCCACTTAACTGGGTCACAAGATGCCCAGCTATTTGGTCAAACATTATTCTGAGTGTTCCTGTGAGGGTGTTTCTCAATGACATTAACATTCAAATCAGTAGACTGAGTAATGCAGACTGTCCTCCCAAATGTGGGCGGGCCTTGCTGAATCAGTTGAAGGCCTGAATAGAACAAAAGAGCTAACTCTGCCCTAAGAGAATTCTTCCTGCCTAATAGCCTTTGGACAGGACCATCAGCTTTTTCCTTGCCTTCGGACTTGAATTAAACATCATCTCTTCCTTGGCGTCAAGCCTGCTGCCATCAGACTGGAACTAAACCATCAGCTCTCATGGGACTCCATCTTGCTGACTTATCCTGCAGATCTTGGGATTTAACCGCCTCCATAATCACGTGAGCCAATTCCTTATAATAACCACCGCCCCCCTGCCCCAATATATATTGATTCTGTTTCTCTGGAAAACCTTGACTAATACAGGAACTAACGGAGAACTTCTGACAAACAGAAAGATACAGTTTCTGTTGGATAGAACTGTGTATTCATCTGCAAACTGATAACCAATATCTCCATGGTTAGGCCAGATCGCATATATGATGTGACTTGAAAGCGACGAGGCTTCTGCAATACACACCCAAAAATCAAGGTCATTATTTCATCCTCACACCTAGTCTACCAACTTCCTATTTGAAATCAATACTCTCCAACCTAAGAGGCTGTTTGCTACACAAATACTCAAGTATTGCAGTACAATGGTCTTGTGGGGAAAAAAAAGCTTCTACGTTGGTGGTTAAAACTGCCACTTTTTCTAGCTGGACCTCTCTGAATCTCAGAAAGGGTTGGCACAACAGATTGATTCATAAGACAGTCACAACAGACTCAACAGACTGAGCCTCTGAAGGTCTGGGCCAAGGTCAGAGGGCAACATACAGCTGAGTTCTCTGCAACTGTGTTTCCCAGCTCCCTGATGTGCTCCTGGGGCTTTTCAGGATTATAGCAACTGTATTTAAAGTCGCTGTACCTAGTTACCATCAACAGGCAGATTAGCTTTTGAAAGCATGTACATTAGCTCTGGATATCACCAAACTATGTTGTAAACAGCATCAAGAAAATAGAAAAGGATGGTATGTTTTACTCATCAGCCTTTCCCAATTCATTCCTGAAGAAAGAGGGAAAGAGTGAGTGGTCTAAAACATGCTTGCTTTTAGAGAGCTGACTTTGGGGGGCAGAGGCCAGAACTGAGAGAGAGAAAGGCAGTCCTCAATGGGATAAGTAAGAAGTCAGGGACTGGGGGCCATAACTTCTTGACTAAAGCTTGAGGGCAGGATGAGGCAGAGAAAGTGTCTTCTAAATAACCCCTGGAGTAGCGAACTCTTTTCCCTGAACCTGTGCTGTATCTTGGTAACACATATTCAACATCTCCACCTGCACCTAAACTGATTGTTTGGTTTCCAGGAATCCTCCCTCCAGGTCACTGGGAGCTTCAATTCCTTAGAAGAAAGGTAAGCTTCAGAACTGAGGCCTGGGAGAAAAGTGGTACAAATAGAAACCACAAAAGGGTCTGGATTTGGGTTAAGGTGAAGAGACGTTCCATAATCATGGGGTTGGGCCAGGCGACTGAAGTCCAGGGTGCTGGGCTGGATGGTGATGGGAGCAGGTAATGTGGCATATCCCTAAAAAGAAGGAGCCTTGAGCTCCTGAAGGGCTGGGCCAAGGTCAGGGGGCAAGGACAGGATTATATCCTTCAGCTCTGGGGCCTTCGGGGGTAGTAAAGAAGAGTTCACCTTGAGGGACACATCTCCATTAGCATGGCCTTTCCCTTCTGGCCTGGGGACAATTGATTCCTCTGATTTGTGTAGTTCTGAACAAATGACTAGAGGTGCTGTGTTTTTTCCTCCATCATGAAGGCAAGGTTCAAAGAAAGGGCGAAGGGGGCCAGAGAAATTGTGGGTGAAAGTAAAGATGTGGGACTTGTTGGTCACATTGTAGAAAGAGATGACTCCTGCTTCATAGTCCAGGAAAATCCCCACACACCGTGGAGGCTCTTTAAGGCGGAAGGAGGTCTGCGGGGATGTGAGAGCTTCATACTCATTCCCACGACTCTGTCGCAGAAGCCAGTGTCCATTGGCAGGTGAGGCAGTAACCTTCCCCTTCCTGCTCACTGACTCACTACATACTCCAAGAATCCATTTGGTCTTGTCTCCCACATACACCTCCCAGTAGTGGCAGCCAGTCGTGAAGTACTCAGAGCCTAGGATGCTGACAACGAAATCAAATCTCTGGGGGTTGTCAGGTACAGGCTGCCGTCTGTCTCCAAGCCTTACACATCTTTGGTCCTCAGAAAGGATGAGTTTGGGATGTGCTGTGTCTGGGTCCAGGGTCACTGCCACTGCAAAGAGACACAGACAGGTGAGGCTTGGAAGTATAGGTCTTAAGGGATTTGGGGATGGCTTTGGAGGGAAAAAGAATCTTAGGTCTGCCATCACTGTCATTAGCCCATTTTAGTTCATGGATTCCCGCCCCCACCATGTGTACTGGAACCAAAGAATATTCTCTTTCAAAGAATAGGTCTCCTGGTCGATTACTAAGTAATAGAAGAAAAAGTTCTTCTTCATCTGTCTGTGAAACTGCTTTAATCCTCAGGAAATAACTACCTGTTATGATTTAAGTGTGTCCCTCAAAAGTTCACGTGTTGGAACCTTAATCCCTCATTGCTGCAGTGTTCAGAGGTAGGGCTTAGTGGGAAGTGTTTGGGTCCTTCACAAAGAGATGAATGCAGTTTTCACAACACTGGGTTTATTTCTCTGGAGAGCAGGTTATGATAAAGCAGGTCAGGGCACTTTGTCTCCTCTCTGCTTTTGGAGGCACTCACTTGCCCTTCTGTTCTTCCAGAAGCAACTATCACCATACTATGAAGTAGCACAAGCCCTTCACCAGATACAGTCGCCCAATCTTGGACCATCCAGCCCCAAGAACCATGAGCTAAATAAACCTTTTTCCTTGATAAATTACCCAGTCTCGGGTATTCTGTTATAGCAACAGAAAACAGAGTAAGACACCACATTTGTCTTTGATGTTCCAAAATAATCAAATGTGTGATGATAAATACAGGGTTTGTTGTTAGATCCTGTAGCCACATAGCATGTTTGAATCCCAGCTCTGCCACATGCTAGTTATGTGACCTTGGGCTTGTTACTCATCTCTGAACCTTAGTTTCCTCATCTGTAAAATGGAAATAGTAACAGAACCTGTGTTGTAGAGCTATTGTGCAGACTTGATGAACTAATGATATAGTGCCTCATTCCTACAGTGAGTGCATGATATTCATTCTGTCACCTAAAATTATTACTTATAATTATCTGCTTTATTTTATTTTATTTGAGGAAGGGTCTCACTATGTTTCCCAGGATGGAATGCAGTAGGTATTCATGGGCATGCAGTCATAACACACTACAGCCTTGAATTCCTGGCCTCAGGTGAACCTCCCACTGCAGCCTCCCAAGTACGTAGGACGAAATTATTATTTTTAAATGTTAATATAGAGAGAAGGATTCTTCCCTAAAATTGTGGATTATGAGTGTCACAGTGAGTCTCCTTCCTTCCCCAAATACAGGAAACAGCTTCTTCTTAGAGAGTTAAGTCTATAAACCATACACAGTTGAGATGGTGGCAATAAGCCAGACTGTAAATGTGAGACAGAAGGGTTTGTAAGTTCCCAGAATGCCAGCCAAGGTGACCTGGAGTTCTCTCGAGTGGCCAACTCATAATTTGTTGTACTCTGCCTGAAGGAAGATGGTGTGAACAGGAGGAGGATAAAAGCCTAGAAAATTGATAAGGATCCCAAAGCAGTGAAAAAAACAGGTCCCATTTGAACAGCAGCAAAAAATGCAAACTATTTAGGAATACATTGAAAGAGAGGTGCAAATCTTTTCATAATGTATATTGTTGGGGCATCTGCTCAACCCATTCCCTTCTTCTCTGAGAATCTCAATCACCACCCCTAAGCAAATTGGTCTGCAGAGAAAGAAGAAAAAGCAAATGTGTAGAAAGAGGCGGAAGCAGTGGCTATTTATCTGGTTGTGGGATAGGAAGGACTTCCCAAACCTGAAAGCATGGAAGAGACTACACAGAAAAAGATGAATGAATTTGACTACGTAAAAATAAAACACTTATGCATCAGAAAAATACTATAAGGAAGTACAAATGAAAAGTAATGGTGACAAATATGACAAAGAGCTAATATACTTTATCTAGAAAGAGTCTTCACAAATCAAAAAAAAGCCCAAATAGAACAGGAACAGACAAGTCACACAAAGAAGAAATACAAATAACTGATAAACATAGGAAAAATCTCAAAAACCACAGAAAACCCTTAAGAAGACCAAACCTAATATTATCAGTGCTCTAAAAGAGGGGATACTTTCTAAATCTAAATATGACCTCAAGATCGATCACAAAGATTTTTTTAATTTGATAGTCAGATATACAGATTTGATTTAAAAATTTTTAAATTACCTGCATTCCAGAGGAATGGAACAAAATCTAAGGTTACAAAGCCATAAGGAGGAAGTGCTCTGAGATATGGACCTATTTGATTGGTATAACTTACCAAAATGCAACCGGGCTCTTCTCCAGCCTGAAAAATGAGAAAAGGGGATCATTAAAGTACCAGAGACATCAAGAACTCCTGTAGGGTGGTGGTCAAATGTGGAGAAAGTGCATCTCACCTGAGTTTGCTGCAGCTCTTTTCAACTCTATGAAAGAAGAAACAAGGGGAATGAGCTATCACTGCAAATATTAGGGCAACAGGAGATAAGTTGGTACGGAAGTTACAAGAACATGGGAAACTTACTCAGTTCACTCCGGAGTTTCTCTAAAGAATGAAAACAATTTGGCAAATCAGAAGGAGGGCCTCTATGTAGAGGCCCTCCCATAATGCTACAGTCCCATCCCAACCATGAGCAGACAGATACTCAATAGCTATACCCTGGAACTTCCCCAGAAGAGTTTGCAAGAGCAGTAGATCCCAGCTGTGGACCATGGGAGTATCCCCAGAGATACTGCAGAGGATCAGCAAATTCCTATGTGAGCCAAACCTTATCTGCAGGCTAAATAAATAACACATCTCACACCTACAGGTAATGACAACATAAATTATGTAGATGTTGTAGGAAATATTACTTCATTTAAAACTATCACTGAGTATTGGACTTTGTGATCATGTATATTTTCTCAATGTAATAATTAATGCATAGATATGTCACATGTCTACAGATTTATTTTTATTTTTATTTTGAGATGGAGTTTCGCTCTTTTTGCCCAGGCTGGAGTACAATAGTGCAATCTCGGCTCACTGCAACCTCCGCCTCCCAGGTTCAAGCGATTCTCCTGCCCCAGCCTCCCAAGTAACTGGGATTACAGGCGTGCACCACCACACCCAGCTAATTTTGTATTTTTAATAGAGACGGGGTTTCACCATGTTGTCAGGCTGGTCACAAACTCCTGTCCTCAAGTGATCCACCTGCCTTGGCCTCCCAAAGTGCTGGGATTATAGGCATGAGCCACTGCACCTGGCCAGATTTTTTTTTAATGTTAAAAAGAGGTCCTCACACATGAAATGATGGAGAAGTACTGCTCCAGCATATTCAGTTTAATAAGGATCCTGTCCTCCTGGACCCCATCTAAGGAAATGTCATGCCTGGGTGATAAAAGGGACTTCCAGATGGCTTCACCTATGGGAGATGCATCTATCTCTTCCTGGTGAAACGTTTTTCATTTAAAGACTAAATAATAGTTGTGCAGGAAAGAGGAGCAGAGAATACTTGAGAAAAGAGGCCTTTGAGAGCCAAGAAAGCCCCAGTCCCCATGGCTTGAATTACCAGTACCCCCTCCCTTCTGCCCCAGGAAGTGAAACTGAGATGCTCATCCCAAAGCAAAAGTGTCAGCAGAAGGAGCTTGTGCCATGGATGAGGAGCAAAACTTACTGACAGCTTTATGGAGTTTTCCTAAAAACCAGAAAGAGAGAGAAGAGTGAGTGATCAGATCCTGCCTCTTTTTCCTCAGAGCTGTGGCAGCCTCATCACTCCAACCCACAAGATTAAAATGATGGTGACGCTTCTATGTCCCTAGTCCAGCTCCGTGTCCCAGAGTTCAGACCCAGAAATCTGATGGTGCTGGTGACACTGTCCCAGTGACCCAGCCTGCCCGGGACTTTGGTTCCTCCTTCCCCTTCCCCTCCTTTTCATCTGTCTGGTTTCATTTCTGCTGTCGGCATGAGTGTTTCTATATGTTTGTAACTGCGGTACATGAGTGTATGCACTGCTGTCCTTTTATAGCCCACCGTTTATGGTATCTAAGGTGTAAAACTAGCTAAAGGCCTAGCATGAACTTGTTAATATGGCTGTATTATTCTCTACAGTAACTCCCCTGAGGTTATAAATTTCACAAATTGGAGGTCCCAGAAGATTTGGGGACATGTGTATGAGACATGTGTTTCTGGGGAGTACTTGCAGCTTCTCTGGAGGGCCATGTGGCCCACATTTCCCCCTACCCAGCATTGGCCCTGCTAGACAATTGAAGTTACACATCCTGAGTCCACCACCAGTCCCTGTGCTAAGGGCCGGGCATGTGTTAGGCATTAGGCATTGGAGCAATGCAGCCGAATACGACACGGCTCCTAAGGAGCTTATGGTTTATTGTTACCATCTCCACTACTAACAGCTTCCATTTACTGTCTGCTGTGCTTATACTGAAGTAGGCACTGAATCCTCTCAATAATGTGAGATGCCTAGAATTATTATTGCCATTTTATAGGGGGGTGGTCTGAGGCTCAAAGGGACACAAAATTTGCCCAAGGTCTTCCAGCTAGTAAGTGACCAAGGAGGCAGGATTCAATCTAAGTCTGTCTGACTCCTGAGTTAGAGGCCCTCTCCCTTACCCCACACTGTTCCCTCTTCACTTGAGCAGAACAGCCAGTGTCTGCCAGATACACGCCACGCTTGCACCAGCTTGGAGGAAATGTAAGGAGGGAAGAGAGGAGACGCTGACATCATTGAATCTGGAGTCATCTGAGCCAGTGACTTGTCTTCCCAGATAGACTTCAACAAGGTGTCCAACTCAGTGGCCCACAGTAAATGTCAAATTAATGAAGACAAAATGGCAATAAGGAAAAGGAGTTCCAGGCACTGTGACAGATTTTTTTTTAAGGTTGCCTGTTTTAACACTGAAAACAATCAGGTAAGGGGAAGTTATCTGCATTTTGCTGATGAGGAAACCAAAACCTAAGTGGCAGACCAATGATCTGAGGTGTCACTGACCCCAGAGCCTGCGACCCTTCCTTTGTATCATACCACCTCTCTCTATGCAAAGGTTGTGTGGATTCTTGAAATTCCCATATATCCCATATGACCACATTAATATACTTTTCAATAATATGTAGACTTCTTTTTAAAATGGTTGGCGGAAAGGCTAATGAAGGGAGTTTATGGTAATCTAGGCCTGTGAATTTTGACCTGGGCACCTCCTTACCCACTGCCACAAGCTCCACAGCCCCTTAACATTGCACACTAAATTCCAGTAATATCAATGGAGGATATATGTGTGCATGTGTGTACAGTATTATAAAAATAGACTTATAATAATGACTGTCAACATTTACATAGAAAAATAAAGAATGTGTTTTTTGTTCCCTACCCCTTACTCTTTTATATCATTACCTTTTTCTTTAGCATGGTCTGAAAGAAGATTGTCTAGAGGAAGAAAGGAAAAGATAATGAGATTTTTTGCCACTGCCTTGAGGATCCCTGATTCCTATTGATTTTACCTGCCCTTGGACCTGTCCACCTCTATCTTCACCTCCACCTCCCTGATCCGGTCTCTAATCAACTCTCACCTGGACAACAGAAATGGCAGCCCAAATTGTCTCCCACATCCTGTCTTAATCCCTCTGGTCTCTACTAAACTCTGCAGCCTGAGAGAATTGTTTAGTTTTTTTTTTTTTTTTAAATCTGCCACCCTGGCTGGATTGCAGTGGCATGATCTTGACTCACTGCAGATTTTTTTTAAAAATCTGCCACCCTGGCTGGATTGCAGTGGCACGATCTTGACTCACTGCAACCTCTGTCTCCGGGGTTCAAGCAATTCTCCTGTCTGTCTCCTGAGTAGCTGGGATTACAGGCACGCACCACCATGCTCCACTAATTTTTGTATTTTTAGTAGAGACAGGGTTTCGCCATGTTAATCAGGCTGGGCTTGAACTCCCGACCTCAGGTGATCCACCCTCTTCAGCCTCCCAAAGTGCTAGGATTACAGGCGTGAGCCACCATGCCCGGCCAAGTTTTTCAAAGCACAATTACATCTGATATCCCCATTCCTTGCTTTACCACTGCTCTTACGAGAATGACTAAAATCCTGAATGTGACCCACCAGGCCTCAGGAGGCTCAGCTCCGCCTCACTCCCCAGCCTCACCCCTGCCACTTTTCCCCTCACTCCTGCACCTCCTCAACTCCCCAGTGAGTGCTGCTTTCCCCGACCATGCTTCTCTCTGAAGCTGTTCTTTCTGCGGTGGCTGGTTTTCCATTCCCTCTTCACTCATGACTTCTAGTCCTTCAGGACAAACTTCATACCCTCAACCCTCAAGCTTGGTTGGTTCATTCTGGTCATAGCCTTCACAGAACCAGGAGCTTTCTTGTGTAGCTTTTGTACACATTTATTTGTGTTAACTATTTAATTCATCTCATTTCCCTGACTACACTGAAAGTTCCAGGAGGGCAAAAACTGTGTCTGCTTTTACTCACTATTGCATCCCCAGAATCTAGTATTGTCCAGGGCATTTTGTAGATAATTATCAAGTATTTGTTGAACAAATAAAAGCTTCCCCCATGTTCAAGCTACTCGACTCCCATAGAATAAGATCAAGCAATGAGCTCACAGGCAAAAATCATTAAACATACAGGAAGGCAAAGCTATTACAAGTAAGAGGCAGTAAAAACTGGAAGCAACGGATTTAGACATTGCCACCATCACCAAGGATAGCAGATAATGGAATTTTCAGGAACAGAATCCAGGTTAGTGGGTATGGGGGGCACAGAAATTAACAACAAAAGAAACATCTCCCCTGCCCCCCAGCCAAGAACACTTACCCACCTCCGTCACATGTTCATAGAGAAGCTTTTCTAAAAGGGAGAGAGAAATGCCAGCTCAGCTTAGGAAGGGCTTTTTCTAACAGGCACAAGTGTCCCAAGATGCCCCCAGCTGCCTGAGTAGGACTGACTCCTTGTCACTACAGGTAAGCGGGCATTTGAAAGGATTAGAGAGTCTTCAAACCATCAGATAAGGGCAGGAGTGTTGGATTACATGACTGTGACTTTCAAAGTCCCTTGCAGCCCTGAGATCCTGTGAAATGTGACCATTTTTTATGAGAGTCTTATCCAATGGATATAATTGGATTTCTTTATTAAAGGGCTGTAATTCATTTCTTAGTTAATTAGAAGGCTGGCATAGTCGGTTATTTTCTTATTTTTCAAAGGATGAGAATTTACAGCTCTGCCCAGGGGCCTTTCTGCAGTTTATTGAACTCCCTTTGCAATGTGTGTCCCCAGGGCATGGCTCTACCAGTTTTCTCCCAGCCAACTTGCAGTGTCCCCAACCTATGGAGAAGTGTCAGGTCTACATCTACTTCCGTCTGGCCCTTTCCCAGAGCAGTCATAGTCCCACTTCCCACCAGCCTGAGCTCCCTTACCATTTAATTACCTTTTGCTCTTCTTTGCTTCCAGATAAGGCAAAGGCACACCATGATGAGAAGTACCAGGACAGGCAGGATCACAGCCAGAGCCACTGCTGAGGGGGAGAGACTCCCCACAGATGGGGCTGAAACAGAAACCACCAACGACTGACCTCAGGGAGATGTCTAAGAGCTTCTGGCATGCCTCAGATGGCAGGCGGCTCCAGCACATCCCAACACTCTCCATCACCTCTAGGGAGAGAGCTCCGGCCAAGAGGCTCTTTGCTTCTCTGATAACTCAAGCCCTGGATAGCATTAAAGATAACTGAGGCTGGGAACGGTGGCTCACGCCTGTAATACCAGCACTTTGGGAGGCAGAGGCAGGAGGATCATCTGAGATCAGGAGTTCAAGACCAGCTGGCCAATGTGGGGAAACTCCGTGTCTACTAAAAATACAAAAATTAGCCAGGTGTGGTGGCGGGCACCTGTAATCCCAGCTCTTCAGGAGGCTGAGGCAGGAGAATCCCTTGAACCCGGGAGGCAGAGGTTGCAGTGAGCCAAGGTCACACCATTGTACTCCAGCCTGGGTGACAAGAGTGAAACTCCATCTCAAAAACAAACAAACAAACAAACAAACAAAAACTGAGATGTTCCTCTCTCGGGAATGGTTTGGATGGTCCTGCCTCAAGATGATGACTTAAACAAACTTCTTGACCACAATCTCATCCTGCCCTATAATTCAATGGAAAAATAAGCCCGGGACTTCAGAGGACTGAAGGCACTCTCCTCACTACACACCTCCAGTCTTCCCAGGAGCACCTGCCTGTTTACCCCTGTCAATCCTCACTCTGCTCTAGAAGAGCAGGCAGCAACCTCTTTGCCCTGAGCACTGTCCACGGGGGCAAAGCAATTTCTATGATGCCGCAGCAGTAGGCCTGAAGCCTAGGCAGGAGAGAAAGGGGAAAAGAAAGAGGAAATAGAGGAGAGGAAACGAGCAGAAGCGGGCTATGGGTAGAAGTAGTTAAGAGCCTAAGCTGGGAGTATGTCCTTGCTCAATGCTGTGTGACCCAAAGCAGGAGACTGAGCACCTCCCAGCCCATTGTCCCTCATCTGTAAAATGTGTGCATGACAGGACTCCTTATCTCTTTGAGGTTTGGAGAGATTTAAAGAGGTCAGTCATATAAAGCATTCAGTCTCCTAAGTAGCCGGGATTACAGGCACATGCCACCATGCCTGGCTAGTTTTTGTATTTTTTTGGTAGAGACAAGGTTTTGCCATGTTGGCCAGGCTGGTCTCCAGTTCGTTTCAAGGATCATTAAAAGGTTCAGGCCAGGTGTGGTGACTCACACCTGTAATCCTAGCACTTTGGGAGGCTGAAGCAGGAGTATCACTACAGCTCAGGAGTTTCAGACCAGCCTGGGCAGCATGGTGAGAGCTCATCTTTATTATAAATAAAAAAGAAAAAATAAGTAAAAGGTTTGAACCCTTGGACCCATTAATTCTACTGCCAGAAGTACATTATTAAAAAAAAAATCAAAATCACTTTCCAAAATACGTTCAAAGATGTTCATTGCACCCTTCATTATAATATGAGGAAAATTTGGAAAGCATCCAGATGCCCAGAAACAGGGCTTTGATTAATTTTATTATTCTATAGCCACATGGCAAAATACTATGCAGCCCTTAAAATCATATTACTTAGGGACATGGGCAAAGAAAACAAATGCTCATGATATCATAAGTGGAAAAATATCCTGGGCACAAGAATACACATGTGTAAACATACATGCTCAGAGATACATATATACAAAAAAGTCTTGCAAGAAAGATACAAAAATGTTAGCAGCAGTTCTCTCTAATTTAAGCTATTATAGGCCATTTTTCAGTTTCCTTTAAATATTTTGGATTTTTTTCAAATTTTCTACAATATATATGCTTTATTCTTAGAATTTAAAAAAATTGAAAATTCCTCAAAAAGTTCCTGCTAGGGTAGGAATTTCCTCAGGAACCACCAGCGCCTTCAAACCTGTTTCCACCCCAGCTTTTACTTGTTATGACCACAGCTGTGGTCTTCTCTTGGCCAAGGGCCATGTTGTGGATGGTTCAGGACACATTCCCCAGTGTGCTGTCCCTGACTCTGCTAGACACTGCTATTTGGAAGAGCCCAGCTTTTTCCAGAGAGTGGGCCTCTGACAGGGATGGAAGTACCCTGCCTTGAGGTTCTCTCCACTTGGCCCAGGGCTCTGGGAACCATCCCACCTATCTGCACACCAGCAGGGCCTCTGCCAGGGTATGGTCCTGGCCATGGCCCTCTTCCCCCATAGCCTCCTGTGATGAACAGGGGCAGCTGTTAATGGAACTTGTCCTCTCTCCACTCTCTCCCCACGCTCCTCCTAATGGGATAAGCCAGTCTCTAGCTTTATTCTCAGACATTTAAAAATTCACCCATAGCAATAACTGTATCACATGATTCAGATTCCTGTGGGCACCTCGGTCCCCTTTTAAAAATTACTTTTCAGCTGGGCATGGTGGCTCATGCCTGTAATTCCAGCACTTTGGGAGGCTGAGGTGGGAGGATCACCTGAGGTCGGGAGATTGAGATCAGCCTGACCAACATGAAGAAACCCCGTCTCTACTAAAAATACAAAAATTAGCCGGGCGTGGTGGCACATGCCTGTAATCCAGCTACTCGGGAGGCTGAGGCAGGAGAATCACTTGAACCTGGGAGGCGGAGGTTGTGGTGAGCCCAGATAGCATCATTGCACTCCAGCCTGGGCAACAAGAGTGAAACTCCATCTCCAAAAAAAAGAAAAAAGAAAAAAAAATTAGTTGGCCATGGTGGCGGGCACCAGTAATCCCAGCTAACTCAGGAGGCTGAGGCAGGAGAATCACCTGAACCCAGGAGGCGAAGTTGCAGTGAGCCAAGATTGCACCAATGCACTCCAGCCTGGGCAACAAGAGCAACACTCCATCTCAAAAAAAAAAAAAAAAAAAAAAAAAAAAATTAATTTTCACCCCAAAGGACTCCAATTTGGAAAGTCTGTCTACCAACTACTGAGTGTTTTAAAGTAATTGATTCATCCCCACTTCATGGTGTGTGACTTCAAATTATGACCAAAAGATAATCAGCATGTGACCATGTGAAGCCAGTGTCATTCAAGCAAATGCAAAGACATGGTTTGGGTTGGGTTGAGTTGGGTTTGGTTTGGTAGACTGATTTTTTAAAATATTAGTAGACTGATTTTTGTGGACTGATTTTCAGTAAACTGTTTTTTTTAAATATTGAAGCTAGTTTGAGAACACTCTCAACTGGGTGCAGTGGCTCACACCTGTAATGCCAATACTTTGGGAGGCCAAGCGGGGAGGATTGCTGGATTGGAAACCAGTCTAGGAAACATAGGGAGACCCTGTCTCTACTAAAAGTAAAAAAAAAAATTAACCAGACATGGTAGTGTATGTGTAGTCCCAGCTACTTGGGAGGCTGAGGTGGCAGGATTACTTGAGCCCAGGTGGTCAAGGCTACAGTGAGCTATGATTGCACTACTGCACTCCAGCCTGGGCAACAGAGCAAGGCCCTATCTCAAAACAAAAAAAAAAAAAAAAAAAAAGAGAAAAAAAAAAAAAAAAACACTATCTCTCCCTTCCTAACCCTTTACTTTCTCAGGAACCCCAGGAGAGGACCCATTAAGTAAATCCTGTCACAGCAGGGGATCTGTCCCTTGAAGACATTTCTTTACAGCCATGTAATGAGTTCCTTGATAATGGAGCATAGAAAGATGACCCAGGGAGGAAAAGCTATTATCTGAGCCTCCAAGCCCTATTTAACCAGGACCTGCATTGTACAGTGTTTTCCAAAGTCTGAGTTCCTTCCTTATCAGAAATGCCTAGGCCAGCTTCACAGCCTCAGCTGAGATCAATGGACATGGCTGGGTAAGGCTGAGCCATCCTGGCAAGTAAAAACTACACTGCAGATGAAAGAAAAGTCTAGACATGGAGAGACAAAGTAGGTCCTGATTAAGCTTGTCCAATTGCCACAAATGACCCTGGGCACCTCAAACCCATTCTAACCTGCAACCTGCAGGATCACGGTGTCCTCTTTACTCAGATTTCCAACTTGGATCAGACATCGGTAAGACCCTTGGTCCTCAAGGCGCACGTCAAGGATCTGCAGAGTGACACTTCCCTCTTGGGCATCTCTCACTAGCACCGTCCTCCCCTTATATTCCGGCATCAGATCTTCATCCTGGTCCTTCCCATCCCGGAATATGTGAACAGCCTGGGAGCGCTGCGGGAATGGGGACCGCAGCCACCTCACCTCCTTGGGTACCGTCCCGGGCCAGAGGGAGAGAGGGCAGAGCAGCTCGGCTGTGCCCCCTAGTAGGGCCACGTGGAACTTGCCGGCATCCCCTGCGTGGCCTGGACAAAAAAAGAGACAAGGCCAACTGGGAGGGACGGCAGGAGAAAGCTTGGGAAGGGATGAGGAAGAGGATATCCCGGGGACGGACAGAGCCCAGGAAGGACTCTGGAAAGGATTGCCAGGGCCGGGGGAACAGAACCCCAAAAGACATAATGTTTCCAGCCAAGCTTCCTTATTCTGGGGACGCCAATATCACATGTACCAGGCAGGGAAAGAGGATCAGAAACTCCTACCTGACACATGCACAGACAGCCGGAGGAAGACGAGAGGGATGAGGCAGCCAGAGAGCCAGGAGCCAGCAGAACTCGCCATCTCCATCCGAACTAGGACAGACAGAGGGAGACAGCACAAGCGGGCTGATGGGCTTGGCGTGACAGAGGGTATAACCCAGGAGCCGAGGCCGAGACGGTATTGCTGGTGCTCTGGGATCACAAAGGCCGGGGCTCCAATCCCAGCTCTGCTACTTACCTCCTTGTGATACTGTGACCGAACTTCTCTGAGACTGTGTTTCTTCATCTTCAAAATGGGTAAAAGAACTGTGCCTCCTTGTGGGATTATGGTGAGGGTTGAAAGAGGTAAATGCTCACACAGAGGCTGGCGTGTTAAGTCTCTAAATGCCGTGAGTGAGGATGTCAGTGCAGATGAGATGAGTGAGGATCCAGAACTTATACCCAGAACTAACCAAGGAAACACCAGTAATGGCCTTTTTTTTACAGTTGGTGTCCAAGGCCAGGCTTGGGAAATGCCTGTTTCAAGCCAATCTTTGCCCAAGATGCAGCCTGGAGGTTTCCCTGACAGCCTTTTCCAGTTTGACTCTTGATAAATAACAGATCAAGGCAGTGAGGTCCCTCCATGTCATCCTGAAGGCACTAATCCTACAAATTCAGGGTCTGGCGCTGGAAAGACCTGGGTTCAAATCTTAGCTCTACCTATTACTAGCTCTGTGTCCCTAGGAAGGTTGCATAACATCTCTGGACCTCGGGTTCTTAATCTATGAAGGGAAACTGTCCTCACAGATGAGTGTGAGGGTTCAAAAAGATACTGCCTGCCAAGCACTGGCCACAAATGCCTGGCAGAACAACTGCTCATAAGTGTGTAGTTGTTGTTATTATTACTAACCAAGTGAGGAAAATTATCCCTAGCAGGTCCAGATGACCGTGTGCATGAATCACAGGGAGACCCTAAAGGATTTCCTCCTGTAAAGCTCTTTCCCCACCTATTTGCTACTGCCTGAAATTGCTTTAGCAGGAAACAGAATCTCTCATGCCACAAGTGAGCATAAAGTTTAAAATGTAAATGCTCTAGGAAAAGGCAACTCATCTCTTAAATTCTCTCCAAGGTTCAAATCCTTTCCAAAGAGGAGGCTTTTGTATAAGTCAGAAGGCCCAGTCCCTGAAGGTCATGGAAAAGGTCATGACACACGGAGGGGGTGTCAAAGGGAGACTGGGAAACTGAAGATGAAGCTAGCGTTGAACACATTCTCATTTTAAACACCCAATTCTGTTTTCTCATGGCAAAAAGCACACTGGTTTAGGGTTGTTCTTGTTTTTCTTTAAATCATATTTTATACAACATACCCCTCTAAGCAAATGACAACATAGCACTAGGTCATAGTGAGGTTAGGATCACATTAGGACACATTTTTTTGTGACTGTCCCACCCACTTTCCTATAGGTTACTAGCTACTCAAAAACTGGACAAGAGAAGTTAAGTAAATGAGAAAAGCTCTCTATTTTATCAATTATGGTTGAAGGTGGAAGTAGGGCCCAGGATTCCCTGGCGTTATCCCTAATCCCAAAACCCCTCAACTTTCTAGTGACTCTGAAGCACACCCTGGGTAGACATGCTCAGAGTGACCCAGAGCTCCAAGCTAACCCAAGGCTGCCTGAAATCAAATAGAAGGAGACCTCTATGGACCCATATTCCAAGATTCAGACAATCTATGAAGTGGTTAAGAGGGTGAGCTCTAGGCTGGGCATGGTAGCTCATGCCTATAACCCTGCACTTTCGGGAGGCCAAGGCAGGAGGATCACTTGAGCTCAGGAGTTAGAGACTAGCCTGGGCAACATAGTGAGACTCCATCTCTACAAAAAATAAAAGAAAATTAGCTTGGCATGGTGGCACGCACCTGTAGTCCTAGCTACTCAGGAGGTTGAGGTGGGAGGATTTCTTGAGCCTGGGAGGTTGAGGCTGCAGTGAACTGTGATTGCACCACTGCACTCCAACCTGGGTAACAAAGCAAGACCTTGTCTCAAAAAAAAAAAAAAATTTTTTTAAAAAAAGAATGAGCTCTAGAGTCAGCCTGGGTTCAAGTCCTGGCTCTGCCATTTCCTAACTGGTGGCCTTAGACAGGTTAGTTTACTTCTCCAAACCTCCTCTTGCTCACACATGAAATGAAGTTAATAATAGTACCTACCTCATAGATAGGGTTATAGTAAGGATCAAAGAAAATACATGTAAAATGATTTGCACCAGATGCTGGAAATAAAAAGCAAATGAAGTCCTTCTGTTAGATTGTCACTCCATGTAAGAAGTGCTACCAGGTCCTTTTTTTCATATTTTCTTACACAGATGTAAGAACCATCTGGTCACCATACTGACCTCCAGGATTTATTCTTCTAATCTAGTTTGCCAGGATGGCCCCTTCCTCCATCTCTTCTAACATGTAACATATCAATATTATAGTAGTCAACATCCTATTAATGGCTGTGAAGTAACACTAAATCATAAATATGTTTCTAATTATGATATTGCTCTAAATCAATAATAGTTCTTATTTATTGCATTTGTTGTTTCTCCATATATATTGTCTTCAGTACTGACAACATCTCTGAAAAGTAGGTATTATTCTCTTTTACACTTAGAACAGGAAAGGCAATCATACACACTTCAGGGTACCATGCAAGTGAATTGCCGGGATCCTTTCTGGAAGCAGATAGAATGTAAAACATGGATAAACAGATGAATGAATGCATGCCTATATAGCCCTGTATCATGAGTTATAAAATGAGCAAATGACCACCACACTTTACTGAGTGATTATCATGGAACTCCTTTACAAAGAAATTTTCCCCAACAAATATAAAATATGATTTCACTTCCTAAAGTTCAATGTATATGCCACAGTTTGGGGCTTTTTCTGTCTTACTTATTGTAGGAAAATCTGGAAATGATCCAAAACAAGGACAAAAATGTCAAATCATCTGTAATTCCTCCACCCAAAGATAATGTTTCTATAAATATTCTTTCTATGCATGTACATAACTTTTTGTAAAACAAACAAACAAAAACCATGACTGGGCACAGTGGCTCACGCCTGTAATCCCAGCACTTTGAGGTAGAGGTGGGAAGATTGCTTGAGCCCAGGAGTTTGAGACCAGCCTGGGCAACATGGCAAATCCCTGTTGCTACAAAAAAATATAAAAATAAATCAACTGGCTGTGGTGGTATGTGCCTGTGGTCCCAGCTACTTGGGAGGCTGAGGTAGGAGGATTACCTGAGCCCAGGAGGTTAAGGCTGCAGTGAGCCATGATCACGCCCCTGCACTCCAGTCTGGATGACAGAGCAAGACCCTGTCTTAAATAAATAAGTAAATAAATACTTTATATACTGTTTTGATACCTGATATTTTCACCAAGTGCTACATTATGTGCATTTCCCAAGGCAATCAAATCTTCTTTACATGACTTTAGGATTCCATCATGGACATAGAATTTTAGAAGTTAGGATATAAGATGTAAAAGCTTTAAAATAATTCTATATTGAGGACATTTAGGTTGTTTTCCAATACATCGCTATTATAAACATTGCTATAAGTGACAGTGGATTGAGGGCTAGAATCAGATGGCTTAGTCCTAGTCTTGGCTTGGTCCCTTACTGCTCTGTGATTTTGTAACTTTTTTTTTTTTTTTTGAGACAGAGTTTCACTCTGCCGCCAAGCTGGAGTGCAGTGGCATGATCTCAGATCACTGCAACCTCTGCCTCCCAGGTTCAAGCAATTCTCCTGCCTCAGCCTCCTGAGTACCTGGGACTACAGGCGCACACCACCATGCCCAGCTAATTTTTGTATTTTTAGTAGAGACGGAGTTTCACCATGTTGGCCAGGATGGTCTCGAACTCCTGACCTCATGATCTGCCCTCCTCGGCCCCCCAAAGTGTTGGGATTACAGGTGTGAGCCACTGCGCCCAGCCATGACTTTGTAACTTTAAGCAAGTCACTTAGATTCTTAGGCCTTAAGTTTCCCATCTTTAAAATGGGAAGACTTTTCATCTGCACTGACAAATTGCCCTCCAGAAAGTCATATCAACTTACCAAAGTATCCTATGAAATTTCTTGTTTTCCCACAACCTTACCATCACTGGATATTATCATTTAAAAAAAAATTTGCCAATTTCATGAGTAACAAAATGCCATCCCTTTTTTTTTGTTTGATGGTGATTCATTTCAATTTGTATTTCTTTGATTACTCACTGGTTATTTGGACTTTGTCAATTACCTGTCTATGTAATTTGCTCGTTTATCTATTGGGACATTTATTTCTTAATGGTTTGCAAAATTCTGCATATACTAACCATTTTTTTCCACTACACATGTTGGAAACATGGCAGTTATTTACATTTTAAGTTTGAAACAGTTTAATTTTTAAAACTTCTAAATCAGAAAAAAGATTGTAACAGATGTTCTCTTGACAGTCCCAAGCAGTTTAATATGACCCTGCAAATCTGCAATTGATCAGTCTAAAAGCACACAGCACAGCGTCCAGCAAATAGTAAGAGCTAAATAAATGTTGGCTTTAATTTAATAATGATGACAATACTACTTAAATAAGAGTACTTCAACAAAACCCATCCAGCAATCTTGTCACTTGTCTCCTTTTGTGTTTCTTTAGTGATAGCTAACAACTGCCCCATTTCACCCTTGAAAATGTTCTTGTGCGTAAGGAGAAAGGGGATTATTTCTCTACTAAACCTGAGGATCCTGAGAAAGTTAAAGGACTAAAAAGCATGAAGAGAGAGAGGAGGACTCACCACCTTCTGGATCAGGGACGCTTGTTCCTCTCACAGGCAAAGCTGGAGTTTGCAAGCTGGGAACACTCCTTCCCCATGCAGAGAGACCAGGGAGCAGGCAAGCGCATCAGGAAGGCCTAGGGATGTGGGCCGGGAAAAGTTCATATTTTATGAAATATGAGAGGCCAGGGCTCTCTCTGCCCCCACAGAACTCCCTTCTCGCTGTCCCTGTAAACCAGCAAGCCACACCCTGTCTGTATGCCCCTGATAAAAGAACAGAGCAAAGAGGAGGCTCCCAAAAATGAGGGAACCACTGAGTATGACTGACCGGGTAGGAGGCACGTTTGCCCCTCCACTCCCTTTTCCTCCAATGCTGCCAATAGTAATTCCCTCTGATGCGTTTTGATCCTATCACATTCTTTCTGAAAACCTTCCCCCTTTACTTTTCAAATCAGAGTAAATTGGAAGATTGGTTTCAAAGACATCCACCAATTAACCACCTTCTTTAACTCACTATCTTTATCTCCAGCTACACCCTGACATGTGCCTTCTGATAAGCAAGCTTGCTGTTTTCCAACATGTGATAAACGCTTCCCGCCTGTCTTGCTTTCATAATATCCTTAGCTGTATGTTCATAATCTCCATAATTATATCATTAACAATACATTACACATTTTTATGTCCTTTGAACTTTATAAAGATGGAGCCCATTGTACATAATTCCCAATTATTCCCTTTTTTTATTCAACATTAGCTTCTGAGTCTAGCAGACATCTGTGGTGGCCCACACCATGTCCCCTCAGCCCACCCAATTTTGGTGTAGCTGAGACTTGCAGGCAAGCTGCTAGCATGTCACCTCATAGGCCATGGCATTTTTCTGCTTGCCTGTCTTGGGGCTTTCTACAAAGCCTTGGAAGGCTGTGCAGCCCAGAAGTTCACCAAAGCTAACACCTCGGAGACATAAACAACAGTGAGAGGAGTCAAGACAAAATGCTCCAGGCTTGCACCTTCAGCTCTGAGCTGTATTCGACATGATTCCTCTGAGTGTTCCCAATGGGAGTGAGCACGGTGGTTCATAGTGGTAAGTAGCTCCGTACTGCACCTTTTATTGACTTTTCTTCCTTTTTTGCTCATTCCCATTTCTGCTTCCTGGGATTACCTCCTAAATACACTCTTGAACTGAAGTACTTGTCTCACACCTCACACTCTGTTCTGGGGGTGTACAAATTAAGACACTGAAATTAATCCAGGTTGTTTCACAGAGCACTAGGATATTCATTCACTGCTATATAGTAGACCATTATATAAATCTACCAACAGTTTCTCTCGTCCCTTAATGATAGAAATGTGGGTTGTTTCTGGGCTTTAGCTTTTATAAATAATACTGTCCTGAACATTCTTTTTTTTTTTTTGAGACAGAGTCTCGCTCCGTCGCCCAGGCTGGAGTGCAGTGGTACGATCTCGGCTCACTGCAAGCTCCGCCTCCTGGGCTCATGCCATTCTCCTGCCTCAGCCTCCGGAGTAGCTGGGACTACAGACGCCCGCCACCACGCCCAGCTATTTTTTTTTTTGTATTTTTAGTAGAGACGGGGTTTCACCGTGTTAGCCAGGATGGTCTTGATCTCCTGACCTTGTGATCCGCCCGCCTCGGCCTCCCAAAGTGCTGGGATTACAGGCGTGAGCCACCGCGCCCGGCCTCGTGCCCTGAACATTCTTGATAGGTATTTCCTGCTCACATGTGCAAGAATTTCTCTAGAGCACCAGTTCTTAATGTGTGGTCCACAAACACTTGAAGTCCCTGAGGCCCTATCATCCAGGTTAAAACTACATTCATCATAATAAAGACGTTATTTGCCTTTTTCACGGTATTGACATTTTCAAGGACACTGCAAAAGCAATAGTGGGTAAAACAGCTAGCACAAATCAGGAAGTGGCACCAAACTGTAGTAGAAGTTACAAATTTTATTAAATTTCAACTCTTAGATACACATCTTTTTAATAGTTTGTGTGACAAAATGGGAAGGATGCATAAACAGTTACGCTGCATATCAAAGTATGATGACTTTATCGAGGAAAAAACCTTAAGTGATTGAGTTGTGAGCTGAAGTAATCGCTTGACTCATGGAGCACCATTCTTACCTGAAAGTACAGCTGAAAGACAAAGTATAATTATTCAGACTTGGGTATTTGGCAGGCATTTTCTCCAAAATGAATAAAGTGCACCTGTCACTTCAGGAAAAGCAACTGACAGTGTTTGTTGTCAATGAGAACATTCAATCTTTTGAGCAAAAATTAGAATTTTGGAAAATTTTTATCTGCTGCTTGATACCCTCACAATAGCAAAAGACTTTTCTGATGAGATTGGCATTGATATTAATAAATGTGATTTTTTGATGTTGTATAATGAAATGTGTCAACATTTAGAAGATCTGTAAAACTCAGTGACTCAGCAATTTCCAAATGACCAATGGGTGTGTTGACAAAACCCTGCATGGGTAAAACATTCATTTAAAATGCAAGAAAAAACTGTGAGTGTTGCTGTAATAGAGTATAAAAAGGTCATTGCTATGGTTTCAGATTTCATGTCACAACTAAGCTTTAAAAAACTACCACTTGCTGAGTTTTGGTGTCTTATCAAAGAATATCCACGATTATCTGAAAAAGCTACTGAAATGCTCCTTTTCCAATTGCATACACTTCAACCACAAAACATACTGCAGCAGATTGAAAGATATAGCTGGCTTGAGAATACAGCTGTCTTCTATTAAGCCAGACATCTAAAATATTTATAGCCATTAAAAAGAATAAAATCCCATCATTCAAAGTGACATGGATGGAACTAGAAAACATTACGTTATATGAAATAAGTCAGGCACAGAAAGTTAAACACCACATGTTCTCACTCATAGTTAGATGTTAAAAAAAAAGAAAAAGTTAATCTCATAGAAGTGAAAAGCAGAACAGAGGTTACTAGAGGCTGGAGAGGGAAGGGGAGGATAGGGAGAGATTTGTTCAATAACACAAAATTACAGCTAGGTAGGAGGAACAACTTCTACTGTTTTATAGCACTGTAGGATGACCATAGTTAACAATAATATATTATGTAGTTTCAAATAAAGAAGAAAGGATACTGAATGTCCCCAAAACACAGAAATGATAAATGTTTGAGATGAATATGCCAATTACCCTGATCTGATCACTACACATTGTATGTATCAAAATATTACTCTGTACCCCATAAATATGTACCATATGTGTCAATTAAAAATTAATTAGGGCTGGGTGCAGTGGCTCACGCCTGTAATCCCAGCACTTTGGGAGGCTGAGCCAGGCGGGTCACCTGAGTTCAGGAGTTCAAGACCATCCTGGCCAACATTGCGAAATCCTGTCTCTACTAAAAATACAAAAATTACCCAGGCGTGGTGGCACACGCTTATAATCCCAGCTACTCAGGAGGCTGAGGCACAAGAATTGCTTGAAGCTGGGAGGTGGAGGTTGCAGTGAGCTGAGATCACACCACCACACTCCAGCCTGGGCGAGAGAGTGAGACTCCATCTTAAAAAAAAAAAAATTAATTTTTTAAAAAGGATTTATATAAATATAAAGCAGTGCTACTCAGTAATATTTTTGTTTCAAAAAAGTTGCTTTTCATAAATATATGTTTTGTTGTTATATAATTTATTATTTTTATTTTTAAAAGTAGTAATTATATTTAATTTTTCTTAGTTTTCTTTTTTTTTTTTTTTAGAGCTAGGGTCTAGCTCTGTTGCCCAGGCTGGAGTGCAAAGGCACAATCATAGCTCACTGCAGCCTTGAACTCCTAGGCTCAAGTGATCCTCTTGCCTCAGTCTCCCTAGTAGCTAGGACTACAGGTGCATGCCACCAAGCCCAGCTATTTTTAAAAATTTTTTTGTAGAGATGGGGTCTTACTACGTTGCCCAGGCTGGTCTCAAACTCCTGGCCTAAAGTGATCCTCGCACCTTGGCCTCCCAAAATGCTGGATTACAGGCATGAACCACCACACCCAGTCAGTTTTAATTTTTAATATGGAAAATTTCAAAAAATATAACTCATATAAACTGAAGCTCCCTGAGGTCCTCAATAATTTTTAAATGTAAAGCGTTTCTCAGAATATATACCTAGAAGTAGTATTGCCAGGTTATAGATGATACTAAATTGTTTTCCAAAGTAATTGTACCAATTTATAACTTGTCATAATTAATATTTTTACTGCTTTCTCCAGAAGCATTTTATCAGATAGTCTAAATCACATCATAAAATGAGTTTCTTATCTGAAATGTTCTTTTTAGACTTCTAACTCTATGAGTGAGAAAAACAGATACAGACATAGATAAAGATATCACTCATAATCGTAATCTCAGAATCCAGTAATAATCACTGTAATTTTTTTGGTCTATATGCTTCCTGACTTAAAAAGAGGGAGCTCTAGATTTCCAGTTAAATAAACATGTCTCATTGAACACAAATGCTTATCTCTGTTACCTCCCAAAATGATCTAAAATGACAATCTTGGAGTGCAAAAGGAAAAGCCTATAAGGACAAAGAGAACAGGACAGTAAGTAACTGTGCAATAGAGATGTCAATACATTTCTTTAATGAAGGAAAGCAGAGGGCTCACTAGTAATAGAGCTAGGAAAAACTGAACTCTAACCCAGGTGCCTGCAGAGGGAGGCAGGATTGGGGGAAACATCAGATAAAGGGTTCCTGACATCAACCCTTGACATCAGCAAGAAGAAAGCTGATTCTCAACTGAGAACCTTCCAGGCTTGGGATGGGAGGGACCAGGGCCTGGCTCTACCTCCCGGGGTTGTTGTAAGGATTAAATTAGCTAAAACATGCAAAATACTTAAAATAGGGGCTGATACTCAATGGTAGCTGTTATTGTCTGAGGATAAGCTCCAACTTGAAAGCCAGAGACCAAAATAAACAACAGAGACAATCTAGGAAGCAGAAGAAAACAGCAGAAAATTACAACTGGAATCCTCAGAAATATGAAATAAGAGAAGATCCTGAATCCACAACATAAGAGCAAGAGGCTACCAAAAAGGAAAGTCGGGGATCAAACAAAAACTCTTGGAAATTAACATTTTTGTAGCAGAAATGAAAAAATTCAATAGAAGAACCAGGGGATACAGCTCAGGAAAATCTCTTGTAAATTAGAATAAACAAAACCAGGAAATGGAACATGAAGAAAAATTTAAAAACAGGGAAACTGGCTGGGTGCAGCAGCTCATGCCTGTAATCTGAGTACTTTGGGAGGCTGAGGCAGGAGGATCACTTGAAGCCAGGAGTTCAAGACTAGCCTGGCCAACATAGGGAGACCCTGTCTCTATTTGTTAAAAAAAAAAAAAAAAAAAGAGAAACTGATCACAGAGAACGTTTCCCAGAATTGAAGACTTTGTTTCCCAATTGAAAGGGGCCACCGAGTGCTTAGCATAATGAATGAAAAATACTTAAAGGACAGTTTGTTATGAACGTTCAGAACATCAAGGATAAAGGAGAAAAATATCCTAAACAAATTAACAAATTAACAAACAAAATATATGGGAAGTAACACAAGTCAGAATAAATCAGTCTCCTCAAGAGTAGCCACATGAGAAGCTAGATGACAATGAATCAATGCCGTTAAACTTCTGAGGGAAAATAATTTCCAATGTGGAAATCTGTCACTCAAGGATGAAAGAAAATAAAGCCATTTTTAGACAAGCAAGGACTCAAAAATTTAGCTTCCATGAACCCCTTCTGGGGAGTTAGTGGAGAACATACTCCTCCAAAATGAGAGAATAAACCAAGAATGGAAAAACATAAGATCCAGAGAGCAGGGGATTTGGCACAGGAGAAACAAGAAGAGAATCCCCAGAATGTGGTTAGGTCCCTAATCCTAGGACAAGAGCTGTGAAGCAAGGCTAAGCAGAGGAGTTTGGAGCAAAGAGAGGATGAGTCTAAGGAGGGATGCTGCCAAGAAAAAAAAAAAAGACACTGGTAAATGACCTGGTTCACATCTGTAGTACCAGCCACTGAGGGGCTGAAGCGGGAGGATCACTTGAGCCCACCTCTGAAAATAAAAAATAAACAAGGGATGCATAGATCATTAAGCAAATAAAAATAGATAATTTTTTGACTCTAGAAAAAATATTATTCAATAAAGTGAATATAATCTTAGTGTAGTATATACCTCAACTGTAAAAATATTCTAGTTATATTACTATAAACTCTTGCTAGTCATTCAACAAACCAGGAAATTCTGCAGCCTGGCCAAGAGTCCACTGGTAGACACAAAAGAGACAGACAAAGCATAAACTCATGGAAAGAATAGAGAGGGGACTTTGACAGTGTTCAGCCTCAACATTCACTCCCTCCTGGCTCCAACCTTCACCTTCCCAATAAAGAATGTAGAATCCCAAACTGGTATCTCCAGTTCCGTTCTTTTCTGAAATCTTCTAATTGCTCACTGGACAATTCTTCTTGCCTATTGCCACTTGAAGCGTAATCTAGCTCTTTCTCTCTCTCGGTCCCTCTCTTGCGCGCGCGCACACACACACACACACACACACACACACACACACACGCTCCTAACTTATCCTCTTCCTCACCGTTTCCCAAACCAACTCATCACACCTTCTCCACTTTCAACAGTGGCTCAGTGGCACCACTACTTTTCCAGTCTTCCATGTGGCTTTTCCACTCCTCCATTCCCTATAGCTGGTTTGTTTTTAGCTGGCTTCTAAAGGTCCTGCCGTGTCTTCAGCTGTAATCTAGTTCATAGCTTATATGAACGTTATAAACCATACCATGTGACACAAATGTAAAATACCAGTACTACATCAAGATTTCTGAAATAGACTCTGACTTGGTTACTTTTATTAATAATAATCGAATCAGCATTTGTATAGGGTTTTTAAAAAGACATTTAATGTACTTTCCTCTGATTGCTAAAGTATAAACGTTTACTGTAGAAATTTTGGAAAAGCTGGGCGCAATTGCTCACATCTGTAATCCCAGCACTCTGGGAGACTGAGGCAGGAGGATCACTTGAGCCCAGGATTTCCAGATCACCCTGGGAAACACAGTGAGACTCCATCTCTACAAAAAAATTTTAAAAAATTAGCCAGGCATGATGGTGTGTGCCTGTAGTCCCAGATACTTTGGAGGCTGAGGTGGGAGGATTGCTTGAGCCCAGGTTACAGTGAGTTATGATCACACCACTGCACTCCAGCCTGGGTGACAGAGCAAGACCCCATCTATTTTTTAAAAATTAAATAAATAAAAAATAAACATTGTGCAGTAGATCTCTAGAACTTTTTCACCTTACAAACCTAAAATTCTATACCCTTTAAACAATTCCTCTTTTCCCTCTCTCCTAGCCACTGGCAGTCACCATTCTACTTTCTGTTTCTTAGACTTTGATTGCTTTAGATACTTCATATGAATGGAAACATGCAGTATTTGTCTTTTTGGGGCATTGTGCTCACTTTTAAGGCTTTTGATACCTAGTACTAAACTGACCTCCAGAAAGGCTGTTAACGATTTACAGTTTGACTGGAAGCGTGTGTCCATCTGGGCTGAGTTCATTGCTTGCTTAGCATCTATCAGTTGTTTCAATTCTTGCCAGTTTGATAGAGGAACAAATAGTGGACCCAAACAGGGTTTTACTTTGGATAAGGCCATTGTCCTATGAATCCTGGCTGAAATATTTGCTCCAGCACTTAGAAGCTGTGTGACCCGGGACAACTCACTTAACTTTTCAATGCTTCTGTTCCCTTATGTGTAAATGGGGATAATAATATACACGTATACATTATACACACTTATTATGAGGAATTAGTTAATAAATGTGAAGCTGTAAGAACAGTGCCTGGAATATAGTAAGCCCAAATGTAAGGTAGCTATTATCATTTTTGTCAATCCTTGCTAATGTAATACCTGGAAAATTACAGCCAGCTATTTTAATTTACATCTCCTCGGTAATCAGTTGAACGTGAATGTTCTCTGTATTTATACTGGCTATTGGTACTTCTGTCAAGATTTCCTTTTTCAAAGCACTGTGGCAAACGGGATCTCACTTGATCCTCCCAATAAACTCATGAATGAAGAAGGTGGCAATCATCAATCCCCACTTTTCGAATTAAGAAATTGAGCCTCGGAATTCGAATTCTGAGCAATTCCAATTCCAGGATTCGGATCTCACCCTCTAAAACCTAGTAGCTGTTGCAGAAAATATAACGGGAAAAAGCTTTGGTTAGCCGTAACCACCACCCACCCCGGTGTGGCTCCGCCCCTGCCCCGCCCCGGCACCGGCTTGCCCCGCCCCGCCCTCTACGCGGGTTTCCAGCCATCCTCTCTGCGCACGCGCGGCCGCTCCTGCGGGCGGAAGCCTCCTGGCGCTCGGCCCTGCGCCCCTCCCCCCGGCGCGCGGCCCCGCCCAGGACGAGGGGCGGTGGGCAGGCAGCGCTGGGTCCAGTGGTCGGGGGAAGGCGAGGATTACCCTCCCGGAGGCGTTGTCTGCGACTCGGCGGAGGCTCCAACTTCCAGTGGCCCGGTCGGGAAAGGTACAGACTCCCAAGCCTCTTGGTCGGCGGCTCCAGCGACCGCCATTTTCCTCCAGGAGAGGGAAGAGGGCAGGAGGCGGGGGCCGTCCCCTGGGGCCGGGCGGGCCGGGGCGGGGTCGGGGGGCCGGGCGGTGGGGGGCGGGCCCGGCTGGCTATGGGGCCCGGCCCCCTGGCCCCAGGAGCGGCTGCTGCGGCGGAGTTAGGCCGGCCGCAGTGGGAAAACCCTGGGCGCCCTCTGGGTCTCAGCGTCCCATTAGGACGGTTCCGCGCTGGGTGCCGCACGCCGCACAGTGGGCAACGCTTTCACAGGGGTCTTTGCATTTCACCCGCACACAGCAGCTCCTGGAGGGAGGCCAGGAAAACACTTAACCCATTTTGCAGACAGAAAACTAAGGCTCAAAGTGGGGAGGAGACTTGCCCAGGGACACCCAGCGAGGTTGTGGCCTTGGGACTCGGTTCCTACTCCCCCACATCCAGCGCCCTTGCCACCAGACCACTCTGCCTCACCTGGCAAAGGATGGGGCGGAGCTAAAGGATTAGAGGAGTAACTGGCAGGGTATTTTTTGTTTTGTTTTGTTTTGAAGATCTGCCTCTTTCTGTACCACCCAGATCAGAGCCTCCTAAGAAATATCCAGAAGTCAAGCCATGGATCCACCTGCACGTAAAGAAAAAACCAAAGTTAAAGAATCTGTCAGCAGAGTTGAGAAGGCCAAACAGAAATCAGCCCAGCAGGAGCTGAAGCAGAGACAAAGAGCAGAGGTGAGATTAAGGCGGAGGCTCTGTATGCCTGTAGTCTGCTGGAGATGATGCTGGAATAGAGAAACAGCAGAAAGGAGAACTGACAGCGAGCCATACTTGCCTCCAGGCAGGATGGGTGTTCTCCCAGGTTTAGAGGGGACAACACTGAGGTTCAGAATGGTGAGGTGGCAGCCCAGAATCACATGCCAAGTTAGTGTCAGAACCCCAGTCTGGTGCGGAGCTTTTGTGGTAAGAGACCCAAGGGAAGGAAGAAAGGAAAAAAAATGATATGTAAGGGGAAAGAAGGGGTCAGAATGAGAGAGAGCACGCAAGTGTCAGACACCCCCAGTACAGATGTTCTGGATTTGGTGCGGAAAGCAGCTACTCATGCCAGGTAGAGGCCCAAGCTTTAAACTCACCAGTGTGTTCCTTTGTTCTCTCAACGATTACAATCAACTTGAGAATAAAAAGCTTTAAACTTTACCCTGCCAATATTGAGCCACATACAGACATAAGTATTTTATTTTAGTATTTAATGTCAGGGAAAATCTTGCTGGTCTCTTTTTCCCTCTTTGTTTTGTTTATCTGTCTGCTTTGTTCATTTCCTGTCTTACATCCTTTTACTTCTCCATGGACAACTACTTTTTTTTATACTTTTACATTCAAATATATTAATAGATATCCTTGAACAATATACAGTAGTATTTTAAATTTTTACATTAATAAAATTCCTGCATTTTATTTTGCATTTTGCTTACATTGTTTTTTAGAACTATTCATGCCAATATAAGAATTTAGTTTATTCTCATTAATTTTTATAATAGTCTATTTTATGCATCCATTTTACTTAGTATATTTATTCATTCTTACAGAGATGCACATTTAAATTATTTATAGTATTTTTTGCTATTACAAACATTGCTGTAGTGAAAAGCTTTTAGGTGTCTCCTTTGGCACCTGCCTTAGAATTTCTGTAGGTTATTTAACTAGAAAAATTACTGGGTACATTCTCAATTTTACTAGACATTGCCACATTGCTTTTTTTTTTTGAGATGGAGTCTCTTTTTATTTTTTATTTTTTATTATTATACTTTAAGTTCTAGGGTACCTGTGCACAACATGCAGGTTTGTTACATATGTATACATGTGCCATGTTGGTGTGCTGCACCCATTAACTCGTCATTTACATTAGGTATATCTCCTAATGCTTTCCCTCCCCCCTCCCCCCACCCCACAACAGGCCCTGGTGTGTGATGTTCCCCTTCCTGTGTCCAAGTGTTCTCATTGTTCAGTTCCCACCTATGAGTGAGAACATGCGGTGTTTGGTTTTTTGTTCTTACGATAGTTTGCTGAGAATGATGGTTTCCAGCTTCATCCATGTCCCTACAAAGGACATGAACTCATCCCTTTTTATGGCTGCATAGTATTCCATGGTGTATATGTGCCACATTTTCTTAATCCAGTCTATCATTGATGGACACTTGGGTTGGTTCCAAGTCTTTGCTATTGTGAATAGTGCCATAATAAACATACGTGTGCATGTGTCTTTATAGCAGCATGGTTTATAATCCTTTGGGTATATACCCAGTAATGGGATGGCTGGGTCAAATGGTATTTCTAGTTCTAGATCCTTGAGGAATCACCACATTGTCTTCCATAATGGTTGAACTAGTTTACAGTCCCACCAACAGTGTAAAAGTGTTCCTATTTCTCCACATCCTCTCCAGCACCTGTTGTTTCCTGACTTTTTAATGATCGCCATTCTAACTGGTGTGAGATGGTATCTCATTGTGGTTTTGATTTGCATTTCTCTGATGGTGAGTCTCTTTTTTTTTTGAGACGGAGTCTTGCTCTGTCACCCAGGCTGGAGTGCAGTGGCGTGATCTCTGCTCACTGCAACCTCTGCCTCCCGGGTGCAAGCAATTCTCCTGCCTCGGCCTCCAGAGTAGCTGGGATTACAGGCGTGCACCACTGCCTTGGCCTCCCAAAGTGCTGGGATTATAGGTGTGAGCCACTGCACCCGGCCGATATTGTCAACTTTTAATTTTTGTTAACCTGATTCATTCATTAAATATTGGCCAGGCACAGTGGCTCACACCTGTAATCCCAGCACTTTGGGAGTCCGAGGCAGGCGGATCATGAGATCAAGAGATTGAGACCATCCTGGCCAACATGGTGAAACCCTGTCTCTACTAAAAAAAAAATTAGCTGGGCGTGGTGGTGCTCCCTGTAGTCCCAGCTACTCGGGAGGCTGAGGCAGGAGAATTGCTTGAACCCAGGAGACGGAGGTTGCCGAGATTGTGCCACTGCACTCTAGCCTGGGCGACAGAGCTAGACTCTGTCTCAAAAACAAAAAAAAAAGAAAAAGAACTGCTAGTATGTGCCAGGCACTGTTCGAGGAATTTGAGTCACATGATGACAAAGCAGAAAAGAATCCCTGCCTTCATGGATCTTGCATTCCAGCAAGGGGAGGCAGTAAACATAATAAGTAAACTTACTAGTGCATTTGAAGTTAATCTGTAAACTGAAATCTACCTTTGGGTTAAGGCAGACCCCCTGAGAGCTGTGGTCCTTTACCTTCCCATTCCCACCTGGATCCGGGTCCTCAGATGATATGACTGCATTGTGCTTTGGTGAACAATATGAGGGTTGCTATAAGAAACAGCCCTGAAGCAGGAGAACAGAAGCTACAGATAAGAAAACCATTGATCAGAGAAATGGTGATATAGCCAAGGGAGCTCTCACTGGAGGAACAGAGCTATCTATACTTCCGTGTACAACAAATGCTCTGGGAAATGGAGAACCAGTTGCCAGCCCATATGTGGTTACCTCACACCAATCAAAAGTGACTGTGGAGAGCACCCCCAATTTGGAAAACCAAATGAAAATGGAGTATCTCTGTTCAGAATGAAAATTTTGAAGAAATTATAAATTTACCCATTGGATCGAAACCATCCAGATTAGATGTCACTAACAGTAAGAGCCCAGAAGTTCCTTTGAATCCAGTTTTGGCCTTTGATGATGAAGGAACGCTTGGGCCCCTGGCTCAGGTAGATGGTGTTCAAACACAACAGACTGCAGAAGTTAAATGCGTATTTTTTCTGAAGAACCAACGTCAAAATTTAACGAGAATTTCTATAATTAATGGAATTCCTTTCATGCTATAAAAGAGCATCCCCTCTTCCAGTTTTCTAAAGATTTCTTGACCATCATTTTGAAAAGATTTATTTAAACTAGCTAAAGACAACAGACAGGATAGCTTTCCTAATAATTTTCATCAGTAGAAAAAAAATACTCCTCATTCTTCAGTACTTTCAAATGGCTTTTTCCAGTGTGCTCCTTCTTAGCAAATTAGTATTTTTCTGCGTTATTTAAAAGACAAGAGGATTTGGCTATAAAATGATTGACTAGGATTGACTAGGCATGATTTTTTTTCACATAGTTTGGTCTTAAAGCTTAACAGCTTAAAATTGGCAAAAAAAACTTGTGCCTTTTACCATGTAATACTTGAAAAGTAAGTACCTCTTTGCTACAAGTAGAATGAATAGGGAAAAGTTTAAGCCTGTTTTTTTAAAAATATTATTTTAAAGAGCTCTATTTGTAGAGGCAAATTATAGGCAGATTACCAGTTTCTTATAAATACAAACTTGTACATGGACATTCTGCAAACCCAGCTGTCATATTCTTGCAACTACTTTTGCAAAAGCATACTAAAAGGTTTTAAAATGTGAAAAAACATTATTTTTTCAGAGCAAGAAAATAATTTACTGTTGTCTTCAATAATGTGTAAAGTTTTTCCAGATAAACTAATCAAATAAATTAGAACAATGTGACAACATTGCAAATTTGTCATTAGATGCATTCCTTCTAACGTTACCAGGGGAGGATGTTACTGATGATTCAAGGCTGTTTCTGAAGTCTGTGTGTTGCTACTGTCCCCAGTGATGGTGGGACTTACCTCTGTCCTACTTGATCACAAATTATGTTAGGGGGAAATAAAGATTTAATATTTCATTAAATAAAAAAGAAATTTGGTTTTGCTCATTTAAGAGCAACAAGAAAATGGTGGTGTGTTGACTGTGTTTGGCCGCAGGGCACAGACCTTTATGGAAGTCCTCGCTCTGCATGGCATCCACCAGCTTTTCACCTTTCATTCTTATTCTTCACTTTTGCTGCTGAGCCTAGCTGTACAAATTTGCACTTTCATTTGCTAATGTAAATTCAATTTATTTTACCATTTTAGAGACTACTAATGATTAAATGTAAGAGAGGACACATGTTTTTATGTGGAGTGTTAAAAAAGATAAATTTATACCACTGTAATGTGCTGGATTTATTAAAAGAGATTGGTTAAACTGCTCGGTTGAATGAGAGACTTCCTCTATTGTACTCTTTTTTTTTTTTTTAAATCCAAGGATATTGTCTTTAGTAACAGCTTGTAACTTGTTAAAACATTAATTTGGGGTTTTTCCCTATTCTTAATTGTCTATGTACACATAGTAATTATGTTAAAATCCGTTTTTAAAAAAAACAGCCCTATGAAACTGTCCTCTGTGCATATTGTAAGGATAGATGTTGAGGACATTGTTCATGCCCTTATTGACACCCTTCTGTAAAGTTCTATAGGTTAAATTTATTTGTCTGACTTCAAATCTCAGCTCCTCCATAAATCCCAGTTCTTCCATGTGACGTTGGACAAGATACTTAACCTCTCTGAACCCCCAGTTCATCAGTTCCTCCTTGGTAAAATGAGGATAACATCTACCTCAGAAGACCATTAAAAGGAATAGAAATACCACGTGTAAAGCCCATAGCGCAGTACTTGGCAGAGGAAGCATTTGATAACTAGCAGTGATTATGATCAGGAATAATCTTGTGTTTCCAAGCAGGCAGCCTGCTCTTATTGTGTGGACCCTAAATTGAACAACTGCTGAGTTCCTGTTGACCTGCTGAAATGCAACGTTGCTGCACTCAAGCAGCAGCTGGCCCCGTGCAGCTCTTGAGATGTGCCAGGACCGAGCCAAGCCTACACATGCATAGCCACATGTAGTCCTCACACCAGGGCTCCAAAGCAGGAGTTATTGTGACTCCCATTTAACCTTGGTTAATCCGATATGTAAAATATATGGCCTTGTGAGGTAGGCAGTATTATCCTCACTTCAAAGGGATGTGAGTAGAGTCCTGTAGTTAAAGAGGGGCAGGCCTGTGGTCTAAACATCTTCTGACTTTTGTCTGTTGTTTTTTGCCTTGCCCCCTACAGCTGCCTTGCTGTTTTTTTTTCTGTTTGGTTGGTTGGTGTTTTTGTTTTGTTTTGAGACGGAGTCTCGCTCTGTCACCCAGGCTGGAGTGCAGTGGCACGATCTCGACTCAGTGCAACCTCCACCTCCCAGGTTCAAGCAATTCTCCTGTATCAGCCTCCTGAGTAGCTGGGATTACAGGCACCCGCCACCATGCCTGGCTAATTTTGTATTTTTAGTAGAGATGGACTTTCACCATGTTGGTCAGGCTGGTCTCGAACTCCTGACCTCAAGTGATCCGCACACCTCGGCCTCCCAAAGTGCTGGGATTACATATGTGAGCCGCCGCGCCTATCCTGTTTGTTTTTAATCTTTATTGCCTGGAATGTAATGCAACAAGACCCTTTGTGGGGAGGAAGAGACAGTTTCTATTCAATTCTGCAGACGCCAGATTCCAGAAAGTTAGATGTGAAGGAGAGATGTGGGAGGTGAATGGGAACGGAAGGCACATTGGCAGTGGAAGCACCGTTTGACACTGCTAGGGTCCGTTTCCTTCTTGACTGAGAGTCATTCTTTGGCCTGGACACCCTGACCCATTGTGAGTCTCCTCTTTCTCCTACCATCTTGCCTCCTTGATCTGGAGGTCTCTGAGAAGCTATTTAATTTGCATCTCAGTCCCTAGTACAGTAATGTGCAGATTAAAAATGCTCAGTAAATACTTAGTGAATGAAGCAAGCAGAGGTTTTCAAATATATATGTATATATGTGGGCCCGGGCACAGTGGCTCACACCTGTAATCCCAGCACTTTGGGAGGCCAAGGTGGGCAGATCACGAGGTCAGGAGATCAAGACCATCCTGGCCAACATGGTGAAATCCCGTCTCTACTAAAATACAAAAAATTAGCCAGGCACGGTGGTGCACGCCTGTAGTCCCAGCTACTCAGGAGGCTGAGGCAAGGGAATTGCTTGAACCAGGAGGCGGAGGTTGCAGTGAGCTGAGATCGGGTCACTGCACTCCAGCCTGGTGACAGAGCAAGACTCTGCTCACAAAAAAAATATATGTGTGTGTGTGTGTGTGTGTGTGTGTGTATGTATGTATGTGTGTGTGTGTGTGTGTGTTAAAAGTATATTTATATAATGTGTGTATGTGGCTTAAGAATAAAACACCCAACTATAGAACGTGACCAGTAACTGGGAAGCTTTGTGTACTCCTTTCCTGGTCATGTACCTCACCCTTCCCACCAGCAGTACCCTCTTTGCTGTATTTTATGCTAATCATTCTTGCTGTTCTACGTTAATTTACTGTCTGTGTACCTCTAAATATTTTGTTGTGTAACAATATATTGTTTTGAATGTTTCTGACCTTTTATATATGTTACCGTGACTGGCTGTCTTCACTCAGCCTTTTTTTAACCATTCAAGTTTATTTATTTTTATTATGGTAAAATATACATAAAATTTACTAGTTTCATCAGCCGCATTCTGTGTTTCAAGAATCATTTGCGGTAGTGTTAGTAACTATTTTCATCACTGTGTAGAATTCCATTTTTCTTAAAGATGACAGGAATATTCAAGCTTTCTAGTCAGTTTGGATCATTTTACTTTTCCTAGGAACTTGTTTCATTTAGGTTGTCAAATGTGTTGGCACGGAGTTCATAATGTTTCATTTTCATTTCTGTTATGTCAGTAGTTAAGTCTTCTTTCTAGTTCCTAATAATGTTTATTTGTGCCCACTCCCTTTTATGTTGATCTGTCATGTCAGAGGTTTGCAAGGTTTTTTTTAGTATTTTCAAGGAACCATCTGGCAGTCTTGGTGATCCTCTCTATTGTAGGTTTGGTTGCTTTTTCATTCGTTTCTGCTCTTTATTTTGTATTTTCTATTTGTCCCACTTCTAAGTTTCATTTTTTCCCCCTTCCTTGTCTTTTCAATTAATCAAGTTATAGCTCCTCTACACACACACACACTCTGTCTTTCATTTTTTTCTTCTACAAATTAGGAAGTTTTGTGATCTGTTTCTGTTCTTAGTGGGTGGATTAATTAAGAATAAAGAAAGATGATGAGGAATAAGGTGTAGTTACCCTGCCTTTCACCTGAGGATGTCTCTTGCCATCTTCTTTCCATCACCACTGCCTGCTGTAGACGATATTCCCACGACCTCCTGTCTGGACTGTTGTAACAGATGCCTCCTAAAGCACAGAAAGAATCAACGTTGCTTATGGCTGGGCACAGTGGCTCACGCCTGTAATCCCAGCACTTTGGGAGGCCGAGGCGGGAGGATCACATGAGGCCAGGAGTTGGAGACCAGTCTGGCCAACATGGTGAAACCTTGTCTCTACTAAAAATACAAAACTTAGCCGGGTTTGGTGGCGGGCACCTGTAATCTCAGCTACTTGGGAGGCTGATGCAGGAGAAATGCTTGAACTTGGGAGGCAGAGGTTGCAGTGAGCTGAGATCATGCCACTGCAATCCAGCCTGGACAACACAGCAAGACTCTGTCTGAAATATATATATAGCTCATATATATATGCGATATATACATACATATATAGCTTATATATATGAGCTATATATACATACATATATAGGCTTATATTATAGGTTATATATATAGGCTATATATACTACATATATACTATATAGTATATATACTATTAATAGTATATACTTTGGGAGGCCAAGGTGGGAAGATCTGTCATGTCAGAGGTTGCAAGTATACCATATACTATATATAGTATATATACACTATTAGTATATATAAGCTATATAGTGTATATAGCTTATATATATACTGTATACAGTATATATAGCTTATATACTATATATAGCCTATATATACTATATAGTATATATACCATTATTATATATATGTATACACTTTGGGAGGCTGAGGCGGAGGATCTGTCATGTCAGAGGTTTGCAAGTATAGTGTATATATATTAGTATATATAAGCTATAGTATATATAGCTTATATATTATAACATATATGCACTCTACTTATAACTTATATAAGCTATATATACTATACATAGTATGTATATATATATATATATATATATATATATACACACACACACACACTATATTCACATTGCTCCCCTGCACACTTATCTTTGCTGGCTCTCCAGAATCTGCCAGATAAAATCCAGATTCCTTGGCATGACATTTAAGACCCCAACATAATTTTCTTGCTTTCTCCAGCTCCCCAACCCCTACTCTATAATATCCTTTATATTGGCATGCTTGAAGTTTCCAGAACAGACTCTATACTTTTCCATTACATTTATTTACACATAAAGCCTCCCCCACCACCTGTCATGTCCCATGATAGATTTTAAGCTGAGATGGCCAATTTGCAGCCTTACAGAACTAGACCAGAAGATTATTTGTGGATAAATCTGATCTTCCTGTATGTAACTTCTACTTCACTGGTTCCTCAATCTCAATTGGCCACATGCTTGCTGAAGAGACTTGTTTTCTTCTTAAGGGATCCTACTAATCCCTTAAAGACCAAATCAAGCCACCTGCATCACTGCTGCTGTCTTGATTCTCCAGATGGAACTAATATCTAACTTTCCTATTCCCAGAGCACTGTCCCTGCATTACCACTACTGGTGAAATTCTGGTATTTTCAGAAGGCACCACCTGTTATGTCAGAAGATGCTTTGTGCAGCTGCTTCCATTGCTAACAGATGTATCTCTTTCTCTCATTCAGATCTATGCCCTCAACAGAGTCATGACAGAACTGGAGCAGCAGCAGTTTGATGAGTTCTGTAAACAGATGCAGCCTCCTGGAGAATGAGGCCCCAGGTTCAAACCAGATGGGATCCTGAGAGCTTTGAGAGGGTGTTGCCAGTTTTAAGCTGAGATGGCCCATTTGGAGCCTTACAGAACTAGACCAGAAGACATTTGTGGATAAATCTGAACTCACTTCCTGTGTGTAACTTCTAACTTCACTGGTTCCTCCCATCTGAATTGGCCACATGCTTGCTGAAGAGACTTGTTTTCTTCTTCTAAGACAGTGGTTTTGTTTTTTGGGTTTTTTTAAAAAAAAAAAAAAAACACACACAAAAAACACTTTTTCTATTGTTTGAGAAAAATCAGTGTTTCTCATGAAACTCTATATCTTCTCCAAAAATACAAATAAAATACTAATAAAATGTTCATTTGCTCATACTTTAGCAAATGCCTAGCCGTAGAAAATGGAGCACAAAGTAATGTGATAGGTAAGAAAAGTTGAGGTGAGCAGAAGGCACCCTCTCTCCTTCAGGAGCTTGGCAGAGAGGAGAGAAAGAACATGACTGCTTCCGGTTTTCATTCTTCCTGGGGCTAAAACTTTGCAGACCTTGCTGATCTCTAGTTTGTAGGCACACAGATAGAAATATGTGACCCCTTTACTCCCAGATGAGTCACTAGTCAGGGTTAGAGGCCTGAAGCTAGGATTCCCTCACCGGTGATGTGGAGAGCTAGCAGCAGGCTTGCATCAACAGCAAGAGGGGAGTGCAGGTGCTTTTTGTTTTTTGTTTTGGTGGCTGCCTTATCAGACCTAGAAATGGATTTATGGTGGAAATATTCAGACGTCCCTCAGAAACCAGCCACCCGCCCTCCGCCATTCAACAGCCATTTTTAGGTGTAGAAATGTAAGGTTGTTTCTGCTGCTGACATTTGTATCAAGAATGGTAGTTCATACCTGAATGCTTAGCTGTAGAGTTATTTTAATGCTGAGCAAAAGAAGAGATTGTTCTTCCAGGATATTTCATTTCCAGAAATTCCTTGGGAGTAGGGGGAGGAGGACTTAAGAGAGCTGAAAAAATACCACTCAGATGGGGCAAAGAGCCAGACACTGCCACCTGCTTTCCTCTAAGCTGGAAATGCTGGAAACACCTCAAGTTGTCCCTGTCTCCTCTGTCTCCCTGCTGCCTCTGAAGTCACTGAGAATACTTTTCCATTGCTCTGGCATATTTTAGGAGTAAACTGGGGAGTTAATGGGATGTTAAACATTATACCATTGTGGAGAATGTGTTTTTAGAGCCCAAGTTATAATTAAGGATAATCTCTACATAGATTATCTCCATAAATGGTAATTAGGTTCTGTAGCATCCTGCTAAATTTGGTTGAATGGAATTTTGTGTTTTCAGAGAAGTAGGGGGTTGGAGGGAGCTGTCCCTATAAACATACAGAAATACTGTCATATACTAAAAAGAGCAGTTTTGGAGCCAAATGACCTAGGGTACCCAACTACCAGTTATCCTCTCTGAACTGCACTTTTCCTATCTACATAATGGAATGGTATTTTCTTCCTCTCAGGAGTGTTGTTGAGAAATAATGTATGTAATAGATACTCAGTGCCTTAGTTCACTTTGTGCTGTTATAACAAAACCTCAGATTGGGTATGGTTTTTGTGGGTTGGTTGGTTGGTTGGTTTTTTGAGACAGGGTCTGGCTCTGTTGCCCAGGCTAGAGTGCAGTGGCACGATCTCGACTCATTGCAACCTTTGCACCTTTGCTTTCTGGCTCAAGCCATCCTCCAACCTCAGCCTCCTGGGTAGCTGGGACCACAGGCTTGCACCACCACACCTGCTAATTTTGTATTTTTTTGTAGAGACAGGGTCTGACTTTGTTGCCCAGGCTGGTCTCAAACTCCTAGCTCAAGTGATCCACCCGCCTCAGCCTCGCAAAGTACTGGGATTACAGGGATGAGCCAACATACCTGGCCTAGATTGGGTAATTTATGAAGAACAGAGATTGGTTTCTTACAGTTCTGGAAGCTGGGATGTCCAAGGTGGAGGGGCCCACATCTGCTGAGGGCCATCTTGCTACATTATCCTGTGGCTGAAGGTGAAAGGGCAACGGAAGAAGAAGGAGGCCAAACTTCAGCCTTTTATTAGGAACCCACTCCCAAGATAACTAGCCTACTCCAGCAATAACAGACAGCATTAATCATTCATGATGGCAGAGCCCTCATAACCTAATCATCTCTTAAAGTTTCCACCTCTTAACACTGTTGCATTGGGGATTATTTCTAACACACGAACTTTGGGGGACATATTCAAACCATAGCACTCAGAAAATGTTACTTCCCTTCCCAGCCACCTTTCAGATTGTTTCATGGGAAATGTTTTCAGATTTCACATAACCAGGAAAGACATGATCATTGTCTGGAAAGATTCTTAGTTGGGAACTGCTTGTATTAACATCTCTCAGCCTTGGGTATATTCTTGTCGTGGAGAAACACTCTAGTAGGGCACAAGTGGTTGTAAAATCAGTTTAGTAAATTATGACCAGCTTTTCTTTTTAATGAAATAACAAATTAGAAAATACCACATGTGGGGCCGGGCGCAGTGGCTCACGCCTGTAATCCCAGCATGTTGGGAGGCCGAGGCGGGTGGATCACGAGGTCAGGAAATCAAGACCATTCTGGCTAACAGGGTGAAACCCGGTCTCTACTAAAAATACAAAAAAAAAAAATTAGGCGTGGTAGCGGGCGCCTGTAGTCCTAGCTACTCAGGAGTGTTGGGAACAAGCCCCCCAAAATCTGGCCATAAACTGGCCCCAAAACTGGCCACAAACAAAATCTCTGCAGCACTGTGACATGTTATGATGGTCACAACACCCACGCTGGAAGGTTGTGGATTTACTGGAATGAGGGCAAGGAACACCTGGCCCACCCAGGGTGGAAAACCACTTAAAGGCATTCTTAACCCACAAACAATAGCATGAGCGATCTGTGCCTTAAGGACATGCTCCTGCTGCAGTTAACTAGCCCAACCTATCCCTTTAATTTGGCCCATCCCTTCATTTCCCATAAGGGATACTTTTAGTTAATTTAATATCTATAGAAACAATGCTAATGACTGGCTTGCTGTTAATAAATACGTGGGTAAATCTCTGTTTGAGGCTGTCAGCTCTGAAGGCTGTGAGACCCCTGATTTCCCACTTAACACCTGTATATTTCTGTGTGTGTGTGTCTTTAATTCCTCTAGTGCCACTGGATTAGGGTCTACCCTACTGAGCTGGTCTCAGCACAGGAGGCTGAGGCAGGAGAATGGCGTGAACCCACGAGGTGGAGTTTGCAGTGAGTGGAGATCGCGCCACTGCACTCCAGCCTGGGCGACAGAGCGAGACTCAAAACAAAACAAAACAAAACAACAAACAAAAAAAACTGCCACATGTGGTAAGGATATTGTTTGGTGAAACTTTTGTTTTAGGCTTACATACACATGAATGTGTATACTGCATTGGATGTAAAAATTATTCCTTACTGTGGGTTGTGGTAAAAAAAAAAAAAAAAAAAAAATCGAGATACAAGAGGATGCCTGAACCAAGAGAGCAATGGGTCATCTTTGTATTCCCCCTTCCTGTTTTTTTTTTTTTTTTCCCCTTTGAGTCAGGGTCTTGCTCTGTCACCCAGGCTGGAGTGCAAGTGGTACAGTCATGGCTCACTGCAGCCTTGAACTCCTGGGCTCAAGCAATCCTCCTACCTCAGCCTCCCGAGTAGCTAGGACTACAGATGTGTTCCACCACACCCAGCTAGTTTTTTAAAATTTTTTTGTAAAGATGGGGAATCGCCACATTGCCTAGGCTGGTCTCAAACTCCTGGCCTCCCAAATGCTGGGATTACAGGCATGAGCCACCATACCTGGCCTTTTATTCACATTTTAGAAAGAAAAAGATTTATCTTCTACCTCTAAGAAATACCAGCGTAAGGGGTCCAGAGGCCATTGTGTCCATAATTGGAATAACATTGAATGCTAAGGGTCTTATAAGCATAGTCAAAGAAAACTAGGAACACATCATCTCTGCTTACCTGCCCAGAATTCCCTCATCCTGATGTGGTCCATCCCCAGTTTCTCAAAGGTACAGAGATATTTTTGAAGCTTTACATCTAAAACCAATAATGATAACACTGACTTTGGAAGTCAAGCTCTAAGATCCACTACTTGGTGATTGTGTGGGCAAGTGTTAATCTCCCTAAGTCAATACTTTTTTTTTTTTTTTGAGATGGAGTCTTGCTCTGTCACTCAGGCTAGAGTGCAGTGGTGCTATCTCAGCACTGCCTCCTGGGTTCAAGAAATTCTCCTGCCTCAGCCTCGCGAGCAGCTGGGATTACAGGCGCCCGCCACTACACCTGACTAATTTTTGTATTTTTAATAGATATAGGGTTTCACTATGTTGGTCAGGCTGGTCTCAAACTCCTGATCTCAAGTGATCCACCCACCTCAGCCTCCCAAAGTGCTGGAATTAACAGGCACGAGCCACCGTGCCCGGCCCCTAAGTCAATAATTCTTAAGTGTTTTGGTCTCAGGGGTTTTACATACTCTAAAAATTGTTGTATATATCATATTTGCTTTATTAGAAGTTAAAAGCTTAAAAAATATTTACTAATTCATTTAAAAGTGATAACCCATTATAGGATAACATAAATAATATTTTTGTGAAAAAATTTCAAAAATAATCATTTAGTGAGGAGTGGCATCATTTTACATTTTTGCAAATCTCTTTAATATCCAGCATAATGGAAAAAAGCTGAATTCTCATATCTGCTTCTGTATACTGTATTCTCATCTTGTTTCGGTTGAAATATATGAAGAAAATGCGGCCTCACATTGATATGTAGTTAGAAAAGGGAGGAGTATTTTAATAGCCTTTTATGATCATTGTAGATAATCTTTAATACTATACCAAAACTCAGCGAGTGGTGGTTTCTTAAAGGTTAGTTGCAATATAGAATCTGATAACATGTCAGTGATCTTTTTGTACTTTATTACATTAAAATCCTTTGGTCTTTGCATCTTTCCCTATGAACAGATCTTTCACCCATGCATGATTTTGTAACATCATGCACTGATCATTTAGAAAATGTTGGTTCACCGAGTTATGCGGATTTTCCAAATGTTACCACATTGCATTACACAACATCAGAAATATTTATTCATTAATATCCCCACTGATCTCACCAGAAAAGTCTGAGTATTGGAAAAGTGTCAAACGCACAGTGACAGTGAGTTTGGATACAAGTTTTCCAAAATTCTAACTTTTCACTTGGAAGCTCAAATTTTATCCTTGGCAACAAGAACTATTTCTTGAAGCAACAGGCTCTCTCTGTTTATATTTTCAGAAAGACAAGTCTGAGCAACCCTAGTCTGTCAATCGTCCTTTGGTGTTTCATAAGAAAAGAAGCGAGTTCAGCTCAAACTCAAACCAGTGCTTTTCCTCCAGAAAACCATCATCACTGCAGTATGCAGCAGGAATGTTCTATGTGTGCTTTCCATTTCATTCCACAGAATATTAAAAAGATGTGTACTCGGACAGGCACGGTGGCTCACGCCTGTAATCCTAGCATTTTGGGAGGCCAAGGCAGGTGGATCACCTGAGGTCAGGAGTTCCAGACCAGCCTGACCAACATGGTGAAACCCTGTCTCTACTAAAAATACAAAAAATTAGCTGGGTGTAGTGGCGGGCGCCTGTAATCCCAGCTACTCAGGAGGCTGAGGCAGGAGAATCACTTGAACCCAGGAGGCGGAGGTTGCAGTGAGCCAAGATCACTCCATTGCACTCCAGCCTGCGTGACAAGAACAAAACTCCGTCTAAAAAAAAAAAAAAAGAAGTGTACTCAAGGGTAAAGTTTTAATAAAATTAATAATTTTTACTACTTCATCATAACATTCTTCAGTTTTTTGTTTTTTACTGTGAGCCTGCAGCAGTGAAAAGTACAATTAACTAGCAATACTGTTTAGGGCCACTGCCTAGATTCAAACCAGAATGTCAGGCATGTTGCCCACCATTGCTTTGCTCCATTAGCAAAAATGTCAACAGAGTGACATTTTAGTCCCAGTTTTAGGATTAAGAAAACACGGTGGCTCACGCCTGTAATCCCAGCACTTTGGGAGGCGGAGACAGATGGATCATGAGGTCAGGAGATCGAGACCATCTTGGCTAACACGGTGAAACCCGTCTCTACTAAAAATACAACAACAACAAAAAAATTAGCCAGGCGTGGTGGCGGGCACCTATAGTCCCAGGTACTCGGGAGGCTGAGACAGGAGAATTGCTTGAACCTGGGAAGCAGAGCTTGTAGTGAGCGTGAGACTCCGTCTCAAAAAAAAACAAAACAAAAAAACAGTTTTGACCCTGAAGGGGTCTCAGGAACCCCAGGGGTCCACAGACCACACTTTGAGAACTGCTGACCTAAAACCTGTGGTCACCTACCTCATTGGATTGTTTAGGGGATTATGTAAAATAGTAAAATTCAGGGAACGGTTCCTGACACATAGTAAGTTATATGGTATAATATAGTAAATGTTAATTATACATTTACTGTACATAGTAAATGTTAACTATTATTACCATTCTAAATTGAAATATGTACATATGGGAAGAGAAGAAGGCTAGAGGGGACAGAAAGCCATCTAACATTTATTTAACATATTTTACGTGCCATTCATTATTCTAGGTGTTTTACATTCATCCACATAAAACATCACGGTTGTTCAATCCACAAAACAACCCTGAAAGGAAGTAAATCCTCCATTTTACAGATAGGAAAATAGGCTTAGAGAGATTAAACGTTTTATTCAAGGTCACAGGGCTAAAAGAGTAGCAGAATTCTCAGTCACTTGATTCCGCTTATCAGACACAGAAGTAGGACTTCAGGTTAGGAAGAAGGGACTAGAAGTTGACCAGGAGGGAAATCTACACTCTCTCTCAAGCTTAGGACAAAGAGAACTGCCTAAACCCCACTGGCTTCATGTATGCATTTGAGAAGTGCAGATTTTAAAGTCTTGGCCTTCTCCCTTGTTCCTAAGAGGAAGCCCAAGAAGAGACATTCTATTTTAGAAAACCACTGTCTGAGGAAGTGAAGGCATTGAATGAGTAGCCTTAGTATCTGAGACCCTCAAGCCCGTATAGAAGTATAACCATACTCTCAGAGAGGTGCAAGGAAGCATAGATCCCTCTGTTAACCGGCTGTCAGCTGACCTATAACTATCCTAGTGTCATTAACCTACAAAAAAAACTGGAGGCAATTAAGTATGAATTATTGCCATTACAATCAAGCGATAATTTACACATCCAAATGGGCATTTTACTTTTCAAAGCTGTCCTCCTGGGGGTCTGTATATTTCTCTCTGCTGCTGTCACTTAAAATGGACATGGAAATTCTCTTTCAGAATTGCATCTTTTTCCTTTCAACATAGTTTCAAATTTTAGAAACAGCCACAAGGCATTTGAGTCCAAATATGATACCTAATTTGATTTAAGAATACGACATAATTGGCTAATCTCAAATGTTAGGTTTTTGGAAAAAATTTAGTTCAGAATAAAACCTGTTTTTCGCTTTTGGTGGTGGTGGTGTTGTTCCAGCTGCTTGGTCCTTAAGAATTTATGTGAAGACCATTTTCAGATTGGAGTTCCTAAAATGCTTTGATTAAGGGGAGCATCACATTGAAATGGATGTACAGCATTGAAGGACATTGTATTGAAATGTCTAAGCTCGTGTATATTTGTAAAATTCTTACCACATTATAGAAACCTTGTATGTAACTTACTAGAATCCACAACTAAATCAATTCATATACAAAGGGAACATTTCTGAGTGTCAGGCACTATGGCAGATAGCAAAAATACAAAACTTAAACTGAAGGAGATATAAAGTCCTGGGACACAGGCAAATCCATCTAACTAGGAACATATGAATGATTTAACAGGAAGGCACCGTCTATTCTGTTACAGTCAAATCTTACTTTGGGTTTTTATTTTTAAACATCTAATTTGAGAATAGATGTATATTTACCACATACATTGTTCTGGAAACTTAAAAAAGTTATATCCAGGGTAGAAGGTGTTCTGGCACAGTCTCTGAGGGTGGAGCAGAACCAGCCATCAATCCTTTTTTCCACCATCTGGGAGGTGGAATGTCTATCTACGCTGGGGGCTCAGTGGACCTGAGTTCTCGGTGAGGTACACCTTTGCCATACAGTACTGTTTATTTCTATTTGATTTGGATTTTAGAATATGAAGTGGCATCTGAATAGCTAGAGTTTAGTAGTTTCCAGCGTAGGAAAGAAAATCCACACGAGATCCTGCAAGCCAGATGATGCCCTGTGTCACCAATGTATCTAACTGCTAAACAAAGCAAAAGGCGGCAGCTTTGAACTATTAAAATACAGAATGTAGGCCGGGCGCGGTGGCTCACGCTTGTAATCCCAGCACTTTGGGAGGCCGAGGCGGGCGGATCACGAGGTCAGGAGATCGAGACCATCCTGGCTAACACGGTGAAACCCCCGTCTCTACTAAAAATACAAAAAATTAGCCGGGCGAGGTGGCGGGAGCCTGTAGTCCCAGCTACGCGGGAGGCTGAGGCAGGAGAATGGCGTGAATCCCGGGGGGCGGAGCCTGCAGTGAGCCGAGATCGCTCCACTGCACTCCAGCCTGGGTGAAAGAGCGAGACTCCTTCTCAAAAAAAAAAAAAAAAAAAAAAAAAAAACCCAGAATGTTGAAGTTACAAAATCCTACACACATTCAAACTAGGCAACAAGAGAGTCCTGTGATTGGCTCTACTCTCAGAGCCAGAGTCTGCAAGAGTAAGAAATGCTTCAGGAAGCCCCACCAGGCAGGGCTGAGGCTGAGGCCAATACCAGTTCTGAAGGCTCTCACTCCTTTCCAAGGGATGGACCTTAGTAGCACACAGTCACCCGGCTGGTAATGGAGCTGGAACCCAAACCCAGCCCACATTGAGCTTGAGGCGGGGGGATATTCTGCTCTACATGACATAAACAAGTATTGTCCGCAAGGGAGTCAGAACCCTGAATAAAGACAAAGAAGTGAAGTTCACTGACCCTGCTTTGGGTTTCTAACTTCATGGCAACAGACATACCATATATCTAGTATATGGCAACACAGGTACATACAAAGCTTTAGTGCAGGCTTGACCCAATATGCTGACACAAACCCCACAGAGGCCGGCAGGAGCTGGTAGAGCTGCTTAGCTTCCTCAGTGCTGTGGCGAAAGACAGGCTGCCTTGCCCCACAGAGCATCTGGAAAGAAGATGTACGAGAGCGACCACATCAGGCAGTAAAAAGCAGACAGAGACAATGGGGAGAAAAACAGCATGATGACACCTGGAAGAACAAAAAGTGCAGACACTCAATTTCTAGGAAGCTGTCTTCTATGCTTTCTACCCTCTACTCTCCCGTCCCCACCCTCCCATTCTTTACTTTTCACCCACAGTGCCTAAGAAACAAACAGAAAGAGACAGGAGCCCTGTCTTCAAGTTCAGTTTAATAGAGATAGGTAAGTAACTAGAGAAGTATAGCCCAATGCAGTCTCAGGTTCCACTGTGTCAAATTCACATCAGAAGTTCCAGCCAATAATAAATCTGAATTGCCTTTGTTAGGGAAAACAAAACAAACCAAGACAAAAACCAAAAACCCTTGTTAGGAAAAAAAAATCTTCCTCATTGTTTTAAATTTAACATGTGATAACGACCAATGCAGTATGATATGTATGCAGAAAAGAGTTTACGTGCAGGCCTGAGACTGCTATCCTCAGAAAGGCCTTCTTGCAAGGCTGGCCCTTGGCTGATGGCTGGAAACTTGAATAGTAAACAGTTCCCTAGACCAACATAAAACTTTCCCCAACTGATAAGAGTGTCTCACTGTTCCTAGACTGTCCATATAAGCACGGTGGTAACACCTGGTTTCCTTCTGGGAATCTGGAATTTTGGTACATGGTAGGCACAGGGTGCTGACATGACCATCCCCCAGTAAAACTTGGGCACTGAGTCTCTCATCAGTTTCCCTGGTAGCCAACACTTTATTGTATTATCACAATTCAGTGCTGAGGAATTAAGTGCATCTCGTGTGACTCTACTGGGAGAGGACTCTCTGAAGCTTGCACCTGGTTTCCCCTGAACTTTTTCCCATGCACCTTTTCCCTTTGCTGATTTTGCTTTACATCCTTTTGCTGAAATCAATCTTAGCCATGAGTACAACAAGCTGAGTCCTGTGAGTCTTCTCAGGGGTGGTCTTGGGGACTCCCAACACAATTTGCATCTCAGATTCGCCACCAAAAGGCAAAAGAGCACTCACGTTTGTGGAATATCTATTTTGCACTAGACATTCTGCTAGATGTGTACATTTTTTTCATTTACACTTCACAATAATCCCGTGGTTTAGAACTAAGTCTGTTTTTCATAAGAAGAAACAGAAGTAACCTGTACGAGGTCCTGATTCAAACCCACTTCTGCTTGACTCTTAAAAACTAGACACACTGCCTCAGGGAGCTCAAAAAGAGGACAAAGAGAGTATGAGCCAATGGTATTTCCATGGGAATGATCACCATGTATCCTGTAAGAGAAATCAGAACATATGATCTGATAGAAGACCACTTCTAGGAGTAATAAGCAGTTAAGGATATGCATGGGCATTTTGGAATACTGTATTTCAAGAATAGTCATTGATCTGTTGAGGCAAAAAGACAATACTGAAAACCAGAGTTGTCTTGGAAAGTACATGGCTGGCGCGTTGGCTCATGCCTGTAATCACAGTACTTTGGGAGGCCAAGGCAGGAGGATTGCTTGAATCCATGAATTTGAGATCAGCCTGGACAAAAGAGTGAGACCCCTCTCTACCATGTATGTATGATTTTCGGCTACTCCCTGTAAAAAAAAAAAAAAAAAGTATTTCATATAAGGTTTCAGAGTGCTGGTCACAGGCCAGTTCTCAGACGTACGAAGCTCTGTGGGGTAGAAGGGACCTCAGTCTAAGAAGGTGACTGGCTGCACTCCAAATAAGAGGAATGTCCACAGAAGCCATTTTGAAATCTACCCAGTAGGGCTCTGGTATTAACTGTTGTCAAAATCTGTAAGGTGCAGTTTCCTCCCTTACTCACACAGCAGGACAATCTGAGGAAGGCTGAGGCCAAGTATGTGGTTTATTTTGAGAAGAGGGGGATCAGTAGTATCTACAGGAGCGAAGAACACTAAGCAATACTACTGTTATGAGATAGGAGAAGGGGAGGTGGAGGAGAAGGGCGAGGCTAGAAATGGACACATCTGTGCCAGAGGATTTATATTTATTATCTCATTTAATCTCAGAAATCCTGCAAAGTAGGGATTAGTGGCTTCGTTTTACAGATGGATAAAATTGAGCTCAAAACAGTGAGGTATTAGCCCAAGTTCAACTAATATGTGCTAGAGTTAGAGCTTGGGCTCAGGTCTTCCTGAGAAGCTTCCAAACCCAGAAGCTTCTCACCACCATTCTGCCTCTGCCACCTAAGGCATAGGAGGAGCCAGCTCCTGGAGCTTTGAAAGGGCTGTTGGTGCTAATGTTACAAAAGGTATAAACCTTAAGGGAAAGGTCAGGATGAAACCGAAGACCCTATAAACTAGATGGGACTCACATGGGAATAATGGAAGGAACTCTGGATCCCCATAGATGTTTGTCTTGTTTACAGGAGCACATTTTAAGAGAAGAAAAACTGATATTCCTTGAAGGAAGCCCTAAATCAGGGGAAGCTCTAGGGAGACGTCTGCAAGGCCCCAGTGTGACCAGGAACTCAGGGCCTGGAGCCCAGTGCTCAGTTACTTCAAACCCAACCCTAAGAGTCATCCATGTCTCCTCCTCCTTCCTCAATGTCAATTCTATTTCCAACATTTATCTCAAATCCATTCACTTCTCTTTATCTCCACTGCCACCATCACCTCTCATCTGAACAAAAAGTTTGTTTTCCTCCTTGCATTCTCAGACCTACAATCTGTTCTCCACATTGCAGTCAAAGTGATTATTGAAAACTGCTGCTCCAGCCATACCACTTCCCTGCATAAATCCCTTTAGAGGCTCCTCATTTGCCTTTGGTATCAAATCCCAAATCCTGCCAGGTCTGCTCACCTCATGGCCTCAGTCTGTGTCACTGGCTGTCTCAGCAAGTTTCAGCCACATTGCTCCACTAATGTGTCCAGCCCCTGTGGCCTCAAAGCCATCACAACATACTGTTCCTCTGCCTGAACCTCCTGAACCTCCCCATCCCCACCTGGCCACTCCTCTTGTAGGTCTCACTTAAATGACACCTGCTTAAGGATCCTTTCCTTCCCTTCAGATCATGCCAGCCTGAAGTAGGTCACCCTCTGACACTCAGAGCACCCTGCACTTACATAATACATACAGTAAACCTACATGTTTCTAGATATTTCTGCCATTATTTGTTTGATCTCTGTCTCCCCTGTGATCAGCCTCTAGATTCAGAGGCAGGGACTGTTTGCCTAGTTTACCAATTTGATTTCCAGTACCTGGCACACGGTGGGTGCTTCCTAAATCTCTATTGAACTTATTAACATTTAGCAAGTATATACTGAGCACCTACGATGTGACTGACACACTTCTAGGCACTGGGGATTATATTAATAGCATGAATAAAAGAGAGTCCTCTATTGGGGGTAGGTTTAGTGTTTATAGACAATAAGAAAACTAGTAAATATGTCAGATGATTATCAGTTCTATGGGGAAAAATAAAGCAGAATAAGAGAGATAGAAAAATGCTGGGGTGAGGTACAGTGGCAATAAGCAACTGTGATAACAAACTGGCCATAGTGACATTTTCACTCACCTCCTATATAAACCAATTTTTTCCAGTTCTCAGACTCCAGGATTTTGTCATATGGATAGTAGCTCTGGTCCATCATGAAGAGAATCATGAGTGAGGCCATGCAGCAGAGGATGAACCTGTTGCCTTTGGTCAGAAGGGAGGTGGAAGCCAAGATGCAGGAAGCATAGGGGCAGGGTAGACCCTTGTATGTGGAGGGGACTCCTGCCAGGAAGAACGCTGGAGATTAGCTGCTTCCCTCTGCTCTAAAGATACCAAAATGAAGCAAGCCCCTCTCTCTTTGGGTATTCCCCTACCCAGGATACAATATTCCCTTAAACCCAAAGGCAGTGGCAGGCTGAAAATCATTTATTCACAAAGATGATGCATGGGTTTTACATTGGTTTTCCAAGGGAAAGCAGGCAGCCAGCTAGGACCAGGGTGTGCCCTGGCTCCTAGGAAGTCTCTGCTGAAAGGGTCCTTTGAGACCTGCTAGTCTAAGCCCTGTGCTGTATCTGCTCTCCCTCACTTTGTGACCTTAGGCAAGACAATTTCCCTCACTGGAGCATGGTTTCTCCATCTGTTTTAAGGAACTGGAATACAACCTCCAGTTCTAGTCCAAGAATCAATGTGCTCCATCCAAAGGTCACAGGTCACGCATTGAGAAAGAGGCACAGCTGCTCCAAGAAATGAAGGCCCTTGCCTCCCAGCCCAGGGCTCTGCCAATGCAGCCTGCAGCCTTCAGTGGGCATGGGGCATGGGGCACGCAAGGAGGAAGGAAGAGGAGCTCCAAAAAAGGAGTCAGTAACTGCACCCCAGGCTTCTGGCACCCGACAGCCCCCCGTTCTGTGCTCCCCTGCCCTCTGTTCTAAGGCAACCTTGGTTCCACTCACCAGGTGAATAAAAGCACAAGTGGAAAGAAGCAGCTGACACATAGATGATGGCCAGGATCCCACTCAGAAGTCCATCCACGCCTAGGAGCAGAGCGGAGGCCAAGCCGAAGGTGGTGAAGACGGCAAAGTCATTCAGCTCGGCTCCTGCCCCAGACGGCCCAAGGTTAGAAGAACTTATACTCCCACGTCTTGCACCTTAGCCCCCATCTAGTAGGGGAGCTGGGGTAGTGATAAGAGGGGTCCTGAGGTCACAGAAAGCAACAGCTGCTCCCCTGGGGCAGTCTTCAGATCAAAGCTCGGGATCTCCTCCTGGCTCTGCCTTGCGCTGGCCGGTGGCCTTGGGCAAGTATCTCCCCCTCAGATCTTAGTCTTCCCATCCCTTAACATGCAAGGCTTGGACTACAATCAGATACAAACTGATAAGCTGTGGGACTTTTTTCACGCTAAATCTTACATGGAAGCATTTTACTGTATTTTAAACCAGCTGCTCTGCTGGTGTAATTTTCATCTCCTCTCTGCCAACTTCCTCTCACCCCACCCCTACCCACTTCCACTCCAATACCTGGATGGGCCCAGAACAGGGAAGCAGGGCAGATGAGAAAACTGAAAGCCAGGACAAGGACTGCCCAAAGGTCAGCAAGTGAGCCAGCAGAGGAGCTGGAGCTGGACCGCGGGGCTCCTGAACTCCTGCTCCAGGGCTGCTGCTGCTGCTGCTCTCAGCGGGGTGTGAACAGGGGTGGATGCCTGATGAAGGCCTGCGGGATGTTAGAGGATGGACGAAGGGGTGACCCCAGATGGATGCTACTGGGGGCAAGGATTAGGGGCCTGGGGCCTGAACTCACCCAATTTGGAGCATATGTTGATGTGGCTGGTCATTGCCCTGACTGCCATGTCTAACAGGAAGCTGACCAGGAGCATCCGGGAGGCATAGTGGCATTTCCTAAAGTGCAGGCCAGCAAGCCCAAACAGGGAAGCACTTTCGCAGTTTCCACTGGAGACTCTCCCCTGCCCCCCATTAGTATATTAGTATACACTAATATACTTCCCACACACCTCCCACACTTGCACACATACACACCTCTTCATGTCCCCCACACTCACATCCCTTCTGATATATGCTGCTTTTTGCACCACACATGCACATACACATGCCTACATCCCTCACAAACTCAATCTACAGTCTTAAAGGGGTGCCCCAAACCCCCTAGAACATCACTAAGATCCCTTCCAACTCTAACTTCCAGGCATTTTTGATGGCACAGGGGACCTAGGTTCTAGTCCAGCCTCTGCCACCATCTCCCTATGAATTCTTAGGTAAATCACTACCCCATCTCTAGGCCTGTTCCCCCATCTGTAAAATGAGGAGTGTGTGCTAAATGATTTGTTTAATAGATACAAACCTATTCAGATGACCTGTTTCTCCTTGTGTGAGTTTTGGTAACTTATGTCTTTTAAGGGATTGATTATTTTCAGCTACGATATCAAATTTGTGGGCGTAGAGTTGTTCATAGCATTCCTTTATTATCCTTTTAATATCTGTGGAATCAGTAGTAATGGCCCTTGTTTCATTTCTGATATTGGTAATTTCTGTCTTGTCTTTTTTTTAACTTGGTTAGCCTGGCTAGAGGTTTACTGATTTTATTGATCTTCTCAAAGAATCAGCTTTTGGTTTCATCCATTTTTCTCTATTAATTTCTTGTTTTCAATTTCTCTGATTGCCACTCTAATTTTTATTTTATTTTTTTGAGATGGAGTCCCTCTGTTGCCCAGGCTGGAGTGCAGTGGCACGATCTCCACTCACTGCAACCTCCGCCTCCCAGGTTCAAGTGATTCTCTTGCCTCAGCCTCCTAAGTAGCTGGGATTACAGGCATTTGCCACCACATCCAGCTAATTTTTGTATTTTTAGTAGAGATGGTGTTTCACCATGTTGGCCAGGCTGGTCTCGAGCTCCTGACCTCAAGTGATCCGCCGGCCTCAGCTTCCCAAAGTGCTGGAACTACAGGCATGTGCCACTGCGCCCGGCCTGATTTTTACTTTTTACTTTTTATGCTTCCTTTGGATTTAGTTTGCTTTTCTTATTCTAGTTTCCTAAGGTTAAAGCTTAAATTATGGATTTTAAATCTTTCTTTTCTTGACTATATGCATTCAATGCAATAAATTTCCCTCAAAGCAAAGCACTGCTTTCCCTGCATCCTATAAGTTTTGATAAATCATGTTTTCATTTTTTTTAGTTCAAAACATTTTCAATGTTTCGTGAGACTTCTTCTTTTATCCACGTGTCATTTAGAAGTGTGTTGTTTAATCTCCATATATTTCAGGATTTTTCAGCTATCTTTCTGTTATTGACTTCTAGTTCATTTCCATGTTGTCTGAGAGTATACTTTTTTAAAATTTGTTAAGGTATGTTTTATGGCCCAGAATGTGATCTGTCCAAGTGAGTTTGAGAAGAATGTGTACTCTGCATGGTTGGATGAAGTACTCTATAGATGTCCATTTTATCCAGGTGACCAATAGTGTTGCTGACTTCAACTATGTGTTTGCTGATTTTCTGCCTGTTGGATCTGTCAGTTTCTGATAGAGGGGGTGGAAATCTCCAACCTTGATAGTAGACTCATCAATTTGTCCTTGCAGTTCTATTAGTTTTTGCCTCATGTATTTTGATGCTTTAAATGATTTCCATGAGCTCTTTCATACCCCACATTCTTGATTCTGTGCCTCCATCCAGCACCTGCTCTCAGGTCCCTCTAAAAGCTGCCACCACAGCTCCAAGCAAACCTGCCCTGAGAGGCCCATTCTCAAGTCTGCACCCTGATTGCAATGCTTAGGCAACCCAGAAGAAGCAAAGGGCCTGACCTAGACCTCAGCTGTCTCCAAACTACCACAGCATTTCCTTTGTTTAGACCTAGTCCTATGTATCTAAAGGGGACTGAAGTTAAATAAAAATACTCAGGGCACCATCATGGCAACACTCCTAGAAAATTAGGCTGTACTAAGAGGATAGAAATTTTCTGGGCTGGGCACAGTGGCTCACGTTTGTAATCCCAGCACTTTGGGAGGCCTAGGCAGGTGGATCACTTGAGCCCAGGTGTTTGAGACCAGCCTGGGCAATATAATGAGACCTCATCTCTTAAAAAAAAAAAAAAAAAAGTTTCTTAAAAAAAGAAATTTTCTGCTGTAGGTGTGCCCTACTTTATTATACTCCAAAAACCAAGACTTAGAGAATCACAAAAATTTCCAGCTGGAAGGGGGCTTAAACATCATCAGGTAAAGTCATCTTATTTTGTGGATGAGAAACAAATCCAAAGAGAAGTCACTTACTGATGGTTATAGACAATCAAGTAGATTAGGAGATGTTACCCGCATCATAAAGGATTTATCTTTAAAGGACTGACATCCCAAAAACATTGAAATGGGATTCAACTTACAGAAATAGAATTTGCTTACAACATTTTGGGGGAACATATAATGTCTCGGACCTCCCAGAACAGTGCTAATTTCAAATATTCTGCCAGGTCATATGATCTAAGAATTAGAAAATATGAACTGTGGCCTACCCAAAGATTGCATAAGGGCCACCAGAACAGAATCTATTGACTTTCTCACAGAAACCATTCTAGACTGCCATAGCTGGAATGAACTGGTACCGTTGAGCATGGGATCTTGGCCTCTTGACTCCTAAGCCACTGCACTTACCCTGGGTACACTGTGGATTCCTATGCCTCAGTGCCTGCTCTCCAAACTCTCCCTCTCCTTCCCGCATGCCATTGGCTCCAGCTCTTGGCTAAGAGCTTGCTGGGCCCCAGACCTACCTGCTGAAGCTGAAGATGATGGAGAAGAGCCCCAGCACCATGTTGGCCAGAGATAAGGCACTGGTAACATCCTTCCAGGAAACCTCATTTATCTGGGAATGGCTCTGGTCATGGCTCAGGAAGAAACTGGTACCCTTACCTGGGGCCCAAGAGAGAGGGGCGAAGGGTTCCCAAGGTTAAGGAGTCCCAGAAGAGGCTCCCAGGGACCTGTTCCACTAGATCTCATCCCAGAATGGCACCCTCCCTACATTCTGTTTCACTGGCTGGACTAAGGGAGACAGGAGGTAGATGAAGGAGACTCAGGAGGTGAAGACAAAGGTGCTGAGGATCCAGCGTCTTGGGAAAGCTCAACAGCAGAGTGGGTGAACCAACACAAGCATAGTTTCCACTCCCTCTCTGACTGCACCTTTGCCCCACAGCACAGACATCCCTCCAGTCCATATGCTGACTCTCCTGAAGCCCCATGGCCCAGAATGCAGGGGGTATGGGGCCCTTCTCCCATCTGAGAGGTGGGCCCTTGTCACTGACGAAGGGTTGGCTTGAGAGAGAAGTAGTGCCAGGAAGCCCTGTTGTCCCACAGTCCAAGTTCACTCCTTCTGAAGCACAGGGCTGCAGCTGAGGTGCCTCAAGGTCCTGGTTCTGACAGGCCCCAGTCAGAACAGCAGGCCTACTTCCCACAAGGAAAGAGACGGCAGATTAAAACTGAATGTGTAGCCGGACACGGTGGCTCATGCCTGTAATCCCAGCACTTTGGGAGGCTGAGGCAAGTGGATCATCTGAGGCCAGGAGTTCGAGACCAGCCTAGCCAACATGTTGAAACCCTGTCTCTACTAAAAATACAAAAATTAGCCGGGTGTGGCGGTGCATGCCTGTAATCCCAGCTACTCAGGAGGCTGAGGCAGGAGAATCGCTTGAACCTTAGGAGGCAGAGGTTGCAGTGAGCCGAGATCACACCACTGCACTCCAGCCTGGGTGACCGAGTGAGACTCTGTCTAAAAAAAAAAAAAAAAAAGTGTACAACACTGAATAGTTCACAAAGATCTTTTCGCCATGTTCCCATCCCCATGTCTGTTTCTCAGATCCTGACAACCTCAGGAGATGGTGCTAGAATTCTCCCCTATTTTATGAATGAGGAAACTACAGTTAAAAGAGAGGAAGATACTTGCTCAAAGTCACATGGTAAGTAGAACCAAATCCCATCTGTTTGATTCTAAATCTGCTGTTTCTTCGCTGCAGGCATAGATTTCAGCAGGAGGAGGTGTGTGGGATATGGCAGTGAACGAGCTCAATGGCCAGGCCTGCGAGGCAGCAGCAGCCTCCCTGTGTGTGTGGGACCGTCCAGCCCAGGCCCCCCAGTGCTCCCAGTCTCTCCCAGTCTCTCCCACAACAGGGAATTGGCTGGCCCTGCCCATCTTCACAGTCTGTCTTGTCTCTGTTTTTACTCTAAGACCACATTTGTACACCTTACACTCAATCTGCTTGAGAAACTGAGTCTCTTGGAGAAAGAGCCCCATTCCTCCCCAAAACTGAGAAGCCCCGCTGGTTGGGGCAAATGTACCAGCCACAAATAGATCCTGCACTTGAGTGAAATAAACAAGTTTCAAGGTGTTCCCAGATCTGTTTTCTCATTTAATCCTCACCCATTTCAGATGTGAGGATTAATCTCACCTCCAGCTCTGCCTCCATCCAGCCCCTCTGTTCAGCCCCAGGCCCATCTGGTCTGGACAAGAGCTGAGACAAACCATGGTCTTTTCTCATAAACCTGCCACCAACATGCCAGCAGCTGGGAGGGCTGACTTGGAGTTTGGGACTAGAGTTTATCAGGGCAGCACTGCTGGGCTCACTGCCTCCATGGGCCAGCCTCACTCACCAAAGGTGATCAGTAGCTACATGGCCAGAGCCATTGGGATTCCTAAGACGTTCGTATGCCAGAGCCCCTCCAAACCTAAGACAAGAAGCAATGCAAGCCAGGGAAATCTGGGAAGGGAAGGGGACAAAGGACTTGCTGCATACTCCCTCCCCATGAACCCGCTGTAGTGGTCTCTCCTGGGTCTCTGGGCTGACCCCAGCAAGATCAAACATCCCACTGTCTGCTGCTCAGAGCCAGTTAGCAGGTGCCCAGGGTCTGTCTACCACCTGTCAAGCATTGCTGCTGCCTCTGTGCTACTTCACACTGGTTAATTTTTAATTAATGGTCAATTGTCTACTATATTATCTCTTTCATTATCTCCTCCATTCACAAACCACTTTCACATTTAGGATTTCCATTGGCCCTGTGAGCTCTGTCAGGCAAGGGTTCTTTTTTTTTTTTTTTTTTTTTTTTTTTTTGAGACGGAGTCTCGCTCTGTCGCCCAGGCCGGACTGCGGACTGCAGTGGCACAATCTCGGCTCACTGCAAGCTCCGCTTCCCGGGTTCACGCCATTCTCCTGCCTCAGCCTCCCCAGTAGCTGGGACTACAGGCGCCCGCCACCGCGCCCGGCTAATTTTTTGTATTTTTAGTAGAGACGGGGTTTCACCTTGTTAGCCAGGATGGTCTCGATCTCCTGACCTCATGATCCACCCGCCTCGGCCTCCCAAAGTGCTGGGATTACAGGCGTGAGCCACCGCGCCCGGCCAGGCAAGGGTTCTTGTCCCTACTTTCCAGGTAAAGCAAGGAAGACTCAGAGATGGGAAGAACCTAGCTCAAGGTCACACCAGAAGTGGCAGAACAAAAGTTACAATTTTGCCTTAAGTGTTCTTTCCCCTGTGCTCTGCTGTCTACCAACCAAGAGGACTGAACATTGTATTGGTTATATGCTGTGCCTGAGCTGGGTGCTGGTAGAAACCTTGGTCCCTACCATCACAGAGTTTACAACCTATCCAAGGAAATGAGTCTCTTGCATACATGTAGAGACTTAGACCCTATTCATAGTGGTACCTTATCTTACAGATGGGGAAACTGAGGTTTCAGGAGAGTTATGTGACTTGTCCAGTAAATGGTGGAGCCAGGATTTGATTTGAGTCTCCTCTTTCCCAGTTAAATGCTGTTTGCAGCAGAATGCACAGGTCCCAGGTGTGAAAGGATGTGGAATTGAGAGTAAGGGCTGTAGAGGACAACAGAAATAAGGAACCACCCACTCATTCAGCAAATGTTTGGCCAGGGGCAAGATGTGGTGCCTGGTGCTTGGGACACAGAGAAGATTAAGACCAAAGGACACAGTTTAGCCACAGTACCTAACCCTGCACAGAAAAGAGGCGACCGGGCTACTAATGGAGCACCGAAAAGGGGCTCAGCCTGCCACGGGGTGAGAAGGCTCCCAGGAGGGGCGAGGGCTGAGGCTTGGCACAGCACGAGACTGCAGGTGATCTGGTCACTCCCCAGCTTCTTGAATGCCCTCAGGATGGAGTCCAACTCCTGCGTTTGGTATGCCAGCTCTGCTCAGCTCTCCCAGCTTCCTCTCAGTCCTCCCCACCCTTCTCAGAACCTCCCTTTGGACTTGGGTTGGGTGGTGCTCCTCTTTGGGAAGCCCCTCTGACATCACCCCTGAGCACGTTAGGTGCCCCTCATCTGTATGGTCTTGTCTTCTTGTGCTTACCATGTGACACTTGGCACTCTGTTTGGGCACCGCCTACACTGGCTTTCCTACAGGGAATGCAATTTGAGTGCTGGCCGAGGTCCCTGTACCCAGTATGAGGCCTGACAATAGAAGTTGTTCTGTGTTTGTTAAATTAACATCACAGGTCACTCTGGTGCTTCCCTGAGGTCCTCTCGCTGCACCAAATCTATTGACCTTCCATCTAACCCTGCCCAGTGTGGCCTCCAAGAAGCCTCAGATGAACGCTCAACAGTCCAGCCCCTTCCGCATACCCAGCAACTACCCAGTTCTTATGGTCTTCCACTTACTCATTTTTTAAAATGCGGTTTATTTATTGCCAATGGCTGCTCTGTGCCGGGCCTTGTGTGTGGGGTGGGGGATGAGGAGAACAAGAGCCAGGCCGCACACTCCAGCAGCTCAGAGTCTGGTAGAGGAGGCAGCTGTGTGTAGGGACAAGTGTAATGTTGGACAAGGGGATGTGCAAGCTGTTGTGGAGAGACTAAGTCTGGGGTGGGGCAGGGGAAGGTTCCACTCCTGTGGTGACATTTATCAGGGTCTCTAAGGATGAACAAAGAATTAGGAGGGACATTCTTGGCCCAGGGAATGAACCGCAGGTGCGGAAGCACGATGAGGAGATGGATCCTGGGAGGGAGGGGTGACCAGAGATGACACTGGCAGGTAGGCTGCAGGGGGTGGTCGTGCGGATGTGACCTTGAGTGGCAGCCCGTGGCGGGCACTGTGGTGTTCAGTAAGGGAGCAGAGTCTTTGTCAGACACGGGCAGGAAGCGCAGGGCGGCTTGGAGGCGGCAAACTGCAGAAAAGGAAACCGGCCAGGAGACGGGGGTGGGGGCGAGGAGGGTGGACGTGAGGAGAAAAGCAGGGCTGTGGCAGTGGTGCTGCAGAGGAGACGAGAGTTGAATATGGCTCTGAGGTTTCTAACTGAGTGGCGGGGCGGCGCCTCCGCGGAGTGAAACCATCCAGGCGGAGCTCTCCAGCCGGCGACACGCGTGGCACAGGCACGGCGACGACGCCGCTCATGCCAGTTACAGACCCCCTCCCCTCCCAGCCCCCGCTCCTTTCCTGGAGGCTGGAAACCCTCCGACGGAGGGCCGGCCTCTGGGGATGGGACGTGGTCCCCTGGCCCACTCTGGCTGTCCCGAGAATGCCCAGGCCCGGCTTCAGCCGCGACCACATCGGGAAGATGGAGCCGGGCTGGTCGCCGACAGCACCCGGGCAGCGCCCTTCTCGCCCCTTCCACGCGGCCGCGGAGGCTCACCTGAGGGCTCACCCTGGGGACACGGCATTCCTACATGAGATGGGGGTCCGCCCTCCTGCCCCGTTTCCTGTGCGGTGGAGGGGGCCAGCCCTAGCGAGGAGCGCCTCTCACTCCCACCCTAGCTCTTAGCTCACAATCCTCAGAGCAGGGGAGGGGTTGCGGGTCTGTAGTCGGGGAGAAGGGCCTCAGTTTCCAGGGGAGCCCAGGTCTTGTAGTGGGGGCGGTGGGGAATGGAGGAGTCCCAGGGAAGGGGACGTCTCCTCTACCTGGGCCAGGCTGGGAAGGCTTCATGGTGGAGACGGCGGGCCCAGGCGCGTGGGCCCGGAGTGGGGCGGGAAATGCGCTGGGGAGGCGAGGCTGTGCCGGGATGCTGGGCCCAGCCTCTCCTGGGCCCCTAGAGGTAAGCTCCACGCGGGCAGGGCTGCTTGTACGTTTGCTTCGCTACTGTTCGCTGTGCCTATAGGAAGGGCATAGGCACATAGGAATACTATTTGGATGAATGACAAGCTAAGGAATTTGGATTCAATTCCTGAAGAAAAGTTTTTCAGTAGGAAGGTGACATGGTCAGGTTGTTTCAGGAAGACTAACCTGGCAGGCATTGTGGAGGAAGGATCTGCAATCCCGCAGGGCAGGAGGCAGGTGAGCAACAGATGGGATGGGAAGAAGGAGCCCCCTCAGGAGCCCATGTGAGATGGACTCCCACGGGTGAGAGCAGCGAGAGGGAGGGGATAAGAGCATCTCAGAGGTGACTATCTTTGGCAGCTGGGCTGACAAAGTGCTACAGAAAGAAACTTTTTGGTATTGGGTAAGGATTTCAGGCATGGGTTCTCAGATAGTGCCCCATCCTCACCAGTCCACCGGAAGCGACACTGGAGCAGGGATCACTGTGAGGACCCCACAGGAGAATATAAAAGGGCAAGGGAGCTAGAAGGTCAAGTGACACTTTGCCTCTCCTTGCAGCCAGCCCGGGAAAGAGGAGTTTAAGACCAAGCATGTTCTGAGAACACCACACAGCAAGTACTGGGCTACATGTTGTACAGACATTCTCATCATGTCACTGGAACTTCTCAGCTAACCTGAGGTTAGTGTTAGCATTCCCATCCTACAGAAGAGGAAGTAGGGGATCAGACAGCTGATTCTACTGAAGAACACACCATTAATAATTAGTGGAGCTGAGACCTGAAAACAGTGATACCAAAGTCAGACCTAGGGTGTGTGAGAAACCGGGCGGAGGCAACAAAAGGTTTGCTACACGCCCCAGCCTGAGTCAGGCCAGCTTCCTTTGACCATCCACGTGTTTCTCTTCATTGCTCCCTGCCATGTGGCCCATTAAAGTGGCAAATTAGCCAGGCATGGTAGCTCACACCTGTAATCCCAGCACTTTGGGAGGCCAAGGCAGGCAGATCACGAGGTCAGGAGATCAAGACCATCCTAGCCAACATGGTGAAACCCTGTCTCTACTAAAAATACAAAAAAAAAATTGGCCGGGTGTGGCAGTGCGTGCCTGTAGATCCAGCTACTCGGGAGGCTGAGGCAGGAGAATGCTTGAACCTGGGAGGCGGAGGCTGCAGTGAGCCGAGATTGCACCACTGCACTCCAGCCTGGGTGACAAAGCTAGACTCCATCTCAGAAAAAAAAAAAAAAAAGAGTGGCAAGTTAAAAATTGTAGCGTAATGATTATACCAGCTTACCTTTAAACCAAGTTTACATTCCAGCGTTAACACTTACCAGATGTATAAACATGAACAAGTTACTTTTTCTGAACCTGTTTCCTAATCTGTAAAATGGGATTGTTGTCAGAATTAAATGAGATTATATGCTTGACAGAGAGTAGAAGCTCAATTATTAGCATTATTAATCTAAGGATATGATCATACATCTATTAACCTGGACATCCCCAAAGTTTCCTTCAGGAGAGGGGAAGGAAGCAGGGTAGCTGAGAAAGATACCCCCCTAACAGAAGTTTCTAGCTTCCCTCATTCTGGATCTCACAGGAAGTACAGAACAGGAACAGTAAGTTAGGCTACTTACACTTGTGCTAATATGGTAGCCAGCAGCCACATGTGGCTACTGAGCACTTGAAAGGTGGCTAGTCTGAATTGAGACGTGCTGTAAGTATAAAGTACATACCAAAGTTTGAATGCTTAGTTTAAAAAAGAATGTAAAATAATTTCTTTTAGTAATTTGTTGAAATGCTAATAGTTTGGATATGTTGGGTTAGATAAAATGTATGTATGTATTTATTTTTTTGAGACAGGGTCTCACTCTGTCACCCATGCTGGAATGCAGTGACATGATCATGGCTCAAAGCAGCCTGGACCTCCCGGGCTCAAGCAATCCTCCTACCTCAGCCTCCCAAGTAGCTGGGACCACAGGCACATGCCACCATGCCTGGCTAATGTTTGTATTTTTTGTAGAGATGAGATCTCCCTATGTTGGCCAGGTTGGTCTTGAACTCTTAGGCTCAAGCGATCCTCCTGCCTCAGAGTCCCAAAGTGCTGAGATTATAGGCATGAGCCACTGCACCTGGTGATAAAATGTATTCTTAAAGTTAATTTCACTTTTTACTTTTTGATGTAGCTACTGGAAAAATTTAGATCACACATGTGGCTCACATTATATTTCTATTAACTGCATTGACTTGGATCCTTCACAGGATATAGGTGCAGAGCTGCAGATGTCCATCCATTGATTTATTCTTTTTTTCTTTCTTTTTTTTTTTTTTTTTTTTGAAGTGGAGTCTCACTCTGTCGCCCAGGCTGCAGTGCAGTGGCACAATCTCGGCTCACTGCAACCTCCGCCTCCCAGGTTCAAGCAATTCTCAGGCCTCAGCCCCCTGAGTAGCTGGGATTACAGGTGCCCGCCACCACACTCAACTGATTTTTATATTTTTAGTAGAGATGGGGGTTTCACCCTGGTGGCCAGGCTGGTCTTGAACTCCTGACCTCAAGTGATCTGCCTGCCTTGGCCTCCCAAAGTGCTGGGATTACAGGCATAAGCTACCATGCCTGGCCCACTTATTCATTATTAAGAGTGTTTATCATGCGCCAGGCACTATTTTAGATGCTCGAGACAGCAGTAAACAAGACAAAGACAGTCTCTGTCCTCACAGAACTTATAATCAGAGAACTTATAAACAGAAGCAAAACATAAATCATTTCTGGTTGTGCTAAATGCTGTGGAAAACAAAGCAGAATCAGAACCACTTTAATGTGAGAAGGGTTGGTATTTCTGATAGGGTAATCAGGGAAGTGGTATTTCAGCAGGGACCTAAAGGATGAGAAGACACAAACCTGCAAAGACCCTGGAGGCAATGCTCCAAGCAGATGAGACAGCAAATGTAAATGAGCGGCAATGAGCTTGGTGTGTGGGAAGAACAGCAAGGTCAGCAAAGCAGGAACATGCTGAGTCCTGAGAGTGGCAGATCACATAGAATCTAGGGAAGAAATGAGAAATTCTGGGATTTTTTTTTTTAACAGAAGTGTTGTGATCTGGCTTGTAGTTTGTTTGTTTGTTTTGAGACGGAGTCTCGCTCTGTGGCCCAGGCTGGAGTGCAGTGGCACGATCTCTGCTCACTGTAAGCTCCGCCTCCCGGGTTCACGCCATTCTCCTCCCTCAGCCTCCCGAGTAGCTGGGACTACAGGCACCCGCCACCACGCCCAGCTAATTTTCTGTATTTTTAGTAGAGACGGGGTTTCACCGTGTTAGCCAGGATGGTCTCGATCTCCTGACCTCGTGATCCGCCCGCTTCACCCTCCCAAAGTGCTGGGATTACAGGCATGAGCCACCGTGCCTGGCCTTGTAGTTTTAAAAGATGCTGCTGACAGCCTCTGTGGAAGCAGGGAGGCAAGTTAGGAGATCACTGCATTGTCCAGGCTGAACATGTTGGTGGCTTGGACTAAGGGGGAAAGGGGTGAGGTGAAGAGAAGCAGTCACATTTGGGATACATTTTGAAGGCAGAGCTGGGACTTGCTGACTGGTATGGGGAGAACAAGAGAAATCAAGAATGACTTAGGTCATTCTTGTTGTGGCTGCCACAACAGTGTGAGACAGGTGCTGATGGAAAGAGAGAGGCCTGGTGGTGAAACAGGTTTTGGGGATGAACTCAAGAGTTTAGATTTGGACACGTTAAATTTGTAATGACTACAAGTCAAGTAGAGATATCAAATAAGGCTGTTGGACAAACAAGTGTGCATGAAACTTGGGGACTGATGAGGGCTGGAGATATGTATGCGAGTCAGCAGCGCGTGGACAGCATTTAAAGCCTGGGGAATGGATTAGACCACTTAGCAGAGATAAAGAGGAGGGGGCCATAGACTTGGCCTCAGAATGTAGATGTCAGGAAGAGGAGGAGCAGGACACAGAAAAGGTACAGTCAGTGAAGTAGAGAAAAGCAGTAGATGATAATATTACAAATCAAAATGAAGAAAAAAGCTTTCAAGTACAGACTGCTCCACTGAATCAAATGCTGTTTAAGACTACAGAAATGAAATTTTTCCAGGCACATTGTAGCTCCTTCCTCCCAAGCTCCAGCTCCTTAAAGGAACAAATGAACCCTATCTTCTGATGGGGGTTCTATATCCAGGCTTTAATGCCAGAGATATGAGCTCAATTGTTTATAGGTTGTATGACCTTAAATAAGTTACTTCTCTATACCTTGATATACATCCTCTACATACCTATCACTAAATGCTCAAGTGAACTACTCCAATAGTATCTCATATAAACATCTTATTCTGCTTGAGGCCAGGAATTTGGGACTAGCCTGGGCAACATGGTGAGTCTTCATCTCTACAAAAAAAAAAATGTTTAATTAGCTGGACATGTTGGTGTATATCTGTAGTCCTGGCTACTTGGGAGGCTAAGGCAGGAGGATCGCTTGAGCCCAGGAGTTCAAGGCTGCAGTGGGCTATGACTGAGCTACTGCTCTCCAGCCTGAGTAACACAGTGAGACTGTCTCAAAAAAACAAACAAACAAAAAAAAACTTACTTTATCACTTTTGTGATTTAACTTCTTTATAGCTCTATACTGAGATCTTTTACGACTGTCTTAATTGGCCCAAACAGGATTAAGGTTATGGTCAGACTCAAACAGGACTGTGTCTGAATCTGACCTCTACCACTTCCCATCTGTATAACCACGGGCCAGTTTCAGAATCTCTGAGATGTTCCTGCTGTGTAACATAAGAATACTATATACCTCATTGATGGTGGGTTGTGTGAAGATTAAAAGAGATAATGGATACACTTAGCAGAATAAAGGCTCATAAGACAGTAGTTATCATCTTTGTATCTGTAACACTAATACTCTTCATGTTTGTGGACTGATAACTTGAGAAAGTAAGATACAAGCCAGCTCTCCTTTCCTCCTTCCAGAGCACTAGGGTAGAGAAAGGGAGCTACAGTCAGCTGTTACTCACACCCAGTAATTTGGTAAGGGCCAACAAGGTAGATTATCAATATCACAGAGTATCACTGATTATTCTGGAAAATAACAGGGATATCCTCCTCCTCCTGAAAATTTTGTTGAGGGGATCCCCACTATTCAATGCAGACACTCAAGCCAGAAATTCAAGCATCATCTAAGAGTCTTTCCTCTAATCCCTCTGACATTTTATTAACAAGATGGCAATCGATTGTACTTTCAATGTGCCATGCTTCATCAAATGTAAGATGCTATGTTATGATTCTTTTTTTTTTTTTTTTGAGATGGAGTCTTGCTCTGTTGCCCAAGTTGGAGTGCAGTGGTGCAATCTCGGCTCACTGCAAGCTTCGCCTCCCAGGTTCACGACATTCTCCTGCCTCAGCCTCCCGAGTAGCTGGGATTACAGGCGCCCGCCACCACGCCCGGCTAATTTTTTGTATTTTTAGTAGAGACAGGATTTCACTATGTTAGCCAGAATGGTCTCAATCTCCTGACCTCGTGATCCGCCCGCCTCAGCCGCCCAAAGTGCTGGGATTACAGGCGTGAGCCACTGCGCCCAGCTTGTTATGATTCTTTTATGTAGCTCTAAGAAAGAAAAAATGCCACTTAAACTGTGACATGCCATTGACTTTTAGAAGTGTCCAAGTTTGACAGACACCAAAATGTGGGGGGGGGGGGGGGGGAAGTACACCTTGTAATTGGTGAAATACAGGCCCTCTCATTCTACTACTGCTTAATTCAGACTCCCATCATCCCTTGCCTTGATTAGGGATGGAATCTCCTGTCTTCCCTCTACCCAAACTCTGCTGCCAATATTACCAGCCTCCCCAAATCCTTCCATTAGTTCTTCTCTCATATTCCCCAGTCCATATTCTCCTGTTTAACTGGCTGCGATTCCCCAAATGTCGTGTCAATTCTGGTCAATGTCCCTTCCATGTTATTTTTTGTCTGGAATGTTTTTTCCTCCCTGTCTTCAACTATCTCCTAGCTTTTAAACACAAGGATTTTCTAGCCAGGACATATCTCACTCCACCCCTCCTCATTGCCAGGACTGCTTTGGTTGATATGGCTTAAATGGTTGTCACTTTCTTCATTCACAAATAAACTCCATCCAAAAATGAACCCTACCCCAACCCCCAAAAGACAAACTTCCTATGAAAGGGCAATTGGAGCCTCCAGAAAGTTCTAACTTGTATGGTTTTCAACACCAAGCAGGCATCAGCTCCTCCAAGTGTCTTCCCAAATTCTCCAAGCTCAGTAAGGAACCCCTCCCCGGAGCTCCATAGTATTCCATGCGTACCTCTATCACACCCCTTCTTAGAGCATCTTGTAATTGTTAACTTGTTTCCTTCCCTACTATACTGTGAGCTCCCTGGAAATTGTGATTTCTTATTCAGCTCCATTATTCACCAGAACCTGGAACCTAGAAGGCACTTAACACTAATGAAATTATCAGGTGAACAGATGGATGGGTAAATGAAAAGTGATTACTGTATATAATCACTGGGTCCTAGTTTCCCATTCTGAGGTGCCCCAAATCACCTCACATTGCCACTAGCCCTTCCCAAGTGTGGTAACTGGCTTAACCAGGAAAGAGCAATGACACCCCTTGGTGGTCAGTGCAGGGAGTACATCTTACTGAACAGAAGGCAGTTTCTCTCTTTTCAATCACTACTCTCCCACTCTTTAGGTTAGGAAATGTCAAGAGTGAGGGAGATTTGGCATTTTCAAATGATCAAGCTGATGACTGCATGCAGAATGGATTGGAGAGGGGACAGAGGGGGAAGCAGGGATGCCAGCTGGGAGGCTGTCTTGTCAGAGTTGACAGTCAAGTGCAGATCTGTGACTTTGACATCATCACACTTAACCACTTAGTAATATTGCCTTTTTTACCTAGAATTTTCCTTTCTTCTTCTCAACTGAGCACTGTGGCAGATAGATTCTAGGATCTGTTCAATGATTCAATGATGTCTGCCTTCTGGTATACATGCCTTTGTATAACTCCCTCCCTTGAATATGGGCTAGCCTAGTGACTTGCTTCCAACCAAAAGATTACGGCAAAGGTGATGAAATGTCACTTCTGTGATCAGACTACATGAGACTGTAACTTCCATCTGGCTAGCAGACTCTAATCCTTGTTTACTTTGCTTAAGAAAGCTGCCATGTTATAGAGGCTCGTGTGGCAAGGAAGTGAGGGCAACCTCCAGCCAACAGTCAGCTAGTGGAACCCCGGAAGCCAGCAACCCTTGTGGAATTGAAATTCTGCCAACAGGCCAGGTATGGTGGCTCAAACGCCAGCACTGTGGGAGGCTGAGGCAGGTGGATCATGAGGTCAAGAGATAGAGACCCTCCTGGCCAACATGGTGAAACCCTGTCTCTACTAAAAATAAAAAAATTAGCTGGGCATGGTGGCGTGCGCCTGTAATCTCAGCTACTGAGGAGGCTGAGGCAGGAGAATCACTTGAACCAGGAGGCGGAGGTTGCGGTAAGCTGAGATTGAGCCACTGTACTCAGGCCTGGCAATACAGCGAGACTCTGTCTCAAAAAAAAAGAAAGGAAAGAAAAGAAATTCTGCTAACAATTTAAGTGAGCTTGGAAGCAGATCCTTCCCCACTCAGGCCTTCAGATAAGAACAGCCCTGACCAATAACTTGATTTCAGCCTTCCAGGGTTTCAGAGAAACTGTGAAGCAGAGGACTCAATGAAATGGTGCCTGAACTCCTAACCTGTAAGCTCTGAAATAAATAGGTGTTGCTTTAAACCATTAAGTTTGCAGTAATTTGTTTATCTGTAACTAATAAAGCACCTATTCAAAATGTGTCATCATCATGCAGGTCAGAACCTTCTGAAAACCTGGGAAACTTTCTGTAGTCAGAATCCACTACTCTACCACTAATGTCTCTTCCATCCGGCTCTGCAGCACCTGAGCAAAAGACCTCTGCAGCTGAGTCCAAAGAGCATTCCCATGTGAACCGAGCAACCAAGTATCATCGGAGTGAGTTTGTTAGATTCTAGCCCCATCCTGTGCTAGGCCTTAGGTAGACCTCTTACAGCTCACAAGAAATGCAGTTTATGAGGAAAGACCATGAATCGGGGGGCGGCCCGGGGAGGGTATTACCAAACAGATCAGCATCAGGAACATCATTCCCAGAGAGAAATTTGGCCAATTGTCAGTTCAAGTACACATCTCTCCCTCCTTTTACAGCATATTGCAATAGATTATAGCCATGCGAAATAATCCATAAACTTAGCTAATTCCACCAAACAGATAGGAAAGAAGGTAGAGTCCTACAAGAGCCTAGTCAGAATAAGAACTACAGTAATTTTGCCAAAACCCTGTTAAGTTCTTGAATAATTCTGGTCAAAATGGATTTCAATCTGAGTTAACTCACAGTCAACAATTTGGCTGTTTTTCTTGCTTCTCACTCTACTGCCTTACTCTCTTCCACAGTGTTAAGTAGCCATTTAAATGGGTTTGTTCTGCTGCAGGTGGCTGAGCCTGGGATTTCCAACTTGGGAGACTACACAGTGGACTCTATAATGATTAGTGGCAGCATCCAATGTCTCTTCCAAGTCTAAAATTTGTGAGTTTCAAAGTTGACTCTCCCCAAACCTGGCCTTTGCTGCCTCAGATTCTGTCACTCTAGCAAGGCAGAGAGAGCAAAAGGGGCAAGACAAACCTCATCAACAGCACAGAAATCCCAGAATCACACACTCTCTGGTCCAGCCAAGCCAAGTGTTTTTTTTTTTGTTGTTGTTGTTGTTTTTTAAATCACCCTCCATTACTCAACATTCTCGTTCCCAGATGAATTTTAAACTGGAGTTGCACCAACTGTGAGACAGCCTCAACCCCAATGTTAAATACTACCAGTTATATATATATATATATATATATAAAAGACTGAAAACAGTTCTCTCTGGAAAACGATCCACCAACCTTTTTATGGGAAGAAGGTCTTCTCTAACACTTTAACTTAAGGGAAGAAGTGATGGAGAGGAAGAAGGAAAGTACACTGGCCAATACTCTGAAACTGACTGACTTGGGTATCTGTGGTCCAAAGAGGATCCCGAAAGACAGTGACTCTGTCTCAATGATTATTCCCATCCCAATTAAAAGTCATAATGACAGCATTTACATTCACACAGGGTCTCTTTCCAAGAAGTTTGTGAGTCACCTACATGTCTTCAATTCTCAAGGCAACAGTGGGGGCAACAAGGAGGTTGACAGCCAGGTCCTGTGAGAGCTGTTTGTCAAAGCCCACTCTCAGTGAGTCAGTCCCTGGAAGTTGGGTTCAGTGCACGGAGGCAGGGCCACTGACTGGCTTAGCAACGTGTCCATCATGCTGATTTTAGCATCTTGCTTCTCAATGTCCTCATACGGAGTCCAGGACAAGTCATGCTGTAGTTTGTAGGCACCAAGGAAGTCATGTGGACAACTTGTCCCCCATTCCTAGAGAAGGCAAAGGAGGCAGTTCCCATCAGCGTGGGTTGTAAACAAACTGAGCTCATTTCCTAATCATGCCACAATCTCTTTTTTGGCTTTTCACTTCATACTAGTCAGAACAACCTTTGGAACGCAGTTACCTTACACATCAGATCCCTCCCTTAATGAAGAAAATGAGTGAAATAATTTAAGCACAGGTATATTTTTTAGAGTCATGTCTGGGCTCACATCACCCCCAATTTTCTAAGAAACCATATACCAATCCACATGTCTACATTTTCACACATATACCAAGAATTTCTCAGAGGCTGGAGTAGATTTTTGGGCAAACAATGTATGTTCTTACCTTTGGAGAAATGATGGAAAAATACTGCTGACCACTCTCCCGTTTATAGAGATAGTAAATGTTGCCAGGTTTTTTCACTATATTACAAGCTACATGGTGCAGGTTGGCATCTCTGTGAGCATCTTCCAGTACCTATGAATCACAGATATGTAACAAATTAGGTATTGGAGATAACAGGCACCCACATTTGGTGATCATCCCAATTAAAATTTGGAAACCATTCAGTGCTTAGGATCTTGCTCCCCCATAGCAATGAATCACTTCTGAGATCCAGATTATTCTGAAGAAACAAAAATTAGACTATGCTGCTATGCTGTAAAAATGCCTTTAGAAAAATTATATTTCAAGCCAGGCACAGTGATTCATGCCTGTAATCCTAGCACTTTGGAAGGCCATGGCAGGTGGATCACTTGAGTTCAGGAGACCAGCTTGGGCAACATGGCAAAACCCTGTCTCTACTAAAAATACAAAAAATTAGCCAGGTGTGGTGGCATATGCCTGTACTCCCAACTACTTGGGAGGCTGAGGCTAGAGGATCACTTGAGCCCAGGGGGCAGAGGTTGCAGTGAGCTGAGACTACACCACTGCAGTCCAGCCTGTGTGATACAGTGATACCCTATCTCAAAAAAAAAGATATTTCAAAATGTTGAGCATTAATGACCCTGGGTAATTTTTAAGCTTCTTTCCTATTTTTCTGTGCTAAGTACATTTCTTTTATAAATGAAAACATAATCCCCTGTTAAATGCTTTACCTCATGAAACCTTCTCCTGGAAAAAACAAAACAAGGGAGGCTGAGGCAGGCAGATCACCTGAGGTCAGGAGTTCAAGACAGGCCTGGCCAACATGGCAAAACCCCATCTCTACTAAAAATACAAAAGTTAGCAGGGTGTGGTGGCGGGCACCTGTAATCCCAGCTACTTGGGAGGCTGAGACAGGAGAATCGCTTGAACCCGGGAGGCAGAGGCTGCAGTGAGCTGAGACCATGCCACTGCACTCCAGCCTGGGCAACAAGAGCAAACCTCTGTCTCAAAAACAAACAAACAGACAAACAAAAACTTATACTTAACCTCTTAAGCTTATTCCTTCTATTTTACTCAACACCTCTACATTTCTAGGAGGTATTAAAGACATAAAAAGTCACAACGATTATAAACAAGTTCAGCCAATCCTGAGAACTAAATAAAGAAAATGAAAGCCTGTCTAACAGTCATTCCTTACCTTCCTGGCTTGTTCTTGCAAATGTTGGATTTGCTCAGCTATGACTGTCAGCTTGTTGGTGGCATTTGCTCGGATGAATTCATCAGCCTACAGGTGAGAAAAAACTAAACTGTGGGTTGAAAGAGGAAAAGACTTCTATGATGTTCTTATCTTGATCCCAGGGTTATGTTAATATTTTGCTTCTGCCTAAAATATTTTTCCCATTCTTGCCACTGCCCCATAGCCTCCCACTCATCCGAGGCCCCACTCAGATAGCACTGTCATGAGAAGGCCACCCTGACATGACTCCACGCCACAGAGTTAAGTGCTCTCTTCTATTTCCCATAGCTTTCCACCCCTTCGCTATGAACTGCAGTTACACTGAACTTCTTTGGTTCTCCAGCATGCCTTCTCTCTTTCTCTCTCCTGCTACCAAATATACTGAATATATCCTCTCCTCCAACCAATCCATTTTTCCTCCTGCTCTTTACCTAACAAACACCACACATTTCTCAGGTCTCCATTTTCTCATGTTTAAACACTTGTGAAATCAGGGATGGATTTTAAATAATTAAAAGACACTTGTGATCTGGCCCTTATCATCTGCTAAGGTAGAAATCTAGATACACATAGAAAGTATTCGGGTTTTTCTGTGTGACCCCCACACCCCCTGAACTGAGAAAGTATGCGTTAATCTGACCATTTCCTCAGTTATTTACATCACAACTACTTAAATGTTAACTTATATGTGCATTTCTAATTATTACTTAAAATGTATTTTAAAAGACTGCATTATGATGTGGACCTGAAACAGAGTTATAATGTACACACAAGACTACCTGTCACGTGCCACAAAGTGCAACTGAAGGCAATGGACATTTTTTTTTTTTCAGACAGTTTTCGTTCTTATTGTCCAGGCTGCAGTGCAATGGCGCAATCTTGGCTCACTGCAACTTCTGCCTCCTGGAGTCAAGTAATTCTCTAATGTCAGCCTCCTGAGTAGCTGGGATTACAGGTGCCCGCCACCATGCCCAGCTAATTTTTGTATTTTTAGTAGAGGCAGGGTTTCACCATGTTGTCCAGGCTGGTCTCGAACTTCTGACCTCAGGTGATCCGCCCACCTCGGCCTCCCAAAGGTCTAAGATGACAGGTGTGAGCCACTGAGCCCAGCCAGGACATTTCTTAAAATAGATCAAATTCTCAAAGCTAGGAGAGACTAATGTGACAAATTCATGTGCTGGGAAGGATTACCACTCAGGCAATAGAATTCTGTCAAAAACTTCCACCTTACTTTTAAGAAAAGCTGATTATACACAATTAAGGTAAAGAAATGAGGAGATTAAACTAGAACCTGAACTAAGAAATATTAAAGAGAATTTGCTGGTTAGTTGAGGAGTCTTAAGGCAAAGTTCAGGTATAAACCAGTGTTATGAGTGAACAGAAACCACACAAGTAAACTGAGTCATTTATCTGTCCCACAGATGTATATTAGGCAGCTACTATGTGTCAGACACCACACTAGGCACTGGGTGTACTGGCAAACAGGAAAGAGAAGTCCCTGCCTTTGTCAAGATCGCAAGTCAAGTCTAATACCGTTCAACAGAAATATGAGGCAAGTTGCATATAAAATTTTAAATTTTCTGGTAGCCACGTTAATAGTAAATTAATTCTAACAATACTTTTTTTTTTTTTTTTTGAGGCAGAGTCTCGCTCTGTCACGGAGGCTGGAATGCAGTGGTGCAGAGGCTCACTGCAACCTCCGCCTCCCGGGTTCAAGCAAATCTCGCACCTCAGCCTCCTGAGTAGCTAGGACCACAGGCATGCGTCACCATGCCCCGCTAATTTTTGTATTTTTAGTAGAGATGGGGTTTTGCCATGTTTGCCAGGCTGGCCTCGAACTCCTGGCCTCAAGTGATACGCCTGCCTCAGCCTCCCAAAGTACTGGGATTACAGGCATGAGCCACCGTGCTCAGCTAATACATTTTACTTAACCTAATATATCAAAAACATTTTCATTTTAACATGTAATCACTATTTGTAAGTTGTTAATGAAATATTTTGCATTTTTTGTTTGTTTTTGTTTCTTTTTTTGGTCCTTCTCAGTCTAATCCATATTTTGCATTTGATATTAAGCCTTCAAAATATAGTGTTTATTTTGTACTCACAGCACATCTCAATTTGGATGCTAAATTTTCATCAGAAATACTTCATCTGTATTTAAACTTAATAAAATTTATATGTGAAAAAGTTGATTCACATACTCAAATTGTTCCAATATACTTGAGTTCCAATAATTGAAGTAATTATCAGGTTTTTTAAATTCAAATTAATTAAAATCAAATAAAATACAAAATTCGGTTCCTCAGCCACACTAACAACGTAACACAAGTGCTTAACAGACATAATGTTGCTAGTGGCTACCTAAAGCACAGCTCCAGTGAGTAATAGATACCAAAAAGTAAAGATGATTAAAGCTAATATTATATGTACTCATAACAATGCACTGTTATGAAGGAAATAACCACAATTATGTCGTAGAAGCAGGTTAAAGATAACAAATGAGTTAAGTAAAAAAGCTACTTCATTTTTATGAAGTTTAATAATAGGGAGTGGTGGGGAATTGGAAAGTATATGTAGCCTAGAGGTATTTGAATTCAATTTAATAATACTGTCATTTGGATGGGGTAGGGTACGGTCTTCTTCAGACAAGAAGGCCTCACCAAGGATATAACATTTGACTTGGGTCTAAATGAAAGGAGAGGACCGACCATGAAAAAAGCTGGAAAAAAAAAAGTTTGCAGGCATTTGAGGCCAGTGCAGCTGAAGAGTAGTTAGTGATGGGCAATGTGTAGAACAGGGTTTAAAAAGAGAGCAGAGACCAGATTGTGCAGTCTTGTAGCCCATGGTAAAAGAATTTGCATTTTGTTCCAAGAATGAAAGCCCAGGTGTGGTGGCTCACACCTGTAATCCCAGCACTTTGGGAGGCCGTAGCGGATGGATCACCTGAGGTCGGGCGTTTGAGACCAGCCTGACCAACATGGAGAAACCCTGTCTCTACTAAAAATACAAAATTAGCCAGGCATGGCGGCACATGTCTATAATCCCAGCTACTTGGGAGGCTGAGGCAGGAGAATTGCTTGAACTCGGTAGGCAGAGGTTGCTGTGAGCCAAGATGGCGCCATTGCACTCCAGCCTGGGCAACAAGAGCGAAACTCCATCTCAAAAAAAAAAAAAAGAAAGAAAGAAAGGAGGAGCCATATATGGCCAAGGAGAGAGTAGGTATTTCTAGAGCTAAGGTAGTTCCAGATTAGGGGTGGCCTTATAATAACCCTCCCTTTTCTTAAGGTGTTAGCAATAAATCTCATAAACAAAATTTGAATTTATATTTTGAAGAGTTAATATAAAATGCAAAATATGGATTAGTCTGAGGTCCAAAAAAAGGAAAAAAGAAACAAACAAAAAAAATGCAAAATATTTCACGAACAACTTAAAAACAAAAGAGCCTCATAAAAAAGAAAGGAAGGGAAGAGTACCTACAACTACTAAGCACTAACCCTGGCCTCAACTACTCTGAGGCCCTTTACATTCATCTCATTTACTTCTCACAACACCTTTATGACGCTGGAGATGATAACCTCACTTTCTCATTTTAGCAATTAAGACTCACAGACATGAGGCAACCTGTCCAAGGTTTCACAGATAATAAACAGCAAAGGATCTGAACACAGGTCAGATTCCAAAATTCATGCCTTAATACCAGGCCTCCTGAGCTTTCTGAACACACACCAATACCTGGGTCAGTCTTGCTAAAAAAGTACTTTTTTTTTTGAGACGGAGTCTTACTTTGTCACCCAGGCTGGAGTGAAGTGGCACAATCTCCACTCACTGCAACATCTGCCTCCCAGGTTCAAGTGATTCTCCGGCCTCAGCCTCATGAGTAGCTGGAATTACGGGCGTCTGCCACCATGCCCGGCTAATTTTTTGTATTTTTAGTAGAGACAGGGTTTCACTATGTTGGCCAGGCTGGTCTTGAATTCCTGATCTCGTGATCCACCCGCCTTGGCCTCCCAAAGTGCTCGGATTACAAGCGTGAGCCACTGCACCCAGCCCACCACCATTTTTTTTTCTTTTTAGACTTGCTCTGTCACCCAGGCTGGAGTGCAGTGGTGTGATCTCAGCTCACTGCAACCTCTGCCTCCCAGGTTCAAGCAGTTCTCCCGCCTCAGCCTCCAGAGTAGCTTCGGACTACAGGCACACACCACCATGCCCGGCTAATTTTTTGTATTTTAGTAGAGACAGGGTTTCACATGTCGCCCAGGTTGGTCTCCAACTCCTGAGCTCAGGCAATCCTCCCGCCTTAGCCTCCCAAAGTGCTAAGATTACAGGCGTGAGCCACCACACCCAGCCTCATTTTTTTGTTTTTTTTTAAGAGTCTCACTCTGTCACCAATTCTGGAGTACAGTGGTGCGATCTCGGCTCACTGCAACCTCTGTCTCCTGGGCTCAAGCGATTCTCATGCCTCAGCCTCCCGAGTAGCTGAGACTACAGGCATGAGTCACCACACCTTTTAGTAGAGACGGGGTTTCACCATGTTGGCCAGACTGGTCTCGAACTCCTGACTTCAAATGATCCACCCACCTTGGCCTCCCAAAGTGCTGGGATTACAAGTGTGAGCCACGGCACCTGGCCAAAAAGTACATTTTAGATAGTTAATATGTTTGATTCAATTTGTTTGTCTCTAAAGTTTTTTTTTTCTTCAGCTTCTCAAATACAGATTGTATTGGGGAAACAGAGGCAGCATAATAATGCATCCTCTGTATTTCATAAGATTATAGGATGAAAGACAAAAACTGTGTTCTTTCTTCCATCTGTTCAGGCCATCGTAATAAACACGATAGTCATTCAATAGCACATGAATACGTTGTGTGCACAAGATTCTGTCCCTGCCAACCTCCCTCCCAATAAGAGTAATCTGATTAACTAGATGCATATTCTCTTAATAAATAAAAGTTGCACTTTGCTCCCCAGCTCTTCAAAAAGAAGAAAGCCAAGTTTTGAATTAAAGGAGCTTTCTGCGTATCTGAATTTTTCTTAATTTTAAAAAAAAAAGGATTCGAAGGATTTCTAGGATCATTGAAAAAAAAAGAGATGTGAGGGAATTTGAGCACATTAAATAATTTTGGGCAAAGCAAAGACCCTGGAACATAATCAAGGCCAAATCTGATAGTGTATACAGGGATAAGGGGCCATGATAATCTTTAAAACAGCAGGACCCTCCATCTGTGGACACTGAAGAGGGTGTACAACTGGAAGTCTTGATAAGAGATAAGAAGGAATCTGGTTTTTCATTGAATAATGACAAAACTTTAGATCTTGGAGCTCTACTACTTCAAACCTTTCACTTCACAGATAAAATAGTTGAGGTCCAGAGAGAAGTAATCTGCCTTAAGTCGCACTGCAAGTTAGTATCAAAAGTGGGATTAATACTCATGTGTCCAAACTTCCAGTGTTTTTTCCATTATTTCACATTTCCTCCTTATTTGACTTATTTTGGCCATCCATATATAAACACTGGGCTTGGGAATACTGTGTTTAATGAGGACTAAACTTGGAGTCCTTGCCCTGCTAGAAGATGTTTAAACTCTCAGGTAACAAAGATCTTATGGGAAGCAGCTTAAAATAAGCGGACCTTGAAACTTCCCGAAGAACTTTTCTTTGTGTCAAATGGGAAGAATAACTCTGTACTGCCTACCTCACAAGGCTGTCCTAAGGTGCAAATGAAATAATGAACACTAAAGTGTTGTGTAAACCTTCCCACGAAGGAAGATTATGGGCACTCAAGTTGCAGTTAGAGGAACCTTTGGTCCCAGAAGGTCATTCGAATCAGGCCACCGACTCACAATGACAGTCGGCTTTACTCGTCTGTAAAATGGAGACAAGAGCAAATGCCACCCCCACCATAGGTGGTAGTGAGGTCTGAGCCGAAAGACGCAGAGTACAACGTGAACGAAGATGGTTATTCGCTGCCCCGGCCGCGCCTCCTCACCTTCTGCACCTGCTCTGCGAGCGCCACGAGGTCTAAGGGGTCCCCGGCCCGGTGGGTGTGGTAGGGGCTCACCAGGGCCAGGCCGCCGGGGGTCGGGGTGAGCTCCACCAGGGCTCCTGCGACACACACCCAGGAACACAAGCCGTGAGCTCCCGCCGTCGGCCTCCCGCGGAGCCCCGAGACCGGCTGCCTCGCGGGAGCTGACTTCCCCCTGCTGACTCCCGCCCCGCATACCTCCCTGGCCTGCAGCTGGCGGCGCTCCTTGCCTTTCAAGGACCCCCTCGGTCCGCCCCGGCGCGGCGGCGTCCTCCATGACAGCGCCTTATCCTCCCCACTCCCTGGGCTGTGCGAGTAGGAAGAGCCTGCGCATAAAGGCGCGTGGGCGGAGCTTCCGTCTTTCTTGTCTACTGGGCGTCAGTTCGACTGAGCAAGGCCTGAGCTCGGAGGCGGGGCTCCGGCTGACGCGCCGGGATTCGCTGAGGGCCGGTGGGGGGATCCGGGCTGACTGAAAGGAAAAGAGGCGGTGCAAGCCTCGTGGGCATGCGCCGCCCGGCTTGGAAGGTGGGGCTTCGCCCGGGGGCGGGCCTTCGCCGGGGGTAGGACTCCGGCCTTGGTGGCGGGTGGCTGGCGGTTCCGTTAGGTCTGAGGGAGCGATGGCGGTACGCGCGTTGAAGCTGCTGACCACACTGCTGGCTGTCGTGGCCGCTGCCTCCCAAGCCGAGGTCGAGTCCGAGGCAGGATGGGGCATGGTGACGCCTGATCTGCTCTTCGCCGAGGGGACCGCAGCCTACGCGCGCGGGGACTGGCCCGGGGTGGTCCTGAGCATGGAACGGGCGCTGCGCTCCCGGGCAGCCCTCCGCGCCCTTCGCCTGCGCTGCCGCACCCAGTGTGCCGCCGACTTCCCGTGGGAGCTGGACCCCGACTGGTCCCCCAGCCCGGCCCAGGCCTCGGGCGCCGCCGCCCTGCGCGACCTGAGCTTCTTCGGGGGCCTTCTGCGTCGCGCTGCCTGCCTGCGCCGCTGCCTCGGGCCGCCGGCCGCCCACTCGCTCAGCGAAGAGATGGAGCTGGAGTTCCGCAAGCGGAGCCCCTACAACTACCTGCAGGTCGCCTACTTCAAGGTGCAGACCTGCCTGGAACCAGGCGGCCGGGGTCCTTCTGGGGAGAGGAGTGTTGCAGGGGACCTGAGGAGCTTGGGGGATCGGGGAAGTGTCCGCAGGGAGGGGAAAGTGGCCTCCTGGCTGGGGAGCTCTCCTCGGAGCCGGGGAGAGCTGCTCCCTGGCAGGAGACCTTCCTCGCCCAGTTCGCATGGGCAGATGCTAACCCCAAAGGTCCAGCCTGGGGTTAGGGCACAGGCCAAGCAAAACTCATGGCCATTTTGTTCCCTGGGAAATCTCCTGGAAGGAATTAAAGCGGCAGTTTGGGTCTCCCATTCTGATGTCATTGTAAGTGTCCGAGTGAGAAGCTAGTAGCGGTCTACAATATCTCCCTTCCGGTTGGTTTTCCAGTGGTGCTTTTCCTGCTGTTTGATTCAGCAGCTCTCTTTCAGGATGTGAGGTTGCCACGTCGCCAGCAGGGGCTGCCTGGCCCTTTCTGTGTGTGTGTGGGGGCGGGGGGGGGACCCTCTGGCTAGTCTGCCAGGTTTACAAAGAAAATGAGTATTTTTCGGAATGCCAGAGTGCCATGTGTCCAAGTGTACACTTGGGCTTGGAGCGTTCCAGGCTTGTTTGGTGGTGGTGATGGTGACGATGATGATGATGATGATAGCCAGCACATACTTCCAGGCACTATTTTAAGCAGTTTGCATTTATTAACGCATTTGCCCTAATCTTCATAATATCTTGTCAGGTAGATGCTGTTATTAGTCCCACTGTATTGGGGGTGGGGGGAGAAAGAGTTGTGCATTATATCTGGTATATCTGTTGTTTAAAAGACCTTCGATTCGATCTAAAGAGACACTTAGAGACTCTTGGGGACCTCAGATTTCCACCCCTCCACAGCATTCTGCCTACACAGTTCCCCTCATTTTTCCTAGTTACTCGGAAGAGCGCTGGACTTGAAATCAAAATAATTGCGTTATGTCTTTGGTTATGTCGCTTCATCATAGCACTTTCTAAAACTATTTGACAAACATGTATTGCATACCTACTGCATTCCAGTTCTTGTACAAGTAATTAAATGCTCGACTAACGTCTTTGCTTTGTCTTGCTTTGCTGTTAAGAGTTACTGTAGTAAGGGCTACTGCAAGGGCATATACTTAGGGCTGCGGGAGCACAAAGGAGGGAGACTCTAGCTTTATCTCAGAGAAATTAGACTTCAAAGAAGAGGTAATATTGAAGCCTGCCCTAAGTATTGCCAGGGGGAGAGGAAAGAAGGCTCCTCCAGATAGAGAGAAAAGTAGAACCAAAGCATGATGTATTCAGGAAAAAAAATGAACTCTTGTGATTGCAATGTCGAGATGTGTGTGGGGAGTAGTAGGAGAGGCGGCTAGAAAAGTCAGTGAGGCCAGATTTGGAAGAGAATTCTGCGGACTGCAGGGAGCCATCCTCAGATTTGGGTTTTAAAACGCTTATTCTGGAAGCCATGGTGAATGAGCCTTGGAAGAAGGAGAAAGTGGTGGCACTTGATTAGGAGGCAGACATTTGTCCACAAGAGAGGAGGTTAAGTACCTCAGTGCTTAGAGAGTAAAGAAGGCTGGGGGTGGAGAGAGGAGTGAGGACATGAGGGAGAACAGAGAAAGGCAGGAGCAGCGCTGAAAGACACAAGAGCTAGAGTAATTCCATGAAAGGGACAGACCTGAAAAAATTTCTAATTTTACAGTTAAAGAAACTGAGGTACAGAGATGGGGAGTTATTTACCTTGGGTCACCTAACCAGGGCTGACTCCTTTAGTGTGCCTTTACTAGTACCAATGATAAGAAAATAAGTTTTCTTAGCATATTAATCATACCACCTAAAATTTATTGAGCACTTAATCTGTGCCCAGCACCATGTATTACAGGCTGCATATTATCTCGTTGAACTCTCAACAATGCTAGGAGATAGCTAGAGAATGCTATCTCCAGATGATAGATTAGGGAAACTGAGTTTAGAAAGTAAACTTTAAGTATCTTGTCTACTGCCCAGCCAGTCAGTGAGTCATTAAGCCCAGATGTGATGCTGGCCTGTCTCTTTTCTTTCTTTCTTTTTTTTTTTTTTTTTTTTTGAGATGGAGTCTCGCTGTTGCCAGGCTGGAGTGCAGTGGCGACCTTGGCTTACTGCAACCTCTGACTTCTGGTTTTCTGGTTCAAGTGACTCCCCTACCTCAGCCTCCCGAGTAGCTGGGATTACAGGCACGTGCCATCACATCCGGCTAATTTTTGTATTTTTAGTAGAGATGGGGTTTCTCCATATTGGCCAGGATGGTCTGGATCTCCTGACCTTGTGATCCACCTGCCTCGGCCTCCCAAAGTGCGGGATTACAGGCGTGAGCCACCGCACCCAGCCCTCTTTTCTTTTGAGACGGAGTTTCGCTCTTGTTGCCCAAGCTAGAGTGCAATGGTGCGATCTCGGCTCACTGCAACCTCCGCCTCCTGGGTTCAAGCGATTCTCCTGCCTCAGCCTCCTGAGTAGCTGGGATTACAGGCACATGCCACCACGCCCAGCTATTGTTGGTCTCAAACTCCTGACCTCATGATCCGCTGGTCTCAAACTCCTGACCTCATGATCCGCCCGCCTCAGCCTCCCAAAGTGCTGGGATTATAGGCGTGAACCCCCGTGCCTGGCCACGGCTGGTCTCTTTGATACCAGTGTCCACATAGTTAATTACTAGATCATCAGTGATTTATTTGGTTGGATTCTATATATGAAACCTGTGTTACTTTGACATGCTGGAGTCCATTGCTGTGGGCATTGTGGTCTGTAGCCTATTTCTCCCCCCTTGGATTTCTTTTTTTTTTTTTTTTTTTTTTTTTTTTGAGACAAGAGTCTCGCTCTGTCACCCAGGCTGGAGTATGGTGCTGTGATCTCGGCTCGCTGTAACCTCCGCCTCCCGGGTTCAAGCGATTCTCCTGCTTCAGCCTCCCAAGAAGCTGGGATTACGGGTGTGCGCCACAACGCCCAGCTAATTTTTGTATTTTTAGTAGAGACGGGGTTTCACCATGTTGGCCAGGCTGGTCTCAAACTCCTGACCTCAAGAGATCTGCCCCCTTCGGCCTCCCAAAGTGCTGGGATTACAGGCATGAGCTACCGCCCCCGACCACCCCCTCAGATTTCTTAGAGCTATTTGTTTGAACCTCATGAGCCCTGAGCTTTGAGTCAGAAAATACTATGTCTGGACTTAGTAAAGGACCTTAGAATTTTTAGCCATCCACCTTTTCCCTAAATGTCTCAAAAATTCTTCATTTTATTTTATGCAAAAAAAAATTTTTTTCTAGGAAAATTCTTAGGCATAGTCTGTTAGCTGCTCTTTTTTCTCTACCCCTAAATCCTTGAAGCCACAGAATTTCTTCAGCTCAGGCATTACATTTGATTCATGAAATATATATATGTATTTTTTTTTTTTTGAGTCAGGGTCCTGCTGTGTCACCCAAGCTGGAGTGCTGTGGCACCATCTTGGCTCACTGCAACCTCTGCTTCCCAGGCCCAAGCGTCCTCCCACCTCAGCCTGCAGAGTAGCTGGGACTACAGGCATATAGTACCATGTAATTTTTGTATTTTTCGTAAAGACAGGGTTTCACCATGTTGCCCAGACTGGTCTTGAACTCCTGAGCTCAAGTGATCCACCTGCCTCGGCCTCTAAAAATGCTGGGATTACAGACCTGAGCCACCGCACCCAGCATGAAAACATATTATGTGGGCAGTCAGTCTTTCACAGCACTCCCCATACAATATGACCTTTGTTTTAAAATGGAACATTGCTACTTCCTGTAATCTGGGGAACCCCTAAATCTGACTTGGGAAAGAGCTACAAATCTGCCCAGGGCACTATGCTCCTAATCTGTCGTGGGTAGTTCCTGCAATAGGTGTGCTTCCTGGGGCTGGCAGGGGCTGGGCACGCTGAGTGGAGGGCTCAGGGAGGCAGGGATTTCCTGTTTATGTGGACTGCTCATGTGGACACAAACGTTCAGAGATTGGATGTGAGCATTATCCACCTTCTCATGCTTCATTCTTAGATCAACAAGTTGGAGAAAGCTGTTGCTGCAGCACACACCTTCTTCGTGGGCAATCCTGAGCACATGGAAATGCAGCAGAACCTAGACTATTACCAAACCATGTCTGGAGTGAAGGAGGCCGACTTCAAGGATCTTGAGACTCAACCCCATATGGTGAAAAAAACTTTATCCCCTTCTTTCTTTCTTTCTTTTTAAATTTATTTTAGAGACAGAGTCTTGCTCTGTCACCCAGGCTGGAGTGCAGTGGCTTGATCATAGCTCACTGTAACCTCAAATTCCCGGACTCAAGAGACCCTCTAGTCTCGGCCTCCTGAGTAGTTGGGACTACAGGCATGCATTCTTTTGTTTTTTTTTAAATGACATTACTAAGGTTGTTTTCTAATTACATTACAGAAGTAATGAATGTTCATTGTATAACATTGTAGAAATGTAGGTAAGTATAAAATAAAAAGTAATCATTTGTAATACCGCCACCTTAAGAAAACCAGTTTATATTTTGCCCTATTTTTTAAGTCTTCCGTATATAATTTTTTCATCTAATTTGGTGTTATATCATGTATGCATTTTTTATCATCTTTTTTATTTTTTTTGAGGCAGGGTCTCACTTTGTTGTCCAGGCTGCAGTGCAATGGTGTGATCATAGCTCACTGCAGCCTTGACCTCCTGGGCTCAAGTGATCCTCCCGCCTCAGCCCCACAAATAGCTGGGACTAGAGGCATGCACCACCATACCCAGCTATTGTTTTTATTTTTTGTAGAGACGGGGTCTCACTGTGTTGCCCAGGCTGATTTCAAACTCCTGGCCTCAAGCGATCCTACTGCCTTGGGCTCCCAAAGTGCTGGGATTGCAGGTGTGAGCCACCATGGCCAGCCCCATCATCATTTTTTAACTAACATTATTATCATGAGTCTTTTCTCATGTCTTCAGTTTTATTTGAAAACATAATTGTTTATGGCTGCATGATAGTCCATCTTATGCAGAGACTATATTAATTCACTAGTCACATTTTTTTGGTCATGTATGTTTTTGATTTTCACTACAATAAATGTTACAGTATCCTTCAATGTTCTCATTCTATTTGTTTAGCAGGAAAAGTTCCAAAGGAGGGACTGTCTGTGATGATATAGCATTTTATAGAGAGTTTATGGTTCCTTACATTTTAATTATAAAATAGGAATGTTAGAAACAATATAAGAATGACTTATAGGCCAGGCGCAGTGGCTAACACCTGTAATCCCAGCACTTTGGGAGGCCGAGGTGGGTGGATCACTTAAGGTCAGGAGTTTGAGACCAGCCTGGCCAATATGGTGAAACCCCATCTCTACTAAAAATACAAAAATTAGCCAGGCATGGTGGCATGCACCCGTAATCCCAGCTACTCGACATGGAGGCAGGAGAATAGCTTGAACCTGGAAGGTGGAGGTTGCAGTGAGCCAAGATTGTGCCACTGCACTCCAGCCTGGGTGACAGAGCAACAGTCAAAAAAAAAAAAAAAAAAAGAATGACTTTTAAAAGTAAGTTGTGGCCAGGTGCAGTGGGTCACACCTGTCATCCCAGCACTTTGGAAGGCCAAGGCGGGCGGATCACAAGGTCAGGAGATTGAGACCGTCCTGCCTAACATGGTGAATCCCTGTCTCTACTAAAAATACAAAAATTAGCTGAGCGTGGTGGTGTGTGCCTGTATTCCCAGCTACTCAGGAGCCTGAGGCAGAAGAATCGCTTGAACCCAGGAGGCGGAGGTTGCAGTGAGCCGAGATTGTGCCACTGCACTCCAGCCTGGGTGACAGAGCGAGACTCCATCACACACACAAAAAAAAGTAAGTTGTGTTGGCCGGGCGTGGTGGCTCATGCCTGTAATCCCAGAATTTTGGGAGGCCGAGGTGAGTGGATCACTTGAGGCCAGAAGTTCAAGACCAGCCTGGCCAACATGGTGAAATCCTGTCTCTACTAAAAATACAAAAATTAACCAGGTGTGGTGGTGTATGTCTGTAATCCCAGCTTCTCAGGAGGCTGAGGCGCTAGAATCACTTGAACCCAGGAGGTGGAGGTTACAGTGAGCTGAGATCATGCCACTGCCCTCCAGCCTGGGCTGTCTGTCTCAAAAAAAAACTCTGTCTCAAAACAAAACAAAACAAAAAGTAAGTTGTGTTTATTTGAAAACTGTTAGCCCTACAAAAAAGTGCAAGAACCTAGGCCAGGCACGGTGGCTCATGCCTGTAATCCCAGCACTTCGGGAGGCCGAGGCGGGCAGATCACCTGAGGTCAGCAGTTCAAGACCAGCCAGACCAACATGACAAAACCCCATCTCTACTAAAAACACAAAATTAGCCAGGCGTGGTGGCGCATACCTGTAATCCCAGCTACTCTGGAGGCTGAGGCAGGAGAATTGCTTGAACCCTGGAGGCGGATGTTGCAGTGAGCCAAGATCGCACTATTGCACTCTAGCCTGGGCAACAAGAGTGAAACTCCGACTCAAAAAAAAAAAAAAAAAAAAGTGCAAGAATCTGTCACTAATGGGGGGGGAAGAAAAGTACAAGAAAATCATAATGAACTCCTAGATATCTTTCATCTAGATTAAGAGTTAAATGTTTTTTGGCCAGGCACAGTGGCTCACACCTGTAATCCCAGCACTTTAGGAGGCCGAGTTGGGAGGATTGCTTGAGGTTAGGAGTTGGAGACCAGCCTGGCCAACATGGTGAAACCCCGTCTTTACTAAAATACAAAAATTAGCTGGGCACAATGTAATCCCAGCTACTAGGGAGGCTGAGGCAAGAGAATCACTTGAACCCAGGAGGTGGAGGTTGCAGTGAGCTGAGATTGTGCCACTGCAGTCCAGCCTGGGCAACAGAGTGAGACTCTGTCTCAAAAAAAGAAAAAAAGAGCTAAATGTTTTTAAATTTCCAGAGCTAAATATTTTGTAAAGACCATTTACAAAAGGCCTTCATTTTATAGTGGTACCCAGGTCACCCCTTTCCATCCATAACCTGAGGAACAGGAAATTAGGACCCCTGTGAAGGTGGCTGAGGGCAAGGAGAGAGGGTTCCTCCTCTGTGGCCTGCATTTGAGTGCTCCTTCTTCCCAGTAGCAAGAATTTCGACTGGGAGTGCGACTCTACTCAGAGGAACAGCCACAGGAAGCTGTGCCCCACCTAGAGGCGGCGCTGCAAGAATACTTTGTGGCCTATGAGGAGTGCCGTGCCCTCTGCGAAGGGCCCTATGACTACGATGGCTACAACTACCTTGAGTACAACGCTGACCTCTTCCAGGCCATCACAGGTGCGTGCAGTTCAGAGCCAGACCTTCAGCCAGGCCTCCTGGGACTCTAAGGTCACCATCTGATAATATAAATGGGGACTCTTCACCCTCATTCCTCAATTTATTAAATCTGAGAAGCTGATGAAAAATTGCTTCCATTTGAATTTGTTCATCTTAACCAGAATTTGAGTTCTAAAGAGTGACCTCATAGTTATTCCTTCTGTTTGATTCCTTTCAGATCATTACATCCAGGTCCTCAACTGTAAGCAGAACTGTGTCACGGAGCTTGCTTCCCACCCAAGTCGAGAGAAGCCCTTTGAAGACTTCCTCCCATCGCATTATAATTATCTGCAGTTTGCCTACTATAACAGTAAGGCCTACTTTCCTTCCTCTTTCTCTGCTGGCTAACTAAGAAGCTAAAGGCAAGGTGGGCAGGGATTACAGCCACTTACTTCCTCAAGGTGTTTGGCTTATTTCAGTAGCTATGGGAGGCACCATGCCAAGTGATCCCTGGGTAGTTTGTTATAAACAACTGGCCTAGGAAGCCAATACCAGCAACCCAAAAAGCTGGGGGAGGGAGACTTAGGACCTCATCTCTTGTCCCTTCTATAACTTGTAATCTATTTTTGCTTTTGAATTAAAGTTAATAGCAAAATAAGGGTATGCCACAGTTTAAACTAGCTCAGAGGACATTTGCTAGCCCTCTCCCTGGTATAGCACTGATGCTTTTGTGGGGCTGCCAATTAATACCCAGAAAACCAACTCTTTGCAGAGTCCCTACTGTGTGCTAAGCATTACAAACATATTGATGAGTGTACAATATTTACAGTTGAGTTGAGATGACTAACAAATATCAACAAGAACTATTTTGCCAAAGAGACAATCTGCTATTGTAATCTTCCTTGTCTTCTGAAAATCTATAGAAAAAAGAAGGTAGGAAGACAGGGAAATTGATCTAATGATTGAGTGTATTGAGGCAAAATATTAAGGAGTATTGGAATTATTTGTGAATCTTAAAAGATGTGGGCATGCAGAGAATTCTGATTCTTTTCTGTTTCATTGTTAGGCAGCCCTGAGGACATTGACCACCTCACCTTAAAATTAATCACACATTCTATGTGTATTACTTAACTCCTGCCCCTGAAATCAGGCCATCATGTTAAGTAGCAGGCACCAGCTTGTCATGCTGCCATTGCCTCAAGCTTTGTGGAGACTGAACACTAAGTGGTCCCTGGTGCTAGGATTTTATCCTTTCCTTTTGACTCTTTCCTCTCAGCCATTCTTCTTTCCACTTTGCAGTTGGGAATTATACACAGGCTGTTGAATGTGCCAAGACCTATCTTCTCTTCTTCCCCAATGACGAGGTGATGAACCAAAATTTGGCCTATTATGCAGCTATGCTTGGAGAAGAACACACCAGATCCATCGGCCCCCGTGAGGTGAGAGACTTCCTTCTGTTATGACAGCTGCCAGCTGAACTCAGACCTGAGGGCGGAAGAGTGGGGTAGCAGAGGGGAGTAGGCGCTGTGCGTGCAGGGCAGGGGCCAGATGTCAGTGTTGGGGCCAGATGTGAGTTCAGTCACTCGGCTTGTTATTCAGAGGAGAAGGGAGCACAGGGAGGGAGTGTGGGGAGTACACAGGAGCCTCAATTAGCGTTATCTGGGCCCAGAAGTCTATTCTCTGAGTCCCGCAGAACTGCGCGGTGAGCATATTCTTTCCCCTCTTGGCACCCCTAACTTGGACACTCGATATTATTTGGCCAAGAGCTATCATTTTTCACTTAATACTGGTTGTTTTTTTTCTGCTCACCTGTTTTCTGTCTCCATTTTCTTTCCCATCTCTTCTTCTTCCTGCCATTGTTTGTTCTCTCCCATCTTTCAGCATTTTCCCTGTCTCTCTCCAAAACCAGGAGAAATATCTGTATAACACAAAGACTGCTGCGCTGAAAGGAGACACCCAGGCTCTTCTTCCGAGCTCTGGAGTCTGAGAGCCTCCAGTAGAAACAGCCTCTTGCTGCCCCTCCTGTGTGGGTTGTCATTGTAGTTGTCCTCTTTAGCCACTAGATGGTGACCATCTGGCTTTAAGATGGCACTTCCGGTCTCTTTTGTCTTGTTTGGTTAATACCTTTTCCCTGCCTTCCTTATGGCCATTAAGGGGAGTCTGAGGGGAGTGAGGGGAAATAAACCCACGTGGCCAATCTAGCATTTTTAACTAGAAGTCCCCTTTTGGAAAGAAGGCAACTAACATTTGTTGAGCCGCTGTCCAGGCGAAGCTCTGTGCGGGGTGGGCTGTATCCATCATCTCATTTAATCATCACAGCCACCCTGCAAGGTTGGCACTCTTCTTCCCACTTTAGGGATGAGGACTGTTAGCATCTGAGAGATGAAGTAACTTGTGCAGTGGCTTGTGGCCAGTCAGTGGTGACCGGAATCTGTTCCCTGCTTGGACCCAGTGCAGGCACAGCTCCAGACACATGGCTGACACTCAGTAAATCAGCATCGAATGAATAAAGATGGAAGTGGGGTTTGCTTCATAGCAGCCTTATAGGGTCATTGGAGAGGGTTAAATGAGATAACATAGCATTTGGTGACAGAAGCCAGTAATGTAAACTCCTGAAGAGAAAACGTCTCTCTTCCTCTTAGGTAAATATAGTAGATGACATAGGATTCATTGACTCCTTTAATTCCTCCTTGAACTGCCTCATGTTTTATTTCAACTGATGTCTCCTTTTTCTCTTCCTTCCTCCTCCTGCTGCTTGGAGATTAGCAGGGCACCTAGGGAAAGATGTGACCCCGGAAAGTACTCAGTTTCCCTGCCCTGGGTAAGCCTTGCCTGGGAGTCCATGTGGGAAGCCCAGAGTGCCAGGCCCTCCCCTTTAGCTGCTTATCCTCAGGGAGGGGTGTGGTCTGGTTAGGGTCTGAGAGGAGGCAGGTGGCAGAGCAGAAAGCACATGGGCTTTAGGACTGTAAAGACCCGGCTTTATCTGTCCAAATGCACATTCTGCTATGAAAAAAAAGAAAAAGATAACAGAAGACCTGGGTTTGACTGTAGGTCGCTGCTCTCCCATGTCCTGTAGTGTCACCTTAGACAGTGGTACATCTCCTCTGTGCCTCAGATGCTTCCTCTGTAGAATGAGCATACTAGTATCAACCTCAGATGTGGCTATAAAAGATCAAATGAATAACATGTCAGTTGCCTAATGCCTGATTCCTTTTCCTGCTTTGTGGACTCCTGTAGAAGTCAAGAAGGAATTCTCCTTCTTTGAAGAATATTTCCACTTTTGAGAATCATCAGATTATCTGTCCTAGAGACTAATGGGGGTTGGGATGGGGGAGGAGCAGGGCTTTTTCCCTTAAGGAAAGCCTGGTTATTCCAGTACCTCAGAGGTACTGTTGCTTGTGCCAGGCAGAGGACACAGAAATTAGACTTTTGTCTCAAACTGGGGAACAGACAGAGAGCATTGGTAGGGAGAGGAGGCCTCAGGTCACATGGGAGCATCAGTGTGGGGTGCCAGGGAGGGGAACTCCCAGAGGTTAAAAGACAGGGCTGAGTTCTGGGGGATTTGTTTGCTTTTTTACCCTCAGAGTGCCAAGGAGTACCGACAGCGAAGCCTACTGGAAAAAGAACTGCTTTTCTTCGCTTATGATGTTTTTGGAATTCCCTTTGTGGATCCGGTGAGCTAGGGTACAGGAGCCGGAAGGGAGCGGGGAAAGAGTGAGCAGGAGAGATGAATGGGGAGGAGGGGAACACTGTGCGATTCTGAGAGAAAACTTGCTGGAGGCTGAGCCTAGCCTGGGATCTGTGCAAGGCAGGGATGAGAGACAGATGAAAGGGGAACACTGGGCAGCTAGAAGGGACTTAGATGTGGAAACCTCCCATTTTGTCTCCTGAAAGGAAGAGGGTGATAAGCTGGATTACTCCTGTGGGCCTTATTTTATGCATTGAGACACCTGGAAGATTAAGTAGATCATCTTACCTTTTTCATTTCTTCCTGACCTACTTAGGATTCATGGACTCCAGAAGAAGTGATTCCCAAGAGATTGCAAGAGAAACAGAAGTGAGGACCTTGAAGAAACTGCATGGTTGGATCAGTCTGATGAAGCACTTGAGGCTTCCTGAGCCCAGGCAGATGTGAACTCCTGGCAAGGGGTGGGCAGGTCCAGTTTGGGAAGTCGGGGTGGAGCCCAGGGCTGGCCCTGGAATGCAGTCCTCAGAGCGGCTGTGCTCATAGGTCAGAACGGGAAACAGCCGTACGCATCTCCCAGGAGATTGGGAACCTTATGAAGGAAATCGAGACCCTTGTGGAAGAGAAGACCAAGGAGTCACTGGATGTGAGCAGACTGACCCGGGAAGGTGAGAGGACAGAAATAGGGGCATGTCTGGCTGTTGTCAGGGAGCCAGGCAGGTCACCCCACATTTGCCAGGCAGCGCTCCACCCCAGCATTGCAGAGCTCACCATGAGCCAGCCACCCTTAGGGTGCAAGTTCAGTGGACATCCTTCCTAACTCACCAGCGGGACTTTCAGCTGGAAAGAGCACTGAGAATCAGCCTTTGGCTCAGAAATCAGACTCCAGGATGTAGTGGTGCACACCCGTAATCCCAGCTACTTGGCAGGCTGAGGCAGGAGGATCGCTTGAGCCCAGGAGTTTGAATCCAGCCTGGGCAATATAGCAAGACCTCATCTTTAAAAAAAAAGAAAGAAATGAGACTTCTGTGTCACAGAAACATGAGTGACTAGTGTTGTCCACTTCCATAGGTATTAACTCATCCTGTCTCCCCACTCCCAAACTGTTTTCTCCCGGTTTTCACCATTCGTCCCTTTACTGAGACTCAACGCCTTCAGGCCTCCTTTGGCTCCTCTTCCTCCTGTGCCCGTTTTCTGCAAGCTGCTGGGAAGGCCTACTGATTGTGGCTCTGCTCTGCAGTGCTTCTCAGCTCTCTCCCCAGCCTTTTCCGTTTTTCATTGCCTCAGGCTTCCTTCAGGCCCTGGCACCTCCTATCTGCACCCACCCTTTCCCCGTCTGGCCTGTCCTTGCCCCTGCCCACACAAGGTAGCTAGGCCAGTCTTCCAGACACTGGCCTCTGACCCATCCTCCGTGCCTGCCCCTTAACCGAATGTTCTACTCTTGTCCTGTTTACACCGTCTCTTCACACAGGACTGCACTTTGTTCCGTGAGCCCGCCCACTGCCCACCAGTCTGTGTTTATGCCTGGCTCTCCTAGTACGCTTCCCACCATCCCTGCCCATGAGGGCATCTGAGATATACCCTGCAAAGCCTTTCTTTTTTTTTTTTTTGGAGATGGAGTCTTGCTCTGTTGCCCAGGCTGGAGTGCAGTGGTGCAATCTTGGCTCACTGCAACCTCCACATCCCGGGATCATCAAGGAATTCTCCTGCCTCAGCCTCCCAAGTAGCTGGGATTACAGGCATGTGGCACCATGCCTGGCTAATTTTTTTGTATTTTTAGTAGAGATAGGGTTTCACCATGTTGGCCAGGCTGGTCTCAAACTCCTGACCTTGTGATCCACCCGCCCTGGCCTCCCAAAGTGCTGAGATTATAGGCATAAGCCACTGTGCCCTGCCGTAAAGCCTTTCTTAACCTCCCAGATGATTGGAGTCCCCTCCTTTCTTTTGAACTTCTTAGGGCATTTATGGTCTGTCTTATGCTAGTTATTTGCATAATTGTTAGAGAACAGGTACTGTCTTCTAGGATTCATCTCTCACCCTATCTGGCACAGTTCCTGGTACACACTGAGGCCTCAGTTATCAAGTGGAGTTGAACTGAGTCTCTAGTATTAGTATGTCCCTAGCACAGAGAAACACCATGAGAACTGTAAGAGAGAAATGTTGACCTTTGCCCTATAGTTGCTTAAATTAACAGTGGTTAATTAAACAAGATTAGCGTATGAAAAGAATTTGTCCAGCATTCCTTTGTTTTCAGACCACTTTCACTTTGTTATTTCTCTTGATTCTTATAACTGAGAGGTGAGTCATGCAGATTGCAAGATCCTTATTTTAAATGAATAATGATGATGATACCATGGTAGCCAAACTTTTGAGGACTTACCATATGCCAAATATTGTACTAAGCTTTTAACTTGCCTTCCTTGTTCTTAACATTATACTGGCATCAAACATATAAGGTAGATGCTGTTTGACAGATGAGAACATTTTAATTAATTAAAATTAACCTCAGGGAGGTTAAGTAACTTGCCAAGGTCACACAGCTAATCAATGGAGGATCTAGGAGTCAAAGTCAGTTCTTCCTCGTTCCCGAGCTCATGTTTTAGGATTGTGTTTCTGATGTTTCCTCAAGAGTGTGTCATGGCCCAAAAGCCAGCAGCTATTTGGTCATGGAGCTGGGACTGGGAATCTCATCTTTCAGCTCTATGTTCTGTCCTCTGGACTATTCTACCTTTGAAAATGACCTAGCGGGAGATTTTGCTGGTGAAAAGGAAACAGCTGGAATTTCTATTTGTGACGAGGAGGCAATATCCAATGGAGAGTCTTTGGTCTAGCTGCTGCTAGATTTAGCTAGAGTTTTGTCATTGCTTTGCAGGTGGCCCCCTGCTGTATGAAGGCATCAGTCTCACCATGAACTCCAAACTCCTGAATGGTTCCCAGCGGGTGGTGATGGACGGCGTAATCTCTGACCACGAGTGTCAGGAGCTGCAGAGACTGACCAATGTAAGGGAAGCCCAGTGACTGCACCTTCCCCCAAGGGTCCAGCATCCCCCCACCAAGTGCCCCTTGGGTGGTAGCCTTCGCCTTCCTCTTCCTGGCCACAGTTGACCACCTCTTCTCAAGCCCTCAGCTGCCCTGGCTAACATCACCTTGTGTTTTGGGCCTTGTAGGTGGCAGCAACCTCAGGAGATGGCTACCGGGGTCAGACCTCCCCACATACTCCCAATGAAAAGTTCTATGGTGTCACTGTCTTCAAAGCCCTCAAGGTAAGATCAACACTGGGCATTCTAGAGTGTGGAGAAAGGGGTGGGGAAGGGGGAAGCTCAGGCTTTGAGGAAGAGTTGGGGCTGGTGGCAGGAAAGGTGAAGAGGGTCCACCTGCCAACATTCTTGTTGCCAGGAAGCGAGGATGAGTTATGTTGCGTGAGGTTCACTTTTGAATCCTGTTAGACCGAGTGTAATCAAAACAAAGTGAGCAGGATAAGACTGTTCGCCAAAGCTATGAGAATGCTTTCTTTAGAAAGGCTGATTCTAGAGGGCTGTGCTTCTGTGCAGGATGCACAGTGTGCTCATAAAGAGAGATAAGAAGGACAGGAGGAAGAGGAATATAGTAGGGGTATTGGGCGTGGGCAGCAGAGGCTGCAGCTTCAGTGGGGGTGTGGGGACGTGGGATGGGCCTGGTACTCATTGTCTCTGGCCCCTAAAGAGGGGCGTTGTGTTAGTCCGTTTTCACACTGCTGATAAAGACGTACCCGAGACTGGGCAATTTACAAAAGAAAGAGGTTTACTTGGACTTACAGTTCCATGTGGCTGGGGAAGCCTCACAATCATGGTGGAAGGCAAAGAGGAGCAAGTCACATCTTACATGGATGGCAGCAGGCAAAGAGAGAACTTCTGCAGGCAAACTCCCATTTTTTTATTTTTTATTTTTTATTATTTTATTTATTTATTTATTTATTTATTTATTTTTTTTTTATTGATCATTCTTGGGTGTTTCTCGCAGAGGGGGATTTGGCAGGGTCACAGGACAATAGTGGAGGGAAGGTCAGCAGATAAACAAGTGAACAAAGGTCTCTGGTTTTCCTAGGCAGAGGACCCTGCGGCCTTCCGCAGTGTTTGTGTCCCTGGGTACTTAAGATTAGGGAGTGGTGATGACTCTTAACGAGCATGCTGCCTTCAAGCATCTGTTTAACAAAGCACATCTTGCACCGCCCTTAATCCATTTAACCCTGAGTGGACACAGCACATGTTTCAGAGAGCACAGGGTTGGGGATAAGGTCACAGATCAACAGGATCCCAAGGCAGAAGAATTTTTCTTAGTACAGAACAAAATGAAAAGTCTCCCATGTCTACTTCTATCCACACAGACCCCGCAACCATCCGATTTCTCAATTTTTTCCCCACCCTTCCCGCCTTTCTATTCCACAAAACCGCCATCGTCATCATGGCCCATCCCCAATGAGCCGCTGGGCACACCTCCCAGACGGGGTCGTGGCTGGGCAGAGGGGCTCCTCACTTCCCAGTAGGGGCGGCCGGGCAGAAGCGCCCCTCACCTCCCGGATGGGGCGGCTGGCCGGGCGGGGGGCTGACCCCCCCACCACCCTCCCGGACGGGGCGGCTGGCCAGGCAGAGGGGCTCCTCACTTCCCAGTAGGGGCAGCCGGGCAGAGGCGCCCCTCACCTCCTGGATAGGGCGGCTGGCCGGGCAGGGGGCTGACCCCCCCACCTCCCTCCCGGACGGGGCGGCTGGCCGGGCAGAGGGGTCCTCACTTCCCAGTAGGGGCGGCCGGGCAGAGGCGCCCCTCACCTCCCGGACAGGGCGGCCGGCCGGGCGGGGGGCTGACCCCCCCACCTCCCTCCCGGACGGGGCGGCTGGCCGACCACCCCCCCCGGCCTCCCTCCCGGACGGGGTGGCTGGCCGGGCTGAGGGGCTCCTCACTTCCCAGTAGGGGCGGCCGGGCAGAGGCGCCCCTCACCTCCCGGACGCAAACTCCCATTTTTTTAAAGCCACCAGATCTCGTGAGACTTATTCAGTATTATGAGAACAGCACGGGAAAGATCCACCCCCATTATTCAGTCATCTCCCACCAGGTCCCTTCCACAACACATGGGAATTATGGGAACTACAAGATAAGATTTGGGTAGGGACACAGAGCCAAACCATATCAGTCGTTGAGGGCAGCTGACCATCTGTCTCCTTGGCAGCTGGGGCAAGAAGGCAAAGTTCCTCTGCAGAGTGCCCACCTGTACTACAACGTGACGGAGAAGGTGCGGCGCATCATGGAGTCCTACTTCCGCCTGGATACGCCCCTCTACTTTTCCTACTCTCATCTGGTGTGCCGCACTGCCATCGAAGGTGGGCCTCATTACCCCTGCAGCACCCGCCCCCGCATGCTGTACCTCAGCTCTGTGCTGGATGCTGAAGACACAGAGAGAACAGGATGCGGTCCCTTTTCTTCAGTTGGGGAACCAATGTAAATACATGGGTGGCATCCCAGTGTGATGCATGCCACAGTAGCATGGAGGAAGTTATAGTCAACCTACCTGGGGATCAAGAAGGCTTCCCAGAGGGAAATGGGGTGCAGCCAGAAAGGGGGCCACCCGTCACTTGTCACACAACGCACTTTAATGGGGAAGCTGGTGCTAAACCATTCATAGAGGACCTGCCTCCGGGTTAGGGTTTCATACATAGCTGAGCAGCTCCCTCGCTGCCATCTGTTGAAAGACAGCCCTCAACAGAAGGGCTTGTTAAAAGCAAAAATAATAACAACAACAACAACAACAAAAAGAAGGCTTCCCAGAGGAAGCAATGGCAGTTTTGCAGGATGAATACGATTACGGAGTACTCCGGGTGGTGGGATGGTGTTTGCACAGGAGTGGAGGCATTGTGCAGCCTGGTAGTCAGGGGAACTAAGAAAGGTGCCAAATCCTGGAGAGCTACATTCAAGGGAATTTTTATCCTTTAGCTCAACCATAGCTATGTGGCAGATTCTCTTTTACTAATTGTTAAATACCAAATTTGTGAGAGAGCTTCGTGATTTACAAGTGAGAGTGGCCTGGAGGTTATTCCTCATTCCCTCGCCCACCCACATTCCCTTTTGCATGTCCAAGAAGGGGAGAGGTTCAGCTAGTGCTGCAAGGATCCTATGTGGCCCAGAGCCGGCTCTGTCATACTGGAGCCTCCAGCAGGCCCCTGGCAGTGATGGCCATTGGTACGTGGCACAGATCAGAGGGCTTTCCTCTACCTCAGAATGTTTGGAATTCTGTCACAATCTGGGCACACCCAAAGGGACCAGTCAGACACACAACTGGGTGTGTCACAAGCCCCCGGTGGGAGAGCACAAGCACAGGTGCCAGGAGGCCAGGGAGGCCTCATCAAGCAGTGAAGGACGTGGTGAGGCCTTGACTTTTAAAGGATTCATTTTGCTGCTGTGTGTGTGGAGAGATTTCAAACCAAAAAGGGAAGCTGGTCAGCAATGACCTCTGTGGACAAGGGCAAAGCCCTAAACTCAGGAAGTGGCAGTGGGAGGAGGGAGAAGTGAGGCCCCGGGAAGGTGCAGGAGGTGGATGGACAGGACCTGGTGACTGGCTGGACAAGTGGGAATGGAGAAGGAGGCACCCACCACGACGTGACGGTGCCTACATAGAGCATGCCAAAGGTTTGCGTTGGGGAAAGACGTGGTCTGCCTGGCATTTGACAGTGAGCCCGGTCTGTTCCCTTTCGTGACCTTCTCCCTGCATGGTTTCTCCACCCACCCCACCCCAGAGCCCCACTGAAGTTCATGCTTTCCCTTTGCTAGCCAGCTCTTCTCTGCCCCACTTCCTGCCACTCAGCCCCATCTCCTGCAGTCCTGATGGAGGACTGACCCACTCTGCCCTGCGTCCGTCCCACCTCCTGATCCCTCATTCTCACTTCCCTGGGCCTTTGTATTTTGTAAAGTCCAGCTACAAACCAGGGTTGTGCCATTCTGCCCAGGATCTGCCCTTGGTTGGAGCCCTTCATTCCTGCTTGCCACACCCTGCTCACTTCTGCCAAGAACTGTCCTAGGAAGCCTGCAGACTTGTCCTGACCCCTAGGCTTGTGGCTTAGCCAAAGACACCCCCCTAGTTCATTGGGCATTCCGTAGACTCAAACACATTTTGGGAAGCACCTCCCCTGCCAAGAAGAGAGCTATGCCGTCTCCCGAGGTGCTCCCTTGCTAACATGTGTGACATTGGCCCCAGAGGTCCAGGCAGAGAGGAAGGATGATAGTCATCCAGTCCACGTGGACAACTGCATCCTGAATGCCGAGACCCTCGTGTGTGTCAAAGAGCCCCCAGCCTACACCTTCCGCGACTACAGGTGAGTGCGGGGCAGGTGCAGGGTGAGGAGGTCTGTGCCCTCCTCAGAGGCCCCACAGTGCCCTGCACTCTACTACCCCACCCTAGCACACACACACTGGTTGGGGCTAGCTGTTCCCAGAGTCCAATCCTTTATCCCCAAACCCGCTGGATAAGAAGATAGGCAAAGAGGGAATCATATCGTGGTGTGACAAGAACGGTAGTGTGAGTGGGCACAGGGGACTCTAAGGCGAGGGTGGAGAGTGGAAAGGTGGAGTTTGTACGGCATCAGTATAGGTTCTTAAAGGTTTCCCTCCCACACAAAGCCACCCTCCTGCTGCTGGTTGAGAGCACCTGGAGGTGAAGGCTCAGGGGAAAGGGAGGCAGGGAAGGGCCATGATGAGATGTCTCTGCCTTTCCCAGCGCCATCCTTTACCTAAATGGGGACTTCGATGGCGGAAACTTTTATTTCACTGAACTGGATGCCAAGACCGTGACGGTGAGTGCTCCCTTGTCCTTGTCCCTGGGAGATAAAAAGTCTGTTTTCTACAGCTGATGTTCCCAAAGTGCAGTGGACAAAAATAACCAACTGGGCTTCCCAGTGGGCGGTACCCTTCCCCCATCCAGAGGGGCTTTGAGACGTGTCCATCACTCCTCTAACCAGTCACCCTTTCTCTTTAGTTCTGGTCTTAGGGAAGCCATACTGAAGAGCTGCCCTCGGTCGTGAGCCCTAATGAGCCCATGTCTCTTCTGAGAGTGGATTACAGTCTTTGTCCTGTGCAACCCCCCTCCCTTTCTGTCCCCCTTAGGCAGAGGTGCAGCCTCAGTGTGGAAGAGCCGTGGGATTCTCTTCAGGCACTGAAAACCCACATGGAGTGAAGGCTGTCACCAGGGGGCAGCGCTGTGCCATCGCCCTGTGGTTCACCCTGGACCCTCGACACAGCGAGCGGGTGAGAGCAGCTCGAGCGGGTGAGAGCAGCTGGTGCTGTGGTGACCCGTTCCCAGAGCGCCCTTGGTTTGCCTTTCTCTTCCCCAAATCCCATTGCCAGTGGCTGAGACACGAAAGGAGCACTTGGGACACCAGCTCCAACGCCCTGTCATTATGGTCACATTGCCTTGTCCTCCCTGGGCCTGCTGTGAACGGGATCCAGGTGGGGAAAGAGGTCAAGACAGGGAGCGATGCTGAGTTCTTGGTTCCCTCCTTGGGCCCCACTTCAGCTGTCCTTTTCCAGAGAGTAGGACCTGCTGGGAAGGAGATGAGCCTGGGGCCATTAAGGAACCTTCCTTGTCCCCTGGGAAGTAGCAGCTGAGAGATAGCGAGTGTCTGGAGCGGAGGCCTCTCTGAATGGGCAGGGGTTTGTCCTTGCAGGACAGGGTGCAGGCAGATGACCTGGTGAAGATGCTCTTCAGCCCAGAAGAGATGGACCTCTCCCAGGAGCAGCCCCTGGATGCCCAGCAGGGCCCCCCCGAACCTGCACAAGAGTCTCTCTCAGGCAGTGAATCGAAGCCCAAGGATGAGCTATGACAGCGTCCAGGTCAGACGGATGGGTGACTAGACCCATGGAGAGGAACTCTTCTGCACTCTGAGCTGGCCAGCCCCTCGGGGCTGCAGAGCAGTGAGCCTACATCTGCCACTCAGCCGAGGGGACCCTGCTCACAGCCTTCTACATGGTGCTACTGCTCTTGGAGTGGACATGACCAGACACCGCACCCCCTGGATCTGGCTGAGGGCTCAGGACACAGGCCCAGCCACCCCCAGGGGCCTCCACAGGCCGCTGCATGACAGCGATACAGTACTTAAGTGTCTGTGTAGACAACCAAAGAATAAATGATTCATGGTTTTTTTTACTTGGTTTGTTCAGACAATGGAAATTTGCCCATTCTGTCCCAGAGGTCTCACTTGATAAAAATTGCTCTAGGCAGGACCCAGTGGCAGGTGTGGGACGAGAAGTCCTGGCTTGGCACCTGGCTCAACCACTTGCTGTGCAGCCACAGGCCAGACACTTAACCTTCAGCACCTCGGGGTTGTCATCTGTATAATGGGGATCATAGTCCTCCCTCTGCTCACCTTCTGGGGCAGCTGTATGGCCCAGATGCAATATCGGATGTGACAACACTTTTGTAAACGGTAAAGCTCTGGGTGAATGGTTGGGATTATTGTTAATCCTCTTCTGGCAGGGAGCGGCGGTCAGCAGTGCTCTGGCACGTCACCCCTATGTCAGCCACATGCTTCCTGCTCTGCCGTCTGGCCTCAGTGTCCTGTATCTCGGCCTCCCTGTGCAGGAAGACACACTCTAGGAAACACTGGAAATGGAGATTCAGCTCCTCTGGCTACATCCCTGGTACTAGGTCCAGAGCTTTTACTGTGCTTGAGATGCCACAGGGCGTTGAGTGTAGGAACCTGCACATGAGTGTTCACTTCTTCCATCAATCAATATGTATTTACTGAGCACCAGCTAAGTGCCTGGTGCTGGGAACGTGGCAGTGAACAAGTCCCCACCTTCATACAGCTTGTATTTTGTAGGAGAAACAGATAACACATGTAAATTGTGTGTGTGTGTGTGTGTGTGTGTGTGTGTGTGTAAAACCCTTAGAGGTAGAAAATAAAACAAGTCAGGGTCCAAGGTGGAGGAAAAACAAGGAAGCCAATGTGGCGGTGTAGATTGGTCAAGAAAGAGTATGGTGACATTAGCCAGGAGACGTGTCACGTGCCTGTAGTCCCAGCTGGACGCTGAGGCAGGAAGATCGCTTGAGCCTGGAAGTTCGAGGCTGCAGTGAGCTATGATCGCCCGACTGCACTCCAGCCTTCACAAGAAAGCAAGATCCCAACTCTAAAAACAAATAAAAAGGAAAGTGGTGGATTGTCAGGGGTGTCTGGGGGCCTATTTTTAAAGTAGAGCCAACAGGCATTGCTGATGGATTGGATGTGAGGTGTGAGAAAAGGCATCAAGAAGAAGCTAGGCCAGGCTCAGTAGCTCCGCTTGTAATCCCAGCAGTTTGGGAGGCGAAGGCCAGTGGATCACTTGAGTTCAGAAGTTTAAGACCAGCCTGGTCAACATAGGGTGACCCTATCTCTAAAAAAAACTTGAAAAGCCAGGCATGGTGATGCACACCTGTGGTCCCAATACTAAGGAGGCTGAGGTAGGAGGATCATGAGCCCAGGACGTCAAGCCTGCTCCATTGCACTCCAGCCTGAGTGACAGAGCAAGACCATGTCTCAAAGAAAGAACAAGGCTGGTCTTTGTGGCTCACGCCTGTAATCCCAGCACTTTGGGAGACTGAGGTGGGTGGCTCACCCAAGGTCAGGAGGTCGAGACCAGCCTGGCCAACATGGTGAAACCCGTCTCTACTAAAAATACAAAAATTAGCTGGGTGTGGTGGCAGGCGCCTGTAATCCCAGCTACTCGGGAGACTGAGGCGAGATAATCATTTGAACCCAGGAGGCGGAGGTTGCAGTGAGCCAAGATCACGCCATTGCACTCCAGCCTGGGCAACAAGAGTGACACTCCATCTCAAATAAATAAATAAGAACAAAAACAAAAATTTCAATTAAAAAGTTTATTGGGCTGAGCACAGTGGCACACACTTGTAATCCCAACACTTTGGGAGGCCAAGTCAGGAGATCACTTAAGCCCAGGAGTTCAAGACCAGCCTTGGCAACATTGGAAGACCGTATTGCTATTAAAAAAGAAAAATTGTTTTTTAGGAAACGATTATTTTTTGAGCTGGGAGATAGCACTGCGTGTTAGTTGGCTGGTGGGAATGATCCAGTCAAGACAGTCACTCCTCCTTTTATCATGGTTGATCCCCGCCATCCTATTTGGGTGGCTCACTCGGCGTACAGAGAGGACCACGTTAGTGCAAAAAGCATGAACTTTACCCACACACTGAGCTGGGTGACACTCCCACTTCCACCATGTGGAGTTGTGTGACCTCCAGCAAGTTAGGGAACCTGTATGTGTTTCCTCACCAGCGGAATGGAATCACAGTCCTTCCCGCGATGGTTGAGCGGATGAACAAGGGAATGCTCACAAAGCAACCAGCACGACACTTAGCCCATGGTAGACATCAACATTACAGAAGACTACATCAGCCTAATTCTGGTTTTCCAGAAGTTTCCACATCAAGGCAGATGACTTTACAGTTTCAACTTATGCTAAACAGATACAGGCAGCAGCCTCTTAACTGAGCTCACAAAAGGCCAGATGTTTTCAAGGCAGCAGGCCCAAGATAAGTGTATATAGAGTGGGGCGAGTCCTCCTGGAAGCATGGGGTGATGGCAGCCCGGCTGAGATGCGACTGTGATTTCGGTCTGCGTTTGGTAACGCACATGCAAGGGCGCGCGAGCAATGAGAGGATGACTGCTTGAGAAGAAAGGAGAGAGCCCATGGGAGGGTTGGAGGGGATGAAAGGCAACTCCTCAAACACAGTGAAGATTTGGATGTGGAAGACGCCGCTGGTCTCTGGCGCCCCAGGCATCTAGCAGAGCTCTCAGCAGGGGCATCAAGAGACAGATGCTGTACTCAGTGTGGTTAGCACAGGTAAATGGGACAGCCACATGTGTCACAGAGGCGCAGGGCCCGGGCGAGAGGGTGGAACACAAAAATGTGTCTGCTAACACAGTCTCAAGGTGCTCAGGGACCTTAGGAAGGAGGTAAACGACGCAATAAGTGCAGTGAATGGAAATATGCCAAGAGTATGATGGGATTGCAGATCAGGATGCTTAGCCGTGCCTGGGCAGGCAGAATCGTTGGGGGTGGCCACACAGCTGGCTGTATTGCTTTCTAGCTGTGCGCCCTGAGGCAAGTAGTCTCCATTCCAAGCTTATAGTTCCGGGAATCTCAGACTCTGAGTTGGGAGGGTGATAAGAACTCCAAAATTTCAAATGATGATTGCAGAGAAGGTGCTAGATTGCTAAAGACTGAATCGGACCCTCCTAACTGACAATGAGAGAGGGCGGTGGAAAGGTCTCCGATTTTTCACAGGGAGGGAGGCAAAAGCATTGAATCCTCATACCAATCAGTCAATGATCAACACATACCTAGCAAGGCTGGCTCTCGGTCAGGCACTGTTGCAGAGGAAGTGGCAGTGGGTCTTCAGCCACAGGCAGTCTGCCCACTCCCAGAGTGCGAAGGCTGGAGGGGCAGACTGTGCGGGGAGTCTTTTTGGAACAGAGCTTTCATTAGTCACAGTTCTGCAGGCGTTTTATGCTTTCAAACAGCCTTTCTCACCTATCATCTGATCCTTGTAAACTCCCTCATGCATCAGACAGGGCAAGTGTTATTATCCCTACTTTTCAATGGAGAAACCAGGCCCAGGGAAGCTGAGGATTTGGCTAATGTCCCATAGCTTTTCAGTGGCAGGGGTAAAGCTAGAACTGTAGGCTTCTCATAGCCTGAGTGAAAGCACAGGGTGCTGTGCTACCCCAGGGCAGTTTCAGTGAGCTCTTAATGGAGGCTGGGCTGTGACCCTGAGCCTTCCTGTTCTCCCCGCATGTCTGGGAGTCATTGGACTGCAAGGGGGGGCACCAGGAGTGGTAGGTGTCCTGGGTGGAGAAGCTGTGCCAGGTTAAGGAATGCCGCTCCAGAAGCAGAATCTGAATTCCAAAAGGCTTTGGAACAAGAATGAGGGAAGGCCGTCAGGGTAGGAGAGAATATTTTGGTAGAACAGACTCAAAGCCTCAAATAACAAAGAGAAGGGATAAACAGAAGCACTTCAGAGGAAGAGGAGAGCACTGTTCCGGATCACGAAGAGGCTCTGGGAACACCCAGGATGGAGGAGCATGCAGGCCTCCTGCTGGCTCTGTGGCCCTGTGGACCCGTGGCTCCCTTTCTCTCTTTGGCCCTCAAATTGTCAATGGAGGGGGCCGCAGCCCATGGTCTCTGAGGCATGCTTCTGACTGGCCTCTGGGCTCCTGACCCAGGTCCCCCTGAAACCAGAATGACCCCTGGATCTTCCCTACAGAGAGAGCGCCTGCAGATGGCGGGGAAAAGGGGCCAAGGCCCAGCGTGGAGAGAAGGAGGACTTTGCCTTTGGAGGAGCATATGCGGAGCAGCTACCCAGCACCAGGCCCCTGCCCTCCCCAGACATCGCTTACTTTAACGGACCACCACAACTCCATGAAGCAAACCTCCCATTTAGAGTGAGGACCCTGAGGCACCACAGTCATTCAGGTCACCCCTGGGGAGCATCTTGTCACTGCCCGCAGCCCCCTTCAATCTGGACCTGGTGCCTCCCTCAAAAAGGGAGGAGTGTGGGAGAGAGACCACAGGGGCCAGCACCACACAGTTTCAAGCGGAAAGCCCTTCCTGCTGTTTCCTGGCTGGGGGTCTATTACCTCCCTCTGCCGTGGTCTCCTTACTGTTAGGAGGCCTGCTGCCTGCAACAGTGGCCCACATGCTTAAATTAATGCACTGGTCACAGGGTGCCCATTGCGGCCCCAGTAGGATGGAGGAGGCTCCCCTCAATCCTACTGTCTTGTCATTGTGGTAGAAGAATCTGAGCTCAGGACTTACTTCTCTGCCACTGTCCTAGACCCCATTTGGTCTTGGGACCCACAGGTCGTCCAGGAAGCAGGTCTGTGTGTGCTCGGATCCACGTGGCTCTGACCCTCCCAGCACAGAGAGCCTGAGGGTCCCAGTGTGCACCACCACAGGTCAAGCAGTGCCCACCCTTGACCCTCAGATGGCAGACCACTCCCCCATCTCTGGCCAGAGCTGCAGGCCATACCAGAGGCCTACGCCCTGGGCGGGCACACAGGGCTGCCATTGTCTGCTCAGCGCCTGGCACCCTCTCGTTTGCATAGCCACGTGAAGAATGCAAGAGCGGGCTGGGGACTTGTCCCTTCAGAGGGGGGTTGGGGCTGTGGGGGAGGAAGCCAGCAGGGGTCTGCAGCAGGACCCTGCCTTCCCCCAGTGCAGTCCAGGAAGGGTGGGTGGGCTGTTGGGGACGGAGGGGGCGGCGGGGGGCTGGCAGGAGTGGAAGCAGGGTTGTGACATTCCTTCTGCACCCACGCTGCAGTGGGGCCCACTTGAACGTGAGGGGATTGCTAATGAGGTGGAAGAGAGTTAAACATTCCCCTACTCCTGAAGACCAAGAGAGACTGGGAGAGAGAAGAGGGAGGTGGGGGTGCTCGGAGCGGGCAGCCTGAACCCCGGGAATGTGCAGAGGCCACTGCTCCGCGCCAGGCTGCTCTAGAGTTGGGGGCCAGGGCCCAGTGTTCCAGTCCCAGCAGGAGCTACTAAGCCAGCCAGCAAGGGGATTAAGGGGCTGAGCAATCCGCCTTCCTTCAGGCTGATGCCAGAAGGTTGGGGCTGTCTCCCCAGCTCCCCACCAGGCCCCTTGCTGGCCGGCAGCCAGCGCTGGCCCAGCCTCGATAGGGCCCCTTTTCTGTCCCCCTCAGATCTCAAAAAGACCCCACAGTACATATTTCCTGGTCTGGCCTCCCTGATTTTTGGCACACACAGCTCCCAGGTACCCATGACCCCTCTTCCCAACACCCCACCGCTAGCTCAGCCTCCCCACATCCAGCTTCAGAGCCCCTGCCAAAAAGTTATCCTTGACATCTAACTCTAGTTTTACCCGCTGCAAACTGGCATTCCTTTCCCTTCTGTCCTAAAGTCAAAGGGCAGAAAACCCCAAGGGTTAGATCAGCCTTGCAAGAGCAAAGTCCATCCTCCCAGGGCTGGTGTTTGGGTTAGGGATTATCCGAATTTTAGGACACCCGAATCAGGTTCCTAAAGGGGTTTCCCTGTGGGGAAAGGCCCAGAGGGCAGCTGGGTCATTCCTCTCAGCCCCTCCCTTCCCTATCCCTGCGGAACGGGGCGGGGCAGGGACACCACCTGGGCCATGGGCCGGCCCTCCGCCCCCAGGGGGCTGGGCATGAGCTTTGCTGGGGACCCTGCTCTGGCTTAGGCGGCTGCTGTGGGCGGGCCCTGGCCTTTTCCAGCCCCTGGGCCTCCCCCTGCATTCTGGAGTCCAGAGCCACTGCCTTTGCTCCAGCCGCTGCCGCCGCACCACCTCTCCTTCTCTGCCTCTGACCCTCCTTCTCGCTGCTCCCCCTGCCCAGCTGCTCCTCCCACCTGGCCATGACCAAAGCCCCTGCTGGCACCCTGGCCCAGCTCTGAGTCCTGGGACCCTCGGTCCTCTCTCCTGGGCCATGGCCAACTCAGGCCTCCAGCTCCTGGGCTACTTCTTGGCCCTGGGTGGCTGGGTGGGCATCATTGCTAGCACAGCCCTGCCACAGTGGAAGCAGTCTTCCTACGCAGGCGACGCCATCATCACTGCCGTGGGCCTCTATGAAGGGCTCTGGATGTCCTGCGCCTCCCAGAGCACTGGGCAAGTGCAGTGCAAGCTCTACGACTCGCTGCTCGCCCTGGACGGTAGGCCCCAGGCCGGCGGGGTGGGAGATGGGAGGTGGGAACAGCAGGGGAGTCTGGAGCAAGTTTTCCTCACAGTCTGCTATCTGCGCTGGGCTCCAACCTCCAGCCTCCGCTCTACAATTCCCCCACTACTGCCCTGTGCCCATTGACGGTCCAGGCCAGCCTGCTGCCCTGTGGGAGGGGAGGGCTCTAGGGTCTGGCGGCTGTGGGTCCAGATTCCTGCTCTGTCACTATAACTTTGAACTAGTCACCAAACCTCTTCCCATTGTGATGTTCTCATCTCTAAAGGGGAATACTAATACCTGTGGCACTCTGAAAGACTCAGTTAAGACCCTTCATCCACTTCTCCCCACAGTCAGTAGACAGACACACACTGTATGATGCACACCTGCTCCCTAGTCCTGCTCCCAGGCCTGTGTGCCAGCATATGGGTGCATGCACATGCATGCAAACACGCATGCACACGCACACACGTGCACATGCATGCACAGACAGGTGTGTCTGCATGCAGTCCCTCTCCTTCTGGGGTGTGGAGATGAGCCTGACAGGCACCGCCGAAGTTCTAACTCTGGGGTGGAGGTGATCCACCTGCAATCTGCCCAGGAGCCCCCAGGGACAATCTGCTCCCCATGGGAGCTGGGAGCAGAGCGGCCTTCAACCAGCCCCATTGTGCCAGTTCAGGCAGGTCAGTTCAGGCAGGTCATCTAGCCTCGCTGAGGGACCCAGGTCTCCTGAGCACCCCCCAGGGCCCAGGATGGACCCATGCACCCGTGAAGAGGCAAGCTTCCAGCTGCCATGGGCAGAGGGGAAAGTGACTGTTGTCTGAATGGCTGCTGGGGAGGGGTTGCTGCGGGGCTCAGGCTGAGTTGAGCTGGGCCTCAGATACCCCCAGCTCTTCCACCTACCAAACCTGAGGGGACCCTGGAGCTGCCCTCAGCTGCTTGGGAGGATGGGCCAAGCCCAAGAGGGAGTCCCCAGGCCAGAAAGCAACAGCAGAGTGAATCATACTACCGGAAAAGCCTGCAAGGGCGAGTGGAGAATGGCGTTGACAGTGAAGGGGACTCTCACCCCCACACCCTGTCCTCATGCCCGGGCTGTCACTCCTCACTATCCTGCACCTGCCAGAAGGTGGTCTGACCCCCCAGGCCAGCTCCTGCTCAAGCCCCTCTCAAGCTGGGCTCCTTCCACCGACCCCAGGCACCGACCCAACCCCCATCCCCGCCAGCCCGACTCAGTGTCATCCCGCCCACCCTAGGTCACATCCAATCAGCGCGGGCCCTGATGGTGGTGGCCGTGCTCCTGGGCTTCGTGGCCATGGTCCTCAGCGTAGTTGGCATGAAGTGTACGCGGGTGGGAGACAGCAACCCCATTGCCAAGGGCCGTGTTGCCATCGCCGGGGGAGCCCTCTTCATCCTGGCAGGTGAGTGCCCCTCACTCCTGCACAATCACAACCATGGCAGGCAGCCCCAGCCCCAGTGGCCTCGGGGGGCCAGAGCAGAGCTGAGCGCCCCTCTGCTTTGTCTTTAGGCCTCTGCACTTTGACTGCTGTCTCGTGGTATGCCACCCTGGTGACCCAGGAGTTCTTCAACCCAAGCACACCTGTCAATGCCAGGTGGGTGCCAGGGCTTGGGTCTTTTGCTTTACCTCCTCTGGGGCCACTGACCTTTGTCCACTGGATCACCTGGCGGGGGAAGTGGGGACAGGATCCAGCTGCTGTCCAAGAAGCTTTAAAGGGGGGCGCCAGGAGGAGTGTGGTGGGGCCCTCCATAGGGGCGGGAGGCCTGTGATGGGCACCCAGGTGCAGCAAGGACTCTCTAAGGACCTAAGTGCCCTGGCTCTGGGTTTCAATCCCAGCTCTGGCTGGGTGCAGTGGCTCACGCCTGTAATCCCAGCACTTTGGGAAGCCAAGATGGGTGGATCACCTGAGGTCAGGAGTTCAAGACCAGCCTGGCCAACATGGTGAAACCCCGTCTCTATTAAAAATACAAAAAATATCTGGGCATGGTGGCGGGCGCCTGTAATCTCAGCTACTCGGGAGGCAGAGGCAGGAGAATAGCTTGAACCCGGGAGGCAAAAGTTGCAATGAGCCGAGATTGCGCCACTGCACTCCAGTCTGGGTGACAGAGTGAGATTTTGTCTCAAAAAAATCAAACGATCAATCAATCCCAGCTTTGCATGCACTGTGTCACCTGGGCAAGTTACTTAATCTTTCTGTGCCTAGTTTCCTCCTCTGTGAAATGGAGCTAGAACCTGAGCACCAGTTCACACATGGTTGTCAGGATCCAGCAGGATGCAGGTGAGGGTGTGGCACCGTGCCCGGGCCCTGGACAGTACCCAGCAAGCCTGAGCTGTTTTCATTTCTGCTGGTGGCAGCAGGGCTGAGATGACTTCCTGCAGGAGGCAGCAGTTATTCTGGGCCAGGAAGAAACTTGAGAATAAGGGCAGATCGTGGAGGGCCTTGCAACCACAGGAAGATTTTGTTCCTCATTTGGGTGGAGGCAGCGGCAGTCCTTCTGGCTGTGATGTGCAGAATGGTGGGGAGGGAGTGACACCAGGAAGGCGGCTGTCCCAAAGGTCTGAGCAGAGAGTTTGGGGCAACAGGGAGGGAGCAGTGGAAAGCAGGCTGATATTCAGGAGATAACCAGGACTTGTAAGACTGTGGGCATGGGAACTGAAGGGGATGCTCTGCAAAGGGCCTGGGCCCACCTTGGCTCCTCCCTCACTTCTCAGCCTAGCCAGGAGCAGAGAATGGGACAGTCTTAACCCTAGACATCCCAATGGGCTTTGGGCCTTGGGGTGGAGAGAGGATGAGAAAAGATGTCTGGGCTTTTGCAATCGGGAGGGATGCCTGGAGGAGGCAGAGGTGTTGAGAGGCAAGGGGAGGGAGGAGATCTCAGGTACAAGGTTTGTTCCCTGGGTGGTGGCTGCAGCCACAAAGTCTGCCAAGCAAGGTCCAGCTCAGGCATGTCAGGATAGGACTCGGCCCCCGATCCCTTCAACAGTCCCCAATGCCACTTGGGCTGCCAGGCCCTGTGCTGGGTCCTGGGGACACTGATGGCTCTGTCTGCCCTCAAGGGGCTTCCCAGGGAGCCGGACAAGCAAGGGGCTGAGGCCTCCTGGAGAAAGCATGGTAGTGGAGTCGGCGCAAGGGGCGGGGTGAACACAGAGGATGTCAAGGAAAGACCCCACGAAGAGGTGGCATCTGAACTGGGCTCTGAAGGCAGAGAAGGAACAGGGGAGGCACAGGAGTGGTGGGCTGGGGGGCTTGGTGCCCCAGCTGGGGGTGCCTTGTGCAAAGGCACCAAGGCAGTGAGAACCAGGAGCAGGGCTGGCCTGGCCAGCAGGGTCTGGGTGTGGAGAGCCCAGAGTGCCAGGTGGAAGGGTCTGGCCTTCTCCAGAGGGCAGCGGGAGCAGTCTTGGCTGGGAGTTCTGTGGGCCAGAATGTGACTGGGAAAAAACATGGCAGGGATTGCCCCACTCCTCCCGTGCAGACCTCTCAGGCCCTCCCATGCCCCCTCCACTGGCCAGATCAGGAAATGAGCCCAAGGTTGCTCAGAGCAGGAGCTGGAGGCCCAGCCTCTAGCCTTCACGCCTACCCCAGGCCGGGTCACCCTGTGTGGTGTTGATATTCTGGGCTGGGGGGGAGGGAGAAAGGAAGAGCATTCACCTCAATTTATCTGGAGATATGGAAGAGGTTGTGAGGCTCCAGCCTCCAGCTCCACACACTCTGCCCTTCCTCTGCCAGGGCAGGGACTGGGAACAACCTGAGACGGCAGCCACACCTGATGCCACTCTCCCTACCCCTTGCAGGTATGAATTTGGCCCAGCCCTGTTCGTGGGCTGGGCCTCAGCTGGCCTGGCCGTGCTGGGCGGCTCCTTCCTCTGCTGCACATGCCCGGAGCCAGAGAGACCCAACAGCAGCCCACAGCCCTATCGGCCTGGACCCTCTGCTGCTGCCCGAGAGTACGTCTGAGCTCCGCCTGCCCTGGCCAGCCCCCCACCCAGTGGCCCCCTTGCCCAGCATCCAGCCAGCCTCGCAGCACCCTGGGCAGGGCCACTGGGGCATAGGATGGGCATAGGTGCTCTGAGCAGCTTGTCCTCAACACAAGCACCCACCCTGCAATCTGAGACCCAGATCCTCAGAGAGACACCAGAGGCAGGACCCAGCCCCCAGGCATACACACAGATGCAGGTCCAGGCACGGTCTTGTCTGCACAGCCTGGTGGGCACCAGCATGCATCCCTGGAGACAGGCCCTCAGGCACCAGCCCGGCTGTTTACTCACTGAAGAGCTGCTTGGGTGTCTGCTACGTGCTGGGCCCTAGAGATAGAGCAGTGGCCAAGACGTACCTTAGTACCCAGGTCCTTGGGGTGAGCAGAAACCTTCACCCTCCCCAGTCCCATGGGCTCCTCACAGCAACCCCACAAGGGCAGTGCCGGGATGCTGAACGTTCACACAAGGACAGGGAGGGTCTGAGTTTAGGTCTCAGGTTCTTCCAGTGCGCCCAGGGCTGGGGGCCACCTACACAGATGGTGAGGTCGGACCATGGCGCCCCTGCCCCCGGGAATGGGCCCCAGGCAGGGCTGCTGTGAGGGCCAAGGTCTGGCCACGCTGGCCAGTACCCATGTCCGGGCCTGAATGCACAGCCCCTGCCCCCGACCCCACAGCTCACTCCACTAACCAGCTCTCTCTCTTTTGACTTTCAGACCAGTTGTTAAATTGCCCGCCTCCGCCAAGGGCCCCCTGGGTGTGTAATGTCCAGTCCCCAGCCAGGCTCTGTCCCCTGCCATACCTAGACTGTGTGTTTCATATTTTTTTGGAAAGAGAAGTGAACATCCAGCCCCAATCATGGTATCATTCGGTCTGTCCTCAGCGTGGCTTGGACGGGGCCTGTGTCAGAGTGGTCAGTGCTGACCCCTGGGGCTCTTGGGCAGAAAGATGAGGAGACAGAGGTCCAGGGTGGGTTACATAGCACATCCAGGGCTAAGCAAGAAATAATTCAGAGGTCCTACCCTCTGTCTAGGGACCCCCCTCCCAAGCCTGGCCTTGGCCTTGGCACAAAGTCCTCCTTGATAGGAGATCCCACTCACTCCTGGAGGCTGCCCCTGAGGCTTGGCCCAGCTCTAGGAGCAGTCCCCAGGGTCAGGGAGCCCCTGGTGTGGAAAGAGGCCCCAAGGTAGTAAACCCTGCCCCTGTTACTGTGCTCCAGAGACCTCCTAAGGGAAGGGACAGTTCCTGGAAGGCCCTCCAGCTGGATGCTGGGGATCAGCGATAGGTGAGGGGACACAGTGTAGGAGCTCCCCATGTAGAAAAGGGAATGTGGGGAGGGCGTTAGGAGCTTGCAGGCATTAGGACTGTCCTGAGCAAGGTCTGCAGCCCCCAGCTCTGCTCACCCCGAATCCTGCCCCTTGTTTCCACACCTACCATTCCTCCTCTCCTGATCCCCAGCATCCAGCTGAGGTCCAAGGTCTTTGTCCTAGAATCAGAGTGGGGAGGGGACAGCCTGGGGCTGCCCAGAGACTGTGGGTGGAGCTGCCTGCTGCACTCAGCAGTGCGGTCAGAGAAGGGCTTTTGGTCTTGAAGTCCAGGTACCATCCCCCCTTAGCATACAGGGGGAAGGGCCTGAGAGGAATGTAAGGAAACCAGCCCAGATCAGTCCCAAGGCCAGAGTCCTTTGTCCTACATCTCCCTGAACCAGAGTGTGCCCTGCCCCTCATGCTCAGACCTCTCCCACCCCAAACCCTCTCCCGGGACTCAGTCTCCCTGGCCACTGCGTATCAGGCTTCTGGGGAAAGCATCCATCACAGAACCTCCCCTTCCCTGCCACGCACCTTCCTTGGCCAGCTCCATTCTGGCCTCCTCCACCACCTGCCTTGTGACCACATCTCCCACCACGTCCCCAGATCTCAAGAACGCAGCTCAGCTTCTCCTTCGAGCTTGACTCTGAGAGGGAAAGTGACGGAAACCAAGTCAGATGAGATGACTGCCATGTACACTGCAGTCAAGGGCAGGGAGGGGAGGAATGACACAAATGGCAGGGAGCTGCTGGGGGACTGACCCCTCGGCGCCTGGCCTGGCCGGTGCTGCACATCCACCGGGGCACAACAGGGACTTGTCCAGCCTCTGGTCAGAGGATGTGGCCACCTGACCCTAAATAGGTTCCCCAGAGTCCTGCCCCTCTAATGAATGAGAACTGCAGGAGTTTCTCCTCTGGGTGCCTGAAGCTATAGTGCAATGGTTCCCAACCCTGCATGCACATTCGAATCACCTGGGGGCACAATGCCTAGGCTCCAACCCCAGACACTCTTATTTCATTGGTCTGGGTGGACCTGGCATCAGAAGTCATGTAGCTCCTCAGGGGACTGTAGTGTGTGGTCAGCACTGAGGGCTCCTCTATGAGGCCTCAAGCCCAGGTGACTCTGTGAGGTCTGCAGAGGGAGAAAAGAACCCACAAGGGAAGAGGTGGAGGTCAGGCACGGTGGCTCACGCTTGTAATCCCAGCACTTTGGGAGGCCGAGGTGGGTAGATACCTGAAGTCAGGAGTTCGAGACTAGCCTGGCCAATATGGTAAAACCCCGTGTCTATTAAAAATACAAAAATTAGCTGGCTGTGGTGGTGGGCACCTGTAATCCCAGCTACTCGGGAGGCTGAGGCAGGAGAATCGCTTGAACTCGGGAGGTGGAGGTTGCAGTCAGCCAAGATCGTGCCACTGCACACCATCCTGGATGACAGAGCAAGACTCCATCACAAAAAAAAAAAAAAAAAAGAAAAGAAAAGAGGTGGGTAGCCGGGCGTGGCGGCTCATGCCTGTAATCCCAACACTTTGGGAGGCTGAGGTGGGTGGGTCACAAGGTCAGGAGTTCGAGACCAGCCTGGCCAACATGGTGAAACCCTGTCTCTATTTTTAAAAAATACAAAAATTAGCCGGCTGTGGTGGTGGGCACCTGTAATCCCAGCTACTCGGGAGGCTGAGGCAGGAGAATTGCTTGAACTCAGGAGGCGAAAGCTGCAGTGAGCCAAGATTGTGCCACTGCACTCCAGCCTGGGCAACAGAGCAAGACTCCATCTCAAAAAAGAAAGAAAGAAAAGAGGTGGGGAGAGGAAGCCCCACTCACTCCTGCCTTTCCCAATACCAGGCTGTTCTGTGACACGCCCACATCTTCCCAATCAATTCCCCTTTTGGCTGAAAAAACGTTGAGTTTGAATCCTGTCCCACACAGCCAGAAGAGCCCTACCTAACAGGATTTGGAACCTGGAAACTCAGCACAGCCTTGCGGAATCCTGTTATATGGTGCCAGTGGAGCAGGGGTGGGATCATCCTCCTATTCTAGGCTGGGTGTTGGGCAGTCCTTGCTATTTGGTCATGAAGCAGCTGGCCAGGAAACCACACGTCATTCTCTCTTGAGATTCAGGGTCCAATGGAGAATGCGAGGATAGAGTGTGCTGGCTACTTCTTGTGGGTTTCAGGGATAGGCTGCAAGACAGACAAGATACATGCAAGTGGCGGGGGGCGGCGGGAGCGCTGGAGGGGGTGCCTGATGGCAAAGTGGGAACAAGCTTCAGTCTGTTCCTTAGGGGAAGCCCTTTCTGCCTATAGCCAGGGATTAAAGATGCAGAGGGTCAGAGAACCACACGTCTCGCTGAATTAAACAACCAACTAACACACTGATTTAAAATGTAGTGAGATCCTGGCAATGAGAAGATATCTGGGAAAAAACCAGAGGAATTTGAAGCTAAAAGACTGAGATGCCTGTTCCCACAGGCTTCTCCTGAAGCAAACCCACTCATATATCTACAACAAGGCCACCTGGGCTGCCAACTGGAGGCAGGGCTGATAATCCGGGCGTCATGTCCAGGTTGTTGTTTACTGTCCTAGCCTTAAGGCTAAAGGACTGGGGAGAGACCCAGGAAGGTAGGGCTCAGACTCAAAAGGCATGATTCTAAGGCTTTTGCCTTATTCTAAAGCATTGTGTATTACTAAACAGAGTCGTCCTGTTCCCCGCCCCCCCCACCCCAGAAGGAAATTGGCAGGCCATAAAATATGATTGTAGGAGGAATACACCCATGTACTCAGCCCCAGGGCCAAGGAGCACAGAAACAGAAGATGTTCAGCAAAAAGGAGTGAACCTGAGCCCCTGGAGAAGCTGATCAGGAAAATATGCTATTGCTTGGGAAGAGGCTCAAAAACTGTGCAGCTGAGAATAGAGCGTATGGACTGACTACTAGATTATCAAGGAGTTATTGTTAATTTTGTGTTACAAATATTGTTAGTTTTGTGTGATAATGATACTTTTTTTTTGTTTCTTATTATTCTTATCTGGTAGGGGTGCATGCTGAAATGATATAATGGTTGCATTTGCTTTCAAATAACAAAGAAAAAGTTCAGAGGCAGTGAAAGTTATAAAATAAGATGGGTGAACCCCAGTGGTACTTAGGGGTTCTCCTTATGTATGTTTGTAAATTAAAAAAATAAAAGGTTTAAAAATACCTCTAAGGTTTGCTGGTTGTATCATATAATATAATCCTCCTGACCAGGGAAGTAAGGATGATGGACACTCCAGAGATTTGCTACTCAAAGCACAGCCCTCAGATGGCAGCAACGCATCACCTGGAAACATTAGAAATGCAGATTCACAGGCCCCGCCCCAGACCCTGTGACTCAGACGTGGCATTTTTAACAAGATCTCCAGGTGATTCAGACACACAGTGAAGTTTGAGAAACACCAGTGAAGCTGGTGAGAGCTGTGTGGTGCTTCTCCTTTTTGAGGGGAGAATTTCAATTGACCTTGTCCTGTTTTCCTCCGTCATTTGCATATTAGGTATATTGAAAGTGGTTCATTTTATGATTTTTGTCTACAGCTGGCAAATTATGAGGAGCTACAACTAAGCATGATCCAGGCCAGGTGTGGTGGCTCACACCTGTAATCCCAGCACTTTGGGAGGCCGAGATAGGAGGATTGTTTGAGGCTAGAAGTTTGAGACTAGCCTGGGCAACAACCCTGTTTCAATTATTTAAAATTTAAAAACATTTATTTAAAAAACAAAAAGTTAGCCAGGTATGGTGGTGTGCACCTGTAATGCCAGCACTTTGGGAGGCTGAGGTGGGCGGATACCTGAGGTCAGGAGATTGAGACCAGCCTGGCCAACGTAGTAAAACCTCGTCTCTACTGAAAATACAAAAATTAGCCAGGCGTGTTGGCGGGTGGCTGTAATCCCAGCTGCTCGGAAGTCTCAAGCAGGAGAATCGTTTGAACCTGGGAGGCAGAGGTTGCAGTGAGCTGAGATCGTGCCACTGCACTCCAGCCTGGGTGACAGAGCAAGACTCCGTCTCAAAAAAAAAAAAAAAAAAAAAAAGATACAGGCAAAATTTCAAATGAAGACAGGCAACACCCAAAGTAGTACTTTCCAATTTTTTCTTCTCATCAAACATAAAAATATATTTTGTTCAACTTATGAGAATACTGCAGGCAATTTCATTCTGGCCAACCCTCCTGTTGAAAACAACTAAAAATGGGTGAAGTGTAAAAAATTCTTCAACGCCTCAAAAGGCTGACAAGGATCCTATGGAATCACCAAGTCAAAGCCTAAAGAGCTTTTCCTCTCCCTTTCAGCCACATGGTGGCCCATGAGGTCACCGCAACGCTGAGGAGTGGTTGGCTGGCATGGCTGGAGATTAGTTACATATAAGGGGATTAAACAAATATGCAAATATCCTGAAGAAAATGGGAGCCAGGCTTACAAAGATGGAAAGGGGGAAAATTAGAGTAAATTCTGTGGTGTTGAATTCCAGTTGGGGGTATCTGGATGAACTTGTGGTTTTTAACATATGTAGATACATATTGAAATGAATACGGGTGTGTGTGTGCACACGTGTGATGCATATATCCATGAGCTGTACCCCCTAGGAAGGCTTAGCAGTCATGATACCCCAGTAGCAATGGGCACACCTAAGCCACTAAGCCATATCTTGGTTTCTAAATACCATTCTCCACTAAAAGTGACCAGGCTCCAAGGAAAAATGACTGATTTCAGAACTGGAGTAGAGAAACTACAAAAGAAACTTGGAGCATCTTGGTATTCCAGAAGCAAAAAGTGCTCAACGAATGATGATGATGTGTCTAAGGGATCCAGAAGCTGGATTAAAGGTGGTCCCACTTGCTTTATCTGGGATAATTTGAGCATCAAAATAAATAATAATGAATAATGGGTTTCAACTCACTGGATACAAATAAGAATCTACTAGTCCTTACCAATTTGATTAAGTGGGGGAAAAGAAAAAGTTCTATCTTACAGTAAAATGACTATATGAATAACTTATTAACAAATAAGTAAAAATCATGACTTTACAGTGATGAAACATAGCAGATATATATACATATATATATATATTTTTTTTTTTTTTTTTTTTTTTTTTTTTTTTTTTGAGACGGAGTTTCGCTCCTGTTGCCCAGGCTGGAGTGCAATGGCGCGATCTCAGCTCACCGCAACTTCTGCCTCCCAGGTTCAAGCAATTTTCCTGCCTCAGACTCCTGAGTAGCTAGGATTACAGGCATGCGCCACTACACCCAGCTAATTTCATATTTTTAGTAGAGACAGGGTTTCTCCAAGTTGGTCAGGCTGGTCTCGAACTCCTGACCTCAGGTGATCCACCCGCCTCGGCTTCCCAAAGTCCTGGGATTACAGGTGTGAGCCACTGCACCTGGCCAAGACATATCTTAATCAAGTGATAAGAGTTACCCCAGGAACGGGACAAATTGAAACGGATGCCCCTTGCTGGAGTGCATGGAGAAAACCACAGCACAACATCATTTGCATGATATTCCTGCTATAGGTGCATAACCTGAATCAATCATGAAGAGACAGAAAAACACAATTGGGACTGTTTTATAAAATCACTGACCTGTACCCTTCAAAACTGTCAAAGCTAAGAAACACAAGGAAAGATTGAGGATATATTACAACAAAATGCAATGAGTGATCCTGGATTGGATTCTGGACCTATAAAGGACACGTTGGGATGACCGTGAAACTGGAATTATATCTGTGGTTTAGACGGTAGTATCACAGCAAAGTTAATGTCCTGAGCTTGACAGTTACCTTGTGGTTTTGTAGAACACTGTCTTTGTTTTTTTAAGGAAATACAAGAGGATAAAGAGGCATCAGAAAAAAAAATATACAGAGATGCGCAAGAAGTTATATGAAATATTTGCAGTATAATACTAATTGAACCATCGAAGTGAAGGACGTATGGGAATTCTTTGAACTGTTCTGGCAACTTTTCTCTGAAATTATTTCAAGATTAAAAGTAAAGGCCGGGTGTGGTGGCTCAGGCCTGTAATCCCAGCATTTTGGGAGGCCAAGGTGGGTGGATCACCTGAAGTCAGGAGTCTGAGACCAGCCTGGCCAACATGGTGAAACCTCGTCTCTACTAAAAATACAAAATTGGCTGGGCATGGCGGCACATGTCTGTAATTCCAGTTACTTGGGAGGCCGAGGCAGGAGAATTGCTTGAAGCCGGGAGGTGGAGGTTGCGGTGAGCCAAGATTGCCCCACTCCATTCCAGCCTGGGCAACAAGAACGAAACTCAGTTTCAAAGAAAAAAAAAGGATTAAAAGTTAAAAAATGTCTTAGGAAAGTTAGAGAAGCTTTCTTCTCAGGGGACATTTAAAAATCTAAGCACACTTAAATATCTCCTAGAATGGGGAAAGAAGGGAAAGCCCTGGTTCACCTACAGTGGGGGATCTATCAGATCCTCCAGACATTAAATTTAGATACCAAATGTTATACCCTTAAAGGTAAGGCGGGCCGGGCGCAGTGGCTCACGCCTGTAATCTCAGCATTTTGGGAGGCCAAGGCGGGCGGACCACCTGAGTTCAAGGCTGCAGCAGTGAGATACGATTGTCACTACACTCCAGCCTGAGTGACAGAGTGAGACCCTGTCTTTTTTTTCCTTCTTCTACTTTTTTTTGAGACAAGGTCTTTCCCTGTTGCTCAGGCTAGAGTGCAGTGGTGTGATTTTGGCTCAGTGCAGCCTCGACCTCCCAGGCTCAAGCCATCCTCCCATCTCAGCCTCCCAAACAGCTGGGACTAAGAGTACAGGCCACCACACCTGGCTAATTTTTAATATTTTTTTGAGCCTAGGATTATATTATTTTCCTTTAGTAATATTTTATTTTCTTTGGCGAGGTGCCTAAGGGCGCCAGCAATCCAGGATCACTTTTATCTAAGTTCAGGACTAAAGATTTCTGGGTCTTCAGTCAGGTTGCAATCCACGTGAGTGTCAGCTTAAGTTACCACTATGGCACATTTATCCAGGGTCCCCAACTCAAAGCATTGGGTAGTCTATAAAGGTTACCAGACTGTATCTAGATGTTTTCCTCTATCACCGTACGATTGCCCCTCCCAGATAAGCAAACGCTTATGCTTCCAAATCAACACTCAGTCTCTCAGTTCCCTCTAAGAGATTAGCAAATAATTCGAGGGCAAAAGCAACCCTGAGCATCAGACTTACTTTCCTACATTACCATGTTCTCCTGGACCCAAGCCTGGAAATCTCTCAAGATTTTTGTATATTTTGCATCTAGAAAGATTTTTTAAAGTATTTTGTATAGTTTTCTTAGCTGTCTTCAGCAGAAGAGCTGCTCCAACATTACCAAATGTGGAAGTCAAGAGTAATCTTTTCAAAATGCCATCATATAATTTCAGGATACATTTCAAAATTCTTGCACAAGTAGAACATTATTGTTTATTATTTTCTCTTCTGTGACAAGATTGTTCATTACAATTCAAATTAACAGAATTACTAGATATTAAAATACCACAAAATTGGTTTAAAATTGTATAAACTTATTACTTGAGTGTTTTAAAAGTATGTATTTCAAAAATTATATAATGAGCACATGAAGCCTGTTTTAAGCAATGTTTACAAAAATGAGAAAGAAAGTGATATACAAATGACAAATTCTCCTTAAATGGCCTTTCTTATTATTTTGAGATGGAGCCTTGCTCTATTGCCTGGGCTGCAGTAGAGTGGCACGATCTCAGCTCACTGCAACCTCCACCTCCCGGGTTCGAGCGATTCTCCTGCCTCAGCCTCCTGAGTAGCTGGGATTACAGGTGCACACCACTATGCCCAGCTAGTTTTTGTATTTTTAGTAAAGATGGGGTTTTGCCATGATGGTCAGGCTGGTCTTGAACTCCTGACCTCAAGTGATCCACCTGCCTCACATTCCCAAAGTGCTGGGATTATGGATGTGAGCTACTGCACCCAGCCATGTTTCTATTACTATAAACTACTTTGCATTTTCTACTACTTGATATAAATGGAATCACAGACTATGTACTTTTTAGGCTCCGGCTTCTTTCACTCAGATAATTATTTCAATATTTATCCTTTTTGTTGTGTGTTTATTCTTTATTACTAAGTAATACCCCATTGTATGAACCTATACATTCATCTTTTGATAAATATTTGAGTTATTTCCAGTTTGGAGCTATTATTACAATTAAAGTGGCTACAATATATACAAGTCTTTATGTGGGCACATGCTTTCATTTCATTTGGGTATATTCCTAAGAGTGGAATGGTGGGGAGTATGTTTAGCTTTTTAAGAGAATGCCAAACTATTTTTCCAAGGTAGTTGTATCATTTTATATTCCCATCTTTTAGAGAGAGCTAATTTGTTTTATGCATTCTCTGCAATTATTTTTTCTTTCTTTTTTTTTTTCTTTTCTTTACTTTTTTTTTTTTTTTAAGACAGGGTCTTGCTTTGTTGGCCAGGCTGGAGTGCGGTGGCAAAATCTTGGTTCACTGCAGCCTTGACTTCCCGGGCTCATGCGATCCTCCCATCGCAGACTCCTGAGTAGCTGGGACTACAGGTGCACACCACCATGCCTGGCTAATTTTTGTATTTTTTGTAGAGGCAAGGTTTCATCATGTTGCCCAGGCTGGTCTCAAACTCCTGAGCTCAAGCCATCCACCCACTTCTGTCTCCCAAAATGGTGGGATTACAGGTGTGAGCCACCGTAACCAGCCTATCTCTGCTCTAATCTTTCCTTCTGCTAGCTTTGAGTTTAGTTTGTCTTTTTTTTCTAGTTCTCTAAATTGCAAAATTAGGTAGTTGATTTGAGATCTTCCTTGTTGTTTTTTAATGTGTTTATTTATGGCTATAAATATCTCCTTTAGCATTGCTCTCACTGGTTTCCATAAGTTTTGGTATGTTGAGTTTTTGTTTTTCATTTATCTCTAAGCAGTTTTTTTTGTTTTGTTTTTTTTTTTGAGACAGGGTCTTGCTCTGTCACCCAGGCTGGAGTGCAGTTGCATGATTGTGGCTTACTGCAGCCTTGACCTCCCACACTTTTTTTTTTTTTTTTTTTTTTGAGATGGAGTCTCCCTCTTGTTGCCCAGGCTGGAGTGCAATGGCATGATCTTGGCTCACTGCAACCTCCGCCTCCCGGGTTCAAGCGATTCTCCTGCCTCAGCCTCCCGAGTAGCTGGGATTACAGGTGCACGCCACTGTGCCTGGCTAATTTTTGTATTTTTAGTAGAGATGGGGTTTCACTATGTTGGCCAGGCTGGTCTCAAACTCCTGACCTCAGGTGATCTGCCTGCCTTGGCCTCCCAAAGTGCTGGGATTATAGGTATGAGCCACTGCGCCCGGCCCTCCCAGGCGTAAGTAATCCTCTCACTTCAGCCTCCCAAGTAGTTGGGACTACAGGCATGTGCAACCATGCCTGGCTAATTTTTTTATTTTTTGTACCAATGGGGTCTCACTATGTTTCCCAGGCTGATCTCAAACTCCTAAGCTTAAGCGATCCTCCTGCCTCTGACTCCCAAAGTGCTGGGATTGCAGGGGTGAAACATGTGCCTGGCTTCTCCAAGTATTTTCTAATTTCCCTTGTGACTTATTTGATCCATTGGTTCTTATTAAACAATACACTCAAATTGTTTAATTTCTACAAATTTGTAATTTTTCTAGTTTTTCTTCTATTATTTCTTTCTAACTTCATACTTTGTGGTCAGAGAAGACACTTGATATGATAGCTATCATTTTAAATCTATTGAAACTTAAGTTTTAGCCTAACCTATGATCTATCCTGAATAATATCCCATGTGCACCTGAGGAGAATGTGTATTTCATTGTCATTGTGTAGAGTGTTTGGAACGTATGTTAGATCTAGTTGGTTTATTATGTTGTTCAAGTCCTCTATTCTTCTCTCTAGTTCTATTCATTACTGCAAGTGGAAAATTGAAGACTTTATCATTCTAGAAGTGTTTCTCCCTTCAACTCTGTCAATTTTTGCTTCATATATTTTGATGATTTGTTATTAGGTAACTAAATGTTCATAATTGTTATATCTTTTGCTATATTAAGTGTTTTATTAATATATACATATATAGTGTCCTCCTTTGTCTCTAATAATAACTTTTTTTGATGTTAAGTCTATTTTATCTTAAATGAATATAGTATAGCCATCCCTGCTTTCTTTTGGTTATTATTTTCGTGGGTTTTTCTTCCTTTCTTTCTTTTTTTCCTGAGACAGTCTCACTCTGTCGCCAGGCTGGAGTGCAGTGATGCAATCTCAGCTCACTGCAACCTCGGCCTCCTGGGTTCAAGTGATTCTCCTGCCTCAGCCTCCCAAGTAGCTGGGATTACAGGCATCCACCACCACGCCCGGCTAATTTTTGTATTTTTAGTAGAGATAGGGTTTTGCCATGTCAGCCAGGCTGGTCTTAAACTCCTGACCTCAGTTGATCTGCCTGCCTCAGCCTCCCAAAGTGCTGGGATTATAGGCGTGAGCCACTACGCCCCGCCTGGTTACCACTTTCATGAAATATCTGTTTTCATCCTTTCACTGTTTTGTTTTGTTTAGAGGCTGCGTCTCACTATGTTGCCTGGGCTGTAATTGAAATTCTGGGCTCAAGTGATCCTCCTGCCTCAACCTCCTAAGTAGCTGGAATTACAGGCAAATGCCACTGTGCCCAGCCTTCCTTTCACTTTCAACCTATTTTTTAAACACCCCCGCCCCCGGCTTTCTCTCCAACATTTTTTTTTTTTTGAGACAGAGTCAGTCTTGCAGTATTGCCTGGGGTTAGAGTGCAGTGGCACAGTCACCACTCACTGCAATCTCGACCTCCCAGGCTCAAGTGATCCTCCCACCTAAGCCTCCTGAGTAACTGGAACCACAGGCATGTGCCACCATGCCCGGCTAATTTTTAAAAATTTGTTGTAGGGCCAGGATCTTGCTATGTTGCCAGGCTGGTCTCGAACTGTCTCAGCTGGCCTCCTAAAGGGTTGGGATTATAGGAATGAGCCACCGTGCCCAGCCAGGGTTGTTGATTGACAGTTCTGTTTTGTTTTCCCTTTTTAGCACTTTAATTATATCAGCTCAGTACCTTCTGGCATCCAAAGTTTCTGGTGAGAAATCTGCTATAATTCTTATTGAGGGTTTCTTATATGTGACAAGTCACTTCTTTCTTGCTGCTTTCAGGTTCTTTGTCTTCAGTTTTTGACAGTTGGATTATAAAGTGTCTCACTATGGGTCTCTTTGAGTTCGTTCTACTTTAAGCTCATTGAGATTCTTGGATTTTTTTTTTTTTTTCTTTTTTGAGACGGAGTCTGCACTGTTGCCCAGGCTGGAGTGCAGTGGCGCGATCTCGGCTCACTACAACCTCTGCCTCCCGGGTTCATGCCATTCTCCTGCCTCAGCGTCCCGAGTCCCGCCTGGGACTACAGGCATCTGCCACCACGCCCGGCTATTTTTTTTTTTTTTTTTTTTTTGTATTTTTAGTAGAGACGGGATTTCACCGTGTTAGCCAGGATGGTCTCGATATCCTGACCTCGTGATCCACCCACCTCGGCCTCCCAAAGTGTTGGGATTACAGGCGTGAGCCACCACGCCCGGCTTTTTTTTTTTTTTTTTTTTTTGAGATGGAGTCTCGCTCTGTTTTCCAGGCTGGAGTGCAGTGGTGCAATCTCAGCTCACTGCAACCTCCACCTCCTGGGTTCAAGCGATTCTCCTGCCTCAGCCTCCCAAGTAGCTGGGATTACAGGCACCCACCACCATGCCTGGCTAATTTTTGTATTTTTGGTAGAGATGGGGTTTTACCATGTTGCCCAGGCTGGTCTCAAACTCCTGACCTCAGGTGATCAGCCTGCCTCAGCCTCCCAAAGTGCTGGGATTACAGGGCATGAGCCACTGTGCCCGGCCTCTGATTCTTGGATGTTTATATTCATGTCTTTCATTAAATTTGGGTATTTTTTGGCTATTTCTTCAAATATTTTCTCTGCCCCTTTGTTTTTCTTTCTTTTTTTCTTGTTTTTTTTTTTTTTTTTTTTTTTTTTTTTAATGGGGGATGGAGCTTCGCTCTGTCACCCAGGCTGGAGTGCAGTGGCATTGATTCTTTTTCTTCTCCTTCTGGAGTTCTCACTATCTATTGTGGTTTGCTTGAAGGTGTCCCATAGGTCCCTTGGGCTCTGTTCACTTCTCTTCAGTTTTTTTTCTTTCTGTTCCTCAGACTTAATAACTGTCCTCTCTGCAAATTATCTGCTTTTTTTCTTCTGCCTGCTCAAGTCTGCCTTTGAATTTCTCTAGTCAATTTTTTTTCTTTTTTCTTTCTGTAGAGATGAGGTCTCTCTCCATTGCCCAGGCTGGTCTCAAACTTCTGGGCTCACATGACTCTCCTGCCTTGGTCTCTCAAAGTGCTCCAATTACAGGCATGAGCCAACATGCCCAGATGCTAGTCAGTTTTTTATTTCAGTTATTGTACTTTTCAGCTCCAGATTTTTTTTTTTTTTTTTTGAGATGGAGTTTTTGCCCTTTTTTGCTCAGGCTAGAGTGCAATGGCGCAATCTTGGCTCACCACAACCTCCGCCTCCTGCGTTTAAGTGATTCTCCTGCCTCAGCCTCCCAAGTAGCTGGGATTACAGGCATGCACCACCAGGCCCGGCTAATTTTGTATTTTTAGTAGAGACGGGGTTTCTCCATGTTGGTCAGGCTGGTCTTGAACTGCTGACCTCACTTGATCCGCCCGCCTCGGCCTCCCAAAATCCTGGGATTACAGGTGTAAGCCACGGCACCCAGCCTGTTTTTTGGTTTTCTATCTCTATTTGATATTTCCATTTTTTTCATACTTTGTTTTCTTGACTTTCTCCATGTATTTCTTTTAGTTCTTTGAGCATCTTTAAGACAGTTATTATAAAGTCTTTATCTAGTAAATCGGTTATGTGGTCTTTCTCAAGGATGGTTTTTGTTGGTTTATTTTTTCCTTTCAATGGTTCAAACTTTCCCATTTTTTTTGTATCCTTATGATCTTTTTTATTGAAAACTGAACATTTGAGTCTAATAATGTTGTTAACTCTGGAAATCAGATTCTCCCCCTTGCCCAGGGTTTGCTGGTTTTGGTTTGTTTGTATTGCTTTTGGCTGTCTGTATATCAAAGATCAGCATGAGGTTTAACTTCAGGTGTTTCCAGGTCTTTTGGCACCCTGAACTCTTCCCTGGGATGTGCAGTGACTTTCTAATTTCCCCTGTATATGCTTTTTGAGTTTTTAGTCTTTAATGTCTGGATCCCAAGAGGGGAAAAGATAATGAAAGGGGAAGGACCCAGATTATAAGAAGTCCCTTTCAATTCCCTGGAAGCCGCTTCAGCTGGAGGGGAGGGGTTTGCATAGCAGGAGAGGTACAACAGCAGCTGCTCACCTCTGTGTCTGCACCTCCTTGATCAGTGATGAGAACACAGTTAATCATTAACATTAATCAGTGATGAGAACACAGTTCCCTGATACTTGGAGGACTTGGTCTTTATTGTCCACCCTGGCTCCTGCAAACTGTTTGCAGGCTCCTCCTGGAACACATGCACAGCTTCCTGCCATGGGGTTAGGGGAGAAGGGGATAGGTAGCTGCAGCTGAGCTGGGAGTTGAAATGGATTGGAATTAACTGCAATTTCACATCCAAGCCTCCTCTGGAAGTTGCAAGACTTCAACAGACTCCAAAATAATTACATCAAACAGATTGTCAGTGTACTTATTGTCCGTGTTGTGGGGGCAGGGCAAAATGCTGTTGCTTCCTACTCATCCAGGATTTTCCCAGAATCCTCTCACCTTCTTTTTATTTTTTAATTTTTATTTATTTATCTTTTTTTGAGACAGTGTCTTGCTTTGTCGCCCAGGCTGGAGCGCAGTTGCTCCATCTCAGCTCACTGCAACCTCTGCCTCCCAGGTTCAAGCGATTCTCCTACCTCAGCCTCCCGAGTAGCTGGAACTACAGGTGTGCACCACCACGCCCAGCTAATTTTTCTATTTTTAGTAGAGATGGGTTTTCACCATGTTGGCCAGGCTGGTCTCAAACTTCTGACCTCAAGTGATCTGCCTGCCCCAGCCTCCCAAATTGCTGGGATTACAGGTGTGAGCCACCATGCCCAGCCCTCACCTTCCTACTTTTTAAATGATGCTTTTTATGATAGTCTGGGTCCTCCAAACAGTAGACCCCCTAGTGGGATTAAATATGTAAGAATTTTATTAGGGAAATATTTGTGAGAGAAAATGGAGAGGCAGCTGGGAGAGCCATCCCACAGTGATGCCAGCCTGGCCCAGGATGCTGGGTGGAAGCATCCTAGATCACTACATAAGTCTAAGGAAAGCTTGGCATGAGCATCAGGGGAGACCTTGAGGCATAGTCGGCTGTCAGTCCCATGTCTCCCAGGAAAAGGCCTGTTTTAGAATCCCTGCCACACTCAGCCATCAGCTTGGGAGCATTTGGTAAGCAGAGCCTCAGGGCAAATAAGGTGGTAAATTTTAGAGCAAAGCAACTCCGGCCCTTGGTTAATTACACTCCCTGTAGTTGGAGGTCTATAAACCACTTTCTTGTGGCAACTACACTTTTACAGTTTACAATTTTTATACCTATTATCTCAGTTTATCCTTACATTATTCCTGTAATAATAACACAAAACTTATTTATTTTTTTGAGACAGAGTTTTGCCCTGTTGCCCAGGCTGGAGTACAGTGGTGCAATCATAGTTCACTGCAGCCTTGACTTCCCAGGCTCAAGCCATCCTCCCGCCTCAGCCTCCCAAGTAGCTGGGACTACAGGCATGTGCCATTATGCCCGGCAAAAAAAAAATTTTTTTTGTTTTCTTTTTTTTGAGACGGAGTCTCGCTCTGTCGCCCAGGCTGGAGTGCAGTGGCATGATCTCAGCTCACCGCAACCTCCGCCTCCCGGGTTCAAGTGATTCTCCTGCCTCAGCCTCCTGAGTAGCTGGGATTATAGGCGCACGCCACCACTTGTATTTTTAGTAGAGACGGGGTTTCTTCATGTTGATCAAGCTGGTCTCAAACTCCTGACCTCATGAACCACCCGCCTCGGCCTCCCAAAGTGCTGGGATTACAGGTGTGAGCCACCGTGCCCGGCCCAAAAAAAATTTTTTTAAGAGATTGGGTCTCACTATGTTGCTCAGGCTGATCTCAAACTCCTGGGCTCAAATGATCCTCCTGTCTCGGCCTCTCAAAGTGCTGAGATTACAGGCATGAGCCACTGTACCCAGTCAGCCAAGACTTATTGAGCACTAACAAAATGTGGTTTCATTGATTCTTGTTTCATCCTCACAACTTTAGGAAGTGAGTACTATTTATACCCCTTTTTTTTTAATTAGGTGTTTAATTTTCTCCCATGTCCTGGATTCCGGAGGCAAGTGGCTTCTGGTATTGGCAAAGGAGGTGATCGTTAGGACTTAAGATGAAGTTTCATTGGCAGGACTAGAGCTCAGGTTTTCTTACTCCGAGTTGCTTTCCAAGTTTCTCTCATGTGAGGACACCGTGAGGTGGTGGTGAAGGTGGCTTTGTGCAATCCATGTCAGAAGAGGACCCTCACCGGAACCAAATCTACTGTTACCTTGACCTGGACTTGCCAGTCTCCAGAACCATGAGAAATAAATATCTACTGCTTAAGCCACTTAGTCTCTGGTATTTTGCTACAGCAGCCCAAGCAGGCTAAGACATGGTTCCACAGTCCCTTTCTAGCAGCAGCCCTCGTTTCCTTCACTCAGCTGCCAAGCCTCTTCATGGTTATCCATAATTTATTAATTTCAACATACGTATTGAGCTTTTGTTCTGTACTCTTTTAGCCCCATTATAGATGCTGGGATATAGCAGCAGTGAACAAAACAGACAGAAATCCCTACCCTTATGTAGCTTAACTCCTATCAGAGCAAGATAGTTAGCAAGCAAGTTAATGTAGCCAGCAGATGACATGCACCATGGAGGAAAATCAGGAAGGCCAGGAATTGGGGGCTGGCCATGGGAAGGGGTGGCCATCTTAAACAGGTAGGCAGGGGAGGCCCTGCTGATCAAAGACCTAAAGAACTGAGGAAGAAAGCCACTAACTTATCCGGCAGAACATTCTTCCAGTCAGAAGGGAAAAACAGGTGTGAATGCCTTGAGGTGGAAGAGTGCCATGAAAAGGAAGCCTGTGAGGTTGGGTGGAGTAAACCAGGGGAGAGAGTAGATGGCATGGGGCAGGTGGGGGCACATTGTGGAGGCTCCTGGAGGATGCTGGCTTCTGCTCAAAAGTGAGACTGGAAGCCTCTGAAGGATTTTGAGCAGGAGTGTCTCGAGGCCTGACACAGGTGTTAGGGTAGGAAGATGGTAGCAGGGAGGCTACCACAGCCTGGACCCAAGTGGTCAGAGGTAAGTGGTCAGATTCTAGCTGTTTCAAAGTCAGAATCAATGGAATCTGCAGACTCATTGGAGGGAAATTGAGAAGTCAAGGATGACTGAGGGTTTTGGCATGGACCTGTAAGGATGGACCAGCCATTGTGGAGATGCGGAAGGCTGCGGGAGCAGCAGGTGCGCTGTAGCTGCCCTATGCACCCCTCGCCTGCTGCAGTCTGAGGGTCACCTCCACATTCCACTCCTCTCACCAGTCATCTCCTGGTTGCTAAGGCCAGTAAACACTTTTCAACTCCCATCTTCTTGGACCTATTGGCTTTGATGTTGTGAGCAATTTCCTATTTTGCTCCCCAGTTTTCTGTGATGCCCCCTTTCTGGATTTGCCACATCTTTTTCTAGCCATCACTTCTATGTCTTGACCTTGTTCCAAAAGTTTGTGTCTCCATCCTCATCTCTCCACAAATGCCCCTAAAGGGATATGATTTTACCCATGATCACAGCTTCCAATAGCCACCTGATGAGTGTCACTCTGCCTCGGCCTACACCTCCCTCCTTAGCTTCCGACACACTCCCCATGGGTGCCCCCACAGGTCCTCAAACTCCACATATCTCAACTGAGCTATCAGACCCCTCTCCTCTTTATGCATGTTTTTATTCCAGCGAATGACAGTATCTGCATCAACATTCTGCAGTCATCCGTGCATTCAGCTAGTTACCTACATCTGCCAACTCGATTTCTGAAAATATCTCAAACTTGAGCCCCTCTTTCTTACTCCATATTTCTGGTTGAGGTCTCATTACTCATCTGGACTTTGGGACCTAACCTGTCATGCATTACACTTGACTGTGTGCCTCAGTCTCAGCTAGGCGTCCAAACTTCCCCAGTCAGCTGTCACTGCCTGACTGTTAATTCTCATTAGCTCTCTACATCTCCTAATCTAACTCAATATAGCTCCCTTCCCAACCTTCTCAGGGGCCCGCTGGAATTCAGGTACAGCCTCTTCTGTGTATGTTCTTATTCAGCTTTTTACTCTTTCTCTAATCATACTTACCTCCACAACCTTATTCCCTTGGAGCCCTTTCAATGGAGTCTGTTTTTTTTTCTCCTATGTCCCAAATACCATGGTGTCTGGTGGTGGGCTAAGTCTCCTTTGTTACATTATTGCCACTTTTTTTTTCTTTTTTTTTTAAAGACAGGGTCTCACTCTGTCACGCAGGCTGGAGTGCAGTGGCTCAATCATGGCTCATTGGAGCCCCAACCTCCTGGGATCAAGTGATCTTCGACCTCAGCCTCCAGAGTAGCTGGGACTAAAGGCATACACCACCAAATTTGGCTAATTTTTTATTTCTTTTTTTAGAGATGGGGTCTCACTTTGTTGCCCAGACTGGTCTCAAACTCCTGAGCTCACATATTTCTCCTGCCTCAGCCTCCCAAAGTACTGGGATTACAGGTATGAGCCACCACTGCCACAATTTTCCCTCTCTCCAAAGCCCTCAAAAACCCCTTCTTTGAAGCGATGGACAAAATTCATTTAGTCCAATGAGTTTCTGGATTAAACTCATTATCCAGAAGCATTCCTTCAAGATTTAATTCCTGTATCCCCTCACTGTCCTTTCCACACCCACTAACTACTTCCATCATCACTTGTGGCAATTTCAACATGCACACAAAAGATCCACTGAACACCGTGGTCTGACTCCACATTCAGTTGGCCTGTGATTCTTCCTCCTCCATCTCCCATCTACATATCCACAACCTAAGCTTTGTCAATACAAGTAACTGCACCATACCCCATCCCAGCCTAGGACCACCACCTCATATCCTTCCAGTTCCCTTAATAAGTACAGTCATGTACCACACAAAAATGTTTCAGTCAATGACAGACTGCATATATGATGGTGGTCCCATAAGATTATAATAGAGCTGACTCAATAATTGAGCATGCCATTCAGGGGCCTGGATGTTGTCTGGCCCAGTCCACCATCATTGGCATATGAATACTCCTCTTGGGGTCTTAAGTTGTGCTGACACAACCTGCCGATACCACCACAGCTGGCAACCACCTGCACATACCACCAGCAGGCCAAGAGACTGGCCCGTCTAACCTGTTGTAGCTACCACCAACACTAGCATGAACATTTGGGTTGCTCCACCACTGCTACTGCCATCACCCACATCACATCAGCTGCCAAGGGGCCTGAGAACCTGCCTGGGTGCCCAGACCACAGCTGCCATTACCAGCATCTGAGCGAGCCCCGTGGAGGCCCAAGAATCAGTCTGTCTGGATTCACTGACACTGGTGCCAGTGTAAGCTGCCCAAAGACCCAAGGACAGGCATGCCCAGCCCACCACTGCCACCACTAGGGACTGAAGACTGGCCCATCTGGCATTCTAGTCCCCAGCAACTTTCCCACAGCCTCCACTAATAACCATACTCTATGCCACTAGGGAAATCACAGTTACCACTGAAGCTATTTACAGTGGAAGAAATAATATACTACTGCATGCACCCGAAATCAAAATCAAAGTGCCCTACTCAACCAACACCATAGATGCATCTTCAGAAAAAGGACTTCCCTACAAAAGCAATGTCAAAAAATTGAGGGTGGGCACAGTGACTCACATCTGTAATCCCAGCACTTTGGGAGGCCTAGGCAGGCAGATCACTTGAGGCCAGGAGTTTGAGACCAGTCTGGCCAACATGGCAAAACTCATCTCTACTAAAAATACAAAAATTAGCTGGGTGTGGTGGTGCACACCTGTAATCTCAGCTACTCAGGAGGCTGAGGCATGAGAATCACTTGAACTTGGGAGGTGGAGGTTGCAGCAAGCCATCACACCACTGCACTCCAGAATGGGTGACAAAGTGAGACTCTGTCTTAAAAAAAAGAAAGACACAACTATTATACCAGATGTATAGATAATAACATAAAGACATAGGAAACATGAAAGAGCAAGGAAATATAACACCTCCAAAGAAACATAGTAAGTCTCCAGCAACAGATCCCAATCAAAAATTCACAAAAGCCTAGATAAAGATTTCAAATTACTGATTTAAAGACACTCAGTGAGATACAAGATAAATACAGAGAAAACAGAAAAAAAAAATCAGGATGTGAATGAGAAATCTACCAAAGACACACGTATTTTTCAAAAGCACCAAACAGAGGCCGGGTACGGTGGCTCATGCTTGTAATTCCAGCACTTTGGGAGGGCAAGGTGGGTGGATCACCTGAGGTCAGGAGTTCAAGACCAGCCTGACCAACATGGTGAAAATCAGACTCTACTAAAAATACAAAATTAGCTGGGCATGGTGGTACATGCCTGTAATCCCAGCTACTTGGGAGGCAGAGGAAGGAGAATCACTTGAACCTGAGAGGTGGTGGCTGTGTAAGCCAAGATTGCACCATTGCACTCTAGCCTGGGCAACAAGAGCAAAACTCTGTCTCAAAAAAAAAAAAAAAAAAAAAAGCACCAAACAAATTTTGGAACAGAAGAATTAACTGAATGCAATACAAAATACATTTGAAAGCTTTAACAATGGACTACTACATCAAACAGAAGAAAGAATCTCAGAACTTAAAAACAGGCCTTTTGAAATAATCAAGTCAGACAAAAAAAAAAAAAAAATGAATTAAAAAGAAGGCCAGGCACAGTGGCTCATGGCTGTAATCCCAGCACTTTGGGAGGCCAAGGCAGGAGGATTGCTTAAGCCCAGGAGGTCAAGGTCAGCCTGGGCAGTAAAGTGAGACCCTATCTCAATAAAAAGTTAGCTGGGCGTGGTAGCTCCAGCTACACAGGAGGATGAGGCAGGATAATCTCTTGAGCCCAGGAGATCAAGGCTGAAGTGAGCCATGTTAATGTTACTACACTCCAGCCTGGGCAAGAGTGAGACTCTGTCAAAATCGGTCAGTCAATGAGAAAAGCCTTCATGACATCTGTAATGACAAAAAGTGACAGAATATTTGAATTATCAGTGTCCCTGAGGGCAAACAGAGAATGAAAGGGTTAGAAAACCTATTTAATGAAATATTAGATGAAAACTATCCAAGTCTAGCAAGAGACCTAAACATCCAGATCCAGGTGACCCAAAGATCCCCAAACAGTACAAAAAGGTCTTGTACACAGTCAAAACTATCTAAAGCCAAAGCAAAAGAGAGTATACTAAAAACAGCAAGAGAAAAGCAGAGGCACCTACAAAAGAACCCTCATCAGACTAACAGCAGAGTTCTCAGCAGAAACCGTATAGGCCAGGAGAGAATGGGATGAAATATTCAAAGTGCTGAAAGAAAAAAAAATGCCATGCAATGATATTACATGAGCAAAATTATCCTTCACAAATGAAGGAGAAATAAAGTCTTTTCTAGAGAAGCAAATGCTGAGGGAATTTAACACCACTAGACCAGCTCTACATAAAATGCTCAAGGGAGTCCTAAACTTGCAAGAGAAAGGACAACATTTACCATCATTAAAGAGCACTAAAGTATAAAACTCATTGGTAAGTTAAACACACAAATGAGGAAGGACTCAAATGGTACCACTATAACATATCACTAAACCACAATAACAAACAATGAGGAAAAAAAGAAACAAATATACAAAGCAATCAGAAAACAATTAACAATGTGACAATAACAAAATATAACATAGCAATAATAACCTTGAATGTAAATGGGTTAAATTTTCCACTTAAAACACAGACTGGCTGAATGAATAAAGAAACATGATCCAACTATATGCTGCCTACAAGAAACCCACTTTACCTGCAAAGACACATATAGACTCAAAGTAAAGGGACAGAAAAAACACTCCACACAACTAGAAACCAAAAGCAAGCAGGAGCTTTGATACAAGCTATACCTGTATTAAATAAAACAGATATTAAGTCAAAACAGTAAAAAGAGACAAAGAAGGTAACTATATAATGACAAAGGGATCAATCCAGCAAGAGGATATAAAAATTCTAAATATGTATGCACCCAAAACTGGGGCACTGAGACTCAAAAAGTAAATATTGCTAGATCTAAAGAGAGACTTCAATACAATAAAAGCTGGGACTTCAAAACTCCACACTCAGCTTAGACAGATCATCTCAGGAGAAAATCAATAAAGAAATACTGAATTTAAACTGGACCTTAGAGCAAATAAACCTCAGGAGAAAATCAATAAAGAAATGTTGAAGGCTGGGAGCAGTGGCTCACGCCTGTAATCCCAGCACTTTGGGAAGCTGAGGCAGGTGGATCACCTGAGGTCGGGAGTTCAAGACCAGCCTGACCAACATGGAGAAACCCCATCTCTACTAAAAATACAGAATTAGCTGGGCATGGTGGCGCATGCCTATAACCCCAGCTGCTCAGGAGGCTGAGGCAGGAGAATCACTTGAACCCAGGAGGTGGAGGTTACAGTGAGCCACAATCACGCCATTGCACTCCAGCCTGGGCAACAAGAGTGAAACTCTGTCTCAAAAAAAAAAAAAAAAAAAAAAAGAAAGAAAGAAATATTGAATTTAAACTGGACTCTAGAGCAAATAAACCGAAGAGACATTTACAGAGCATTTTAACTACAGAATAGACATTCTTCTCATCAGCACATGGAACATTCTGTAGGACAGACCATATGTTAAACCACAAAACAAATCTCAACAAATTTTAAAAAAACAGAAGTCATATCAAATATCTTCTCAGACAACAATGGAATAAAACTATCAATCAACACCAAGAAGAACTTGAGAAACTTTATGAATACATGGAAATCAAACAACATGCTTTTGAACTACCAATTGGGTCAATGAAGAAATTAGATGGAAACAAAATTTCTTGAAAGAAATGAAAACAGAAACACAACACACCAAAACCTGTTTGATACAACAAAAGCACTACTAAGAGGGAAATTAATAGCAACAAATGCCTACATCAAAAAAGTAGAAAGATTTCAAGTGAACAATCTAATGATGCACCCCAAGAAAGTGAAAGAGCAAGAACAAACCAAACCCCAAATGAGCAGAAGCAGTAAAGATCAGAGAACTAAATGAAATAAAGACTAAAAAAAAATACAAAGGATTAAGATAACAAAAAGCTGGTTCTTTAGAAAGATAAAGTTAATACACCTCTAGCTAGACTAAGCCAGAAAACGAGAAGACCTAAATAAACAAAATCAGAAATGGGAAAGAGACATTACAATTGATACCACAGAAATACAAAAGATCAGACTATTATGAACAACTATATGCTAACAAACTGGAAAACATAGAGGAAATGGGTAAATTCCTGGAAACATGCAACCTACCAAAAGTGAATCAGGAAAAATAGAAAACCTGTAGAGACCAATGAGTGGTGAGGTTGAATCAGTAACTAAAAGTCTCCCTACTGGCCAGGCACCGTGGCTCACGCCTGTCATCCCAGCACTTTGGGAGGCCGAGGGGGGCAGATCACCTGAGGTCAGGAGTTCAAGACCAGCCTGGCCAACATGGTGAAACCCTGTCTCTACTAAAAATACAAAAATTAGCCAGGCATGGTAGCAGACGCCTGTAATCCCAGCTACTTGGGAGGCTGAGGCAGGAGAATTGCTTGAACCTGGGAGACAGAGGTTGCAGTGAGCCAAGATTGCACCACTGCACTCCAGCCTGGGCTACAAAGCGAGACTCCATCTCAAAAAAAAAAAAAAAAGTCTCCCTACAAAGAAAAGCCCAGGACCTCATGGAGACACAGCCAAGTTCTACCAAATATATGAAAACAACTAATACCAAACCTCTGGTAAGTATTACAGAAAATTAAAGAGGAGGCAACTATCCCTAACTCATTCCACAAGGCCAGCAGTACCCTGATTCCAAAACCAGAGAAGCACACAACAAAAAAAGAAAACTACAGACCAGTACCTCTGATGAACACAGATATAAAAATCCTCAATAAAATACTAGCAAACTAACTCCAACAGCACATCAAAAAGATAATACGCAAAGACCAAGTGGTATTTACACCGGGAATTCAAGGGTGGTTCAATATATGGAAATTGGCCAGGCATGGTGGCTCACGCCTGTAATCCCATCACTTTGGGAGGCCGACGTGGGTGGATCATTTAAGGTCAGGAATTTGAGACCAGCCTGGCCAACATGGTGAAACCCTGCCTCTATTAAAAATACAAAAATTAGCCTGGCGTGGTGGCGGGTGCCTGTAATCCCAGCTACTCGAGAGGTTGAGGCAGGAGAATTGCTTGAACCCAGGAGGTGGAGGATGCAGTGAGCAGAGATCATGCCACTACACTCCAGCCTGGGTGATAGAGCAAGAGTCTGTCTCAAAAAAAAAATAAAAAAGGAAATCAATAAATGTGATTATTATATCAAAGGAATGAAGGGCAAAACCCATATGATCTCATAAGACACAGAAAAAGCACTTGATAGGCCAGGCGTGGTGGCTCATGCCTGTAATCACAGCACTCTGGGAGGCCGAGGCGGGCGGATTACGAGGTCATGAGTTCAAGACCATCCTGGCCAACATGGTGAAACCCCATCTCTACTAAAAATACAAAAATTAGCCAGGTGTGGTAGCATGCACGTGTAGTTCCAGCTACTTGGGAGGCTGAGGCAGGAGAATCGCTTGAACCTGGGAGGCAGAGGTTGCAGTGAGCTGAGATTGCGCCACTGCACTACACCCTGGCGACAGACTGAGACTCCATCTTTAAAAAAAAAAAAAAAAAGAAAAAAGAAAAAGCATTTGATAAAATTCAACATCCTTTCATGATAAAAACTCCAAACAAACTAGGAACAGAAGGAACTTATCTCAAAATAATAAAGGTTATATACGACAAACCCCACAGCCAACATGATACTGTATGGTGAAAAGCTGAAAGTCTTATTTTTAAAATTTTCTAATTTATTTTCCAAAGCATTTGACAGGAAATTTTGTTTCCTTAAATTTCCTTTTTTTTAGTAGAGACAGGGGCTCAGTCCGTTGACCAGGGTGGTCTTGAACTCCTGGCTTCAAGTGATTTTCCTGCCTCAGCCTCCCGAAGTGCTGGGATTACAGGTGTGTGCCACTTCACCTGACCAACCCTTTCCTCTATCTCAAAGAAGGCAAGGATGCCTACTTTCAGCATTCCTACTCAATACAGTAATGAAAGTCCTAGCCAGAGCAATCAGGCAAGATTAAGAAATAAAAGGCTTCCAAATTGGAAAAGAAGTCTAATTGTCCCTCTATGCTGATGATATAATCTTATATCTAGAAAAACCTAAAGCCTCCATCAAAAACTCCCAGATTTAATAAATTCAGTGAAGCTGCAAGATACAAAATAAACTTACAAGAATCAGTAGCATTTCTATACACCAATAATGAGTTAGCTGAGAAAGAAGAAGGTAATCCCACTTACAATAGCTATCAAAAAAAATACCTAGAAATAACCAAGGAGGCAAAAAATCTCTACAAAGAAAACTACAAAACACTGAAGACAGACATCGAAGAGGACACAAATGGAGACATCACATTCTCATGGATCAGAATTAATACTGTTAACAATACTGCCCAAAACAATCTATAGATTCAATGCAATCTCTATCAAAATACCAATGTCATTTTACATAGAATTAGAAAAAACAATCCTAAAATTCATACGGAACCACAAAAGAGCCTGAATAGCCAAAGTAATCCTGAACAACAACAAAAAAAACAAAGCTGGAGGCATCACATTACTTGACTTCAAAATATATTAGAAGGCTGGCCTGGTGCGGTGGCTCACGCCTGTAATCCCAGCACTTTGGTAGGCCAAGGCGGGCAGATTATGAGGTCAGGAGATTGAGACCATTCTGGCTAACCCGGTGAAAACCCATCTCTACTAAAAATACAAAAAATTAGCCGGGTGTGGTGGCGGGCACCCGTAGTCCCAGCTACTCGGGAGGCTGAGGCAGGAGAATGGCGTGAACCCAGGAGGAGCTTGCCTTGAGCCAAGATCACGCCACTGCACTCCAGCCTGGGCGACAGAGCGAGATTCTGTCTCCCCCCCCCCCCCAAAAAAAAAAAAAAAAAAAAAAAAAAAAAAATATATATATATATATATATATATATATATATATATATATATCTGAAGGCTATAGTACCAAAAACAGCAAGGTATTGGTATAAAAACAGACACACAGACCAATGGTACAGAATAGAAAACCCAGAAATAAATCCACATCTTTACAGCCAACTGACTTTTGATAAAGGTGCCAAGAATATGCACTGGAGAAAGGACACCCTCTTCAATAAATGGTGCTAAGAAAATTGGATATCCATAAGAATGAAACTGAGGGGCCAGGCACGGTGGTTCATGCCTGTAATCCCAGCACTCTGGGGGACTGAGGCGGGTGGATCACGAGGTCAAGAGATCGAGACCATCCTGGCCAACACGGTGAAACCCCGTCTCTACTAAAAATACAAAAATTAGCTGGGTGTGGTGGTATGCGCCTGTAGTCAGCTACTTGGGAGGCTGAAGCAGGAGAATTGCTTGAACCTGGAAGGTGAAGGTTGCAGTGAGTCGAGATCACGCCAACTGCACTCCAGTCTAGGGACAGGGCGAGACTCCATCTCAAAAAAAAAAAAAAAAAAGAATGAAACTGGTCCCTTATCTCTTCCTATATACAACTCAAGATGGATTAAAGACTTAAACTATAAAAACTATTCGAAAAAAAATCATAGGGGCTGGGCATGGTGGCTCACGCCCTGTAATCCCAGTACTTTGAGAAGTAGAGGCAAGAGGATCACTTGAGCCTCAGAGTTTGAGATTAGCCTGGGTAACATCAGCGAGACCCGTCTCTACAAAAATTAAAAGGATTGCTTGAGCCTAGGAGGTGGAGGCTGCAGTGAGCCACGATCATGCTACTGCACTCCAACCTGAATGAGACCCTGTCAAAACAAACAAACAAACACACACATTGGTTCCAGGCAAAGATGTCATGACTAAGGATGCAAAAGCACAACTGTAATAAATATAGACAAATGCGATCATATTAAACTAAAAAGCTTCTATACAACAAGGGGAAACAACAGAGTGAAGAGAAAACTTACTGAATGGGAGAAAATATGTCAACTTAATGTCCAGAGTATACAAGGAACTCAAATAACAATAAAAAAACAAATAATCCCATTAAAAAGTGGGCTAAGGACATGAATAGACATTTCTCACATGAAAATATTCAAGCAGCCAACAGATACCTGGAAAAATGCTCAACATCACTAGACATCAGGGAAATGCAAATTAAATCCATAATGAGATATGATCTTACCCTAGGAAGAATGGTGATTATTAAAACGTCAAAAAATAACAGATGCTGGCAAGGATGCACAGAAAAGGGAATTCTTATACACTGTTGGTAGGAATACAAATTGGTACAACCACTGTGGAAAATAGTATGGAGATTCCTCAAAAAATTATGAATAAAACTACCATAGAATATAGTAATCACAATGTTGAGTATTTACCCAAAGGAATAAGCATCTGTATATCAAAGGGATGCCTCCATTTGCACGTTTAGCATAGCACTATTGACAATAGCAGCAGTCAGGCGTGGTGGCTCACACCTATAATCCCAGCACTTTGGGAGTCCAAGGAGGGAGGACTGCTTGAGTTCAGGAGTTCAAGACCAGCCTAGGCAACATAGGGAGAATGCATCTCTACAAAAAATTTAAAAAATAGCCAGGTGTGGTGGCACACACCTGTAGTCACAGCTACTCGGGAGGCTGAGTTGGGAAGGTTGCTTAAGCCCCACAAGTTTGAGTCTGCTGCAGTGAGCTGGGCTGGTGCCACTACACTCCAGCCTGGGCAACAGAATGAGACACTGTCTTAAAAACACAAAACAAAACAAAAAACCCAGAACCAATAGCAAAGAACAAAGAGGGAGTCAATCTAAATGCCCATTGACCGACGAATGAAAAAAATGTCGTATATATACACAATGGAATATTATTTGGCCATTAAAAAAGAATGAAATCATGTAATTTGCAGCAACATAAATGGAAATGGAGGCATATTACATGAAGTAAGTCAGGTACAGAAAGACAGATGCCACGTTCCCACTCTTATGTGGGAGCTAAAAAAAAGCTGATCCCAGGCCAGACACGGTGGCTCATGCCTGTAATCCCAACACTTTGGGAGGCTGAAGCAGGTGCATCACCTGAGGTCAGGAGTTCGAGACCAGCCTGGCAAACATGGTGAAACCCAGTCTCTACTAAAAAACACAAAATTAGCTGGGTGTGGTGGCAGGCACCTGTAGTCCCAGCTACTTGGAAGGCTGAGGCAGGAGAATCGCTTGAACCCGGGAGGCAGAGGTTGGAGTGAGCCGAGATCACGCCACTGCACTCCAGCCTGGCGGGCAACAGAGCGAGACTCGTCTCCAAAAAAAAAAAAGAAAAAAAAATTGATCCCACAGAGATAGAGAATACATACTAGAGGCTGGGAAGGGAGTCCAGGGTGGGTAAAGAGAGGTTGATTAGTGGGTGCATAGTTAGAATAAGCCCCAATATTCTATAGCACAGTAGGGTGACTACGTATTATATATTAGTAACAATGTACTCTAATTTCGGCATAGCTAGAAGACAGAACTTGAAGTGTTACCAATAAGTAGAAATAATACTCAAGGTGTACCTCAAGGTGATACACTCCAAGTACCCTGACCTGATCATCACATTCTATTCATGTAACGAATACTCACATGTACACAATATGTAAAATACTTCGTATCAATAAAAGATACTGTAGCTGAAAAATTCCTACTGCCTAGTGACGTCCTAGCCATAGGAATGTCATAGCACAACATGTTACTCGTGTTTGTAGTGATGCCAGTAATAGACAAATCTACCACACTACCAGTCACATAAAGTATAGCACAATTATATACAGCTTGTAATAATAAATGTTAATGGCTTATGTATTTACTACATGACACTGTAATAAAATACATGCCTAGTATGTTTTTTAAAAGTTAACTTTTAACTGTTAGCCCCAGGCAGGTCCTTCAGGAGGTATTCCAGCAGGCACTGTTATTGTTATCAAAAGAGATGACAGTTCCATTCAAGTTACTGCCCCTGAAGACCTTTCAGTGGGACAAGTGTGTAGGTAAAAGACAGTGATATGGAGAATCACAAATTTACCTAAATAACAAACCAGCACACATCCCCCTTGAACCTACAAGTTAAACTTTTTAAAAAAAGCTTACAGGTAAGTATGTATTTTCATAAAGTTGTAGTTTTAAGTTAAGAGTCAAAAAGTTCTTAAAAATTAGTTTGTGGCTGGGCGCGGTGGCTCACACCTGTAATCCCAGCACTTTGGGAGGCCAAAGCAGGCGGATCATGAGGTCAGCAGTTCGAGACCATCCTGACCAACATGGTGAAACCTTGTCTCTACTAAAAATTCAAAAATTAGCTGGGCGCGGTGGCGGGTGCCTGTAGTCCCAGCTACTCAGGAGGCTGAGGCAGGAGAATCACTTGAACCCAGGAGGCCTCCGCCATTGCACTCCAGCCTGGGTGACACAGCAAGACTCCGTCTCAAAAAAAAAAAAAAAAGTTAAATGGAAAATACCTTTTATCTGGCTAATTTTGAAATTTTTGTAGAGATGAGGTCTTGTTATTTTACCAGGTCAAATTCCTGGTCTCCCAAGATGCTGGGATTACAGGCATGAGGTACCATGCCCACCCTTCTGTACCTCTTCTGTGCTTAGACACACAAATATTTAACACTGTGTTATAATTGCCTGTATTCAGCAGTTACATGCTGTACAGGTCTGTAGCCTAGGAGCAATAGGCTATACCATATAGGTTTGCATACATACTCAATACCTTTGCTCTTTCCTTCCTTTGTTGAATTCACCTGGCAAAGCCCTAGTTAAATCCAACTCCCCACCTGCTGGTAATTCTGCATGTCCCTAGTACATTTGTTTTCCCATTCCCAAGACAACTATTTCACATCTTTTTCTCTTTAAATCTTCAACATCCCTTCAGGCCCCTTTCTGTTTGCTTTCCAAGACACACTACAATAACCCTAAGACTTTATATATTTTTATTTTGAGACGGAGTCTCCCTCTGTCACCAGGCTGGAGTGCAGTGGCGCGATCTCGGCTCACTGCAACCTCCGCCTCCTGGTTTCAAGCAACTCCCTTGCCTCAGCCTCCCGAGTAGCCGGGACCTCCCAGTTTCAAGCAACTCTCTTGCCTCAGCCACCCCAAGTAGCTGGGACTACAGGTGCCTGCCCCCACACCTGGCTAATTTTTGTATTTTTAGTAGAGACGGGGGTTTCACCATGTTGGCCAGGATGGTCTCAATCTCTTGACTTCGTGATCCACACGCCTCTGCCTCTCGAAGTGCGGGGATTACAGGTGTGAGCCACCACGCCCGGCCTAATAACCCTAAGACTTTAAAACTGAAATACATTTAATCACTGGATGAACTGACTAGTCTTAATATCCATAAACATGGAAAAAAAAATCCACTGTCTTTTGATCGTTCCACTCCCTTCCATAAAGATCCATAGATTCACTCCTAACTACATTTCCTTGATAGTATCATGAGAATGTGTTTATATTTTCTAGACATTACAGAAACACAACTAGCCAATTATAAACACTCAAATTTGACTGCAATATCTTTTGGATTTTCTGTGTGGCCAGCATCACCTATGCATGACAATTATTTCTTCCAAATCCTTCCGTTTTTTTAACTGTACCGCCCTAGGTCTTCCAGTGCAACGTTCAAAAGAAACTATGACACACTCGCTTTTTTCCTCACTTCCTGCTCTCCTGTGCTCACACTGCTCAAGTTCACTCTGCTCCAAATGGCACATCTCTTCCGGAAGACAAAAAAAAAAAAAGGAATACAGGTTATCTCACAATTGCTAAGGCTGGGGAACCAGGCTCAGTGTCACCATCTAGGTGAGGCAGATAGGAGGAAACCATTGCTGCTGCAGCATCACCAAAGCACAGCGACTACCCTCGCTAGCAAAAGGAGTTTGCATAGCTTCCTAGCAATGTCTCCAGGTCTCATGTTGGTGTATCTGATTGGCAGAACAGGTTCTAAACCTTGATCTTGGCTGCAAGTTTTCTGGGTAGTTTTTGAGATGTATAGCCTCTGTAGTCCTTACAAATAATCCGTAAGTACACAAAATACTGGGCAACAGAACAGGAGACAGTATCTAAAAACATGTACGTAGTTCTGTTTCCAACACTAGCACCTAAGATTGTATTCCCCCAAACAACTGTCCTCCTCAATGTGTTTTCGAGAATCTCATTCTAACATTATTGGATGTTTAACCAATGTTTTTGGTCTTCCCATTTCCATGATATCCTAATACAGATGCTCTTCAATTTATGATGGGTCAATGTCCCCATAAACCACAAGTCAGAAAATCATTAAGTTGAAACTGCATTTAATGTTGGCAACACTGCAGTCAACTTACAATGGTTTCATTTATGATTTTTCAACTCTGTGATGCCATGAAAACAATGTTGATTCAGTAGAAACCGTAACCCCACTAAAAGCCCCTAAGTCAAACCACTGTTTAAGTCAGGGACTGTGTGCGTCTGCAGTTGTAAGTAACAGTTTAGATGCTACCAACAGTTGAAGTTTCAGGTCCACTGCACTCTTGCCAACACAGTATTTTCATGAACACCAGCAAGAAATAGGCTAACTCACTTCTGCAGTACAGATATTTACACTAAGTAGGGTTAAAAAAATTTTTTTTGAGTAGTCTCTTATCAAGTCCTCTGCAAAGAGTTAGTCCCAAGCAGGAGATGACTTCCACAGCACTGCAGGATTCCTGATGTGCCACTCTGGCCTACTCCCGACCCCTACTGTCTGCTTCCCCTGGGCCCTGATAGCTGGCCAGGATGATCTGGAGTGTTTCGGGGCAGCAGTCACTATCAACTACATGACTATTTCACAAAGCAAGCCAAAGAACATCTAACAAAACATTAGAAAACAAAAGCCAGAGAGGCCAGGTGCGGTGGCTCACACCTGTAATCCCAGCACTTTGGGAGGCTGAGGCGGGCGGATCACAAGGTCAAGAGATCAAGACCATCCTGGCTAACACAGTGCAACCCCATCTCTATTAAAAATACAAAAATTAGCTGGGTGTGGTGGCACGCACCTGTACTCCCAGCTACTAAGGTGGCCGAGGCAGGAGAATCGCTTAAACCTAGAGGTGGAGGTTGCAGTGAGCCAAGATTGTGCCACTGTACTCCAGCCTGATGACAGAACAAGACTCCGTCTCAAAAAGAGAAAAGATCAGCCAGACTAGGCTTAGGATTTAAGGTGTTGAGAACCACATAATTACAAGCTCACCAACCTCCATGTTCCTAAGCAGCTTTCCCATGGGTTTTATATTACTTGTTTCCATCTCTAGGACATAAGGAGCTGAACCAATATTTGATGACCACACCAGGCAGTGTGACAGGTTGTCCTAACACTTCAATTGGCATCTTCAATTGACACACTGAAACAAATTCTCCCAAGGTGACAAAACTAAGTGGAGCAGGATGAGAGTCTGGTCGGTCTAGGCTAGAGCAATGCCCTTTTAAACAATGCCTCACAGCCAAAGGGACCCACCCAAAATCTACACTCAAGTCTTTCTTACAAATGAGCTAAATCCTTCAATGAAAAATGGCCAGGTTATCAGAGTATGTATTTTCTAATTTTTAGTATGGGCCCACAGGCATGCCACTTAAAGGATTAGAGATTTTGAGACATTTTACCTGAGGGAATTACCAGTGAGCATCATCTATTTGTAGACTGGGTCAAGCTAAGGGTCCTATAAATAGCTAAATACTTACAAACTAAAGCAAAACTAGACAAATTTACACAAAGACAATTATTTAAGACCTTTATTAACAGGTGCTTGCAGTTTGTTGACTTTTTTGAAAAAATCAAGTTGTAAACTTTTATTACAAATTAAAAATGAAGTTCTTAAAAATCTCAACTTGACCAGATATGAAACAATTTAAAAACCTTTAAAGGCGTATTGAGAAAAACCAGGCTTTTTTAAAAAACACGTTTGTTATTACCAAAAAGAGACGTCTTTAGGTAAAAATAATAAAAACCCCATGCTGCATAGATAATGCAGATAGTTCTATTTATCTGGTCAACGGGCAAAAAGCAAGCACTTTAGGTCTTCAGCTCCAATCTTTTGTTCATTTCTTATTGCTGGAATTTCATATTTCTTCTTGTTGGATGACTAAACTGTAAAGAAAAAAATAAAGATGATCATGTAGAATTCATGGTGATCTTCATTTAGTGTAGTACATGCCCTAGTTTACATTACTTGTGTATTGGGAGACATTAACAGATCTCTTGCCATCCAGCAAATAGTAAACGGGAAAAAACCAAAAGCACCACTGGTTGAATGCTAATTTTGGAGGGAACAACAATCACGTACCTCTCGATATCATGTAAAAAGCGAAATGAAAAAGAATCCCTTAATTTTGGAATTAAGGGTAATAAAAACAAGTGAGCTAATGAGCTAAAGTAACAAGAACGTAATTGTATCATGTGGTCTGCCAGAGAATTATTATTATTAATCTACAGGCAGTTTAAATAAACCATGATAAACCACGTGTCATTCTAGGAGTTTTTTAGACACGAAACACTCTCGTCTTTTTCCGGGAACAACATAAACCAACAAAAAAAAAAAACAATTAGAAATGATTAAAAGATTATATTAATGTTGCCACTTTCTCCAAACAGACTCTATTTGTCACCATCTAGGTTAATTCTAACAGCTATCCCCACTTCCTTTTTGAAATAATGCATAAATAATAATGTAATTAACATATTTCTCAGAATACAGCTAGCAAAACTTTCCTCTGTTTACTAGTGAAATCATAAAATTCATTCAGAAAAGTTGATAGAAAGCACTAATAGTTCAAAATACTCATGAAAATACAGGTCTCCAGTGTCAGAATTGAGAACTAGCTGAAGGGTGGCCAAATATGACTCTGATATTCAATATTCCTAAAATGAAATATTAGGTAATTAAGAATAGGGCAGAACACATTATAAATAACATGGCTTTCATTATCTGATGGAACTGAGGTTTTTCTACTCTTGCATTAATAAAACGAAATGGTCACCACTCACGACTGCCATAAATGGATGGCCATCCAAGCTTGCTTACCCGGATGATGGTAGAGATGGTAAGCCGGCATTTACTCAGCCCCGCCCTGCTCAGCCTCGGGAGCGGACGAATTCTCAGCTGGTGGATCGGCTGCTTTTGTCTCTTTGCCATCTTGTGGTTTAGGGTTTTCTGGGCGTCTGCGTCGGTAATTGAAGTTGCGGCGGTACCGACGTTGAGGTGGCTGCTGACCTTGGGTCTCATCTCCTTGATTTTCTTTATCTTCTTCATTGCCGTCCTCTCTAGGCTGTCTTTGGCGAGGAGGGCCCCTGCAATGAACGGTGTCAAACTTAAGAATGATAAAACCTTCTCTCTTCAACACACCCACCAGTGTAACCAGTTGGTTCACAACTAACTCACCATGTCTGGCCCATTCTGTATCAAGTGGTCTGTAGGCAATTTGTGTAAAGAGATGGGTTTTTTTTTTTGGGGGGGGGGGGATGCTGAGTAGGGGGAAGAGTCTTGCTTTGTTGCCCAGACTAAAGTGCCATGGAATGATGACAGCTCACTGTGGCCTCAATCTCCCAGGCTCAAGTGATCTTCCCACCTCAGACTCCTGAGTAACTGGGACTATAGGCAAGCCCCCCACGTCTCATTAATGTCTGATTTTTAGTAGCGATGTGTTGCTATGTTTCCAAGGCTGGTCTTGAATTCCTGACCTCAAGCTATCCTCCCTCCTTGGCCTCCCAAAGAGTGCTGGGATTACAGGCTTGAGTCTTTTAATCACCAAGATAAAGATACTAAATTTTGGGATTTTCTTTCCCCCAGTGCTCAGAAATGATGGATTCCTGGCCTTTCCTCTGCCCATACTCTGAGCACTCCAGAAAGCCCCAGGCCTTTAGTATCCATGAGTCATCATGGGAATAAATTCACATTTACCTTTGTACATTCTAAAACTCTTTCCCCACATCTTTTGGAACTCATGATGAATCTTCAACAAAATTGTTCTGACTTTTCTCTGCAACCCTACAGTGGTGACTGTTCTAACCTTATTGTGGCTTCTAAATCAACTCTCCCAGTTTCTAAAAACTAGGCTTTCCATCTTATTTTGGATTCTGCTCCATTTACTATCTTTTTCTTACTGCAGTTATTACTAAGGTTCGAGTGTAACAGCTTCTAATAACCTGGGCTTTCAGACTGACCTCCCAGTCCAGCTGTTTTCTACCTGGGTTTTTTCAATTATACCACTCAACTTTCCAATTATGTACCTTCCTATTTTTCTTAGGTAATTCCTTATTGTTTTCTCATTCTTAATCTAGGACCTGTAATACAGCGATTCTATCACCTATTCATCTCACTCCAAGGTTGGGCACAGTGGCTCACACCTGTAATCCTAGCACTTGGGGAGGATCACTTGAGGGCAGGAGTTCAAGACTGCTTGAGTAACACAGTGCAACTCCATTTCTACAAAACAATTTAAAAAAAAAAAAACAACCCTCATTTTCCCCTTTTCTCCCCTCTTTATCCAAGTATAAAGTCTACCACTAATCATATGACCAATCCCTACCCCAGTGTCTTCATCTGGATAAACCAGATCTGGATAAATCAAACCAGATCTGGATAAACCAAATCTGGATAAATCCAACTCTCTGCCCAACCTGAGCCTGATGCCCAAATGGCTAGAAACACAGAGTCAAGCTGGGTGAACTCACTTCTAATTTATGATCGTTATCCTATTACTTATAAATTTACCATCTCTATTTTCTGTTCTAGAGGGTTCTTTGCCCCAAACTTTTCAAACTTCCTCTTTACTTTCGTCTCAATTTAGCAACCAAAGGCTTCCATGTCTTCCCATTAACACATGCGTGCCCATGTATTCTTGTTTCTTACACAGGAAAACGGCAGGTTCCTAACAAAAGGTCAACATTTTCACCTGTGGGCAAAACCCTACCCTCTCTGAGAAAGAAAACAGTTCCAGCAGTCACTTTCCTGCCATCAACTGTTATCCTGGATTGCATTTCAGCCTATAAATGTTATTTCTCAACAAAAAACCTCCCTTTTTGACCCCCCATTTTCCCCTTACTACTATTAGTCTCATTTTCAGCAACACTTGTACTATACTCTGTCTTAAGATTTCCCTTTCAGTTTGCTCTTGAACCCACACCAGTCAGAATTTCACACCATTCCATGCATTAGGGGCAGCATGTTTCATTTACTCTCATTTGAACAAAAGATTCCTGCACAGTTTGGAAAGTCTAGCATTCATTGATAACTTCCAAGCAATTTTATGTTACTTCTGCAACTATCTGGCAGGACTGAGCATTCTAAACATTGAAACACGTAGACATTAAGTCTAACTTAAACCAAAAGGCAAAAACCTCTGCACTGGAGGGGTAACAATGGACAAAGATACCTTTCTAAGAGACAAATCAACCGCAAGCTTGTTTGTCAATATAAAGACAAACAATTTACTCAACGGTGAACTGAAGCACTGAATACAAACACAAAATTATGCTATTTTTAAGGACATCAATGAAACTAGGCAAAACATTTAAGCTCTTCAGTGTAACAAAAGGTAAACCAAAGATTCTGCTGCTGGAACCCATGGACTTAACAGATGGACTGCCATGAGAGGCTATTTTAGACCTACTCTGAAAAATAAAAACCCATCTATCTTCAACATCCAGCATCTGGCTAACACAATCTCCTGGTAGAAAACTGAATCAGAGATCTTCAATTGTGGTAGTGATCAGTTAGGACCTCAGCTCTTTTAACTGAAAACTCAGGACAAGACATATTAATACAAAAAATATGATGACATCAGCTGCTCTTGCAAAACTCTCAATGTACATGTGCTGATAAATACATGTAATACAACCTCGACTAGATTCCCTAGTTCCTAAAACTTCACTAAGTGCTCCAACTTTGGTAAAATTTAAAAACCTATATACAGAAACCCCCTCTTATAGACTCACAGTATATTTTGGATATGTTGGATACTTCTAGAATAATAAACTTGACACTTAAAAATTTGGGGATTTAAAAGTTGCGATTTAAGTGATCAGTTAAGATGCGTTATTACTGTATTGGTTTGATTCTTCAGAGGTACCTGTCAGCTTTTGGGGATCACCTATGAAAACTCAATGCTTTGATATCAAACCCTTAGAGAAACAACTATTACACCATCCTATCCTACCACCGTGGGACTGGGAACACTGCCTCAAAGTATACTACGGCATGGACTAAAATATGCTTGGTTCATGGAATTTTTCCTCGATTACTCTAATAATGACATCTATTAATAAGATTTCTAATACCCACTCAAGTAGATAGTTGTCTAACGACAGACTGGATTTCCCCCCGCAGAATGTAAATTCTTGGTGGAGCAATTTCATTTTGCAACTTTGAGCTGACAACTCCCAACTCCAAAAAAAAGGGGGTACATATCTAAACTGAGAAGTGTTTAGTGGAAGATAATGTATGCCATTTCAAGTGATAACACTGTTGATTCTTCACTAATGCCATGGTACAATTCAGATACTCCTAATGCTTTCCTTTCTCCCTACCAAGGAGGCAGGTTTAAAAGGTGTGGTTTAAAATATTATCTTACCTGTTCAAGGACAGAAAATTTGAAATTCCAAACCCTCATCATTTTCTAAAAAAATTTATGTATAAAGCAGACCTCATCTATACAAGCTGTTTTTAATAGGTTCACCTCTTAGGCATCTGATGAAAGAAAACGTGAAGTGTTAACAGAAAAATGAGTCTGCAGGAGAGGCATGATATTGCTGAGTCCTAACACGGGTTTGAGGAAATTTTAATAGAAACATGTTTACGTGGACCATACCTGCGGAATCGTGGTCTATATCCCCGATACATATTCTGCCTCACTGGTCTACCTTGTTCTCCTGCACCCTGGTTGTCAGCACCCTGAAAAAGACAATGGAAATTAAGCCTACTGGGTCAGTAATATAATAAAAAAACCCAACCAGATAAATCCAAGAGTTAAAAAACAAACAAAACAGACCATCTAGTAATTGTGACTACATTATAAATTAATCCTTTTGGTTCTTACTAGGAATCCAAGTTGCTTTCCATATAATTAACAGCTCTAAACAGTCCTACCAGAACTTATCACATTGCTGTTGTTGATGGTGAAACTTACCTCCATCACTTCTCCCTGCACAGGAGGGTTGGAATACTGTGGTCGACGCCCATAGGGTCTCCGCATGTAGTAAGGTGGGAACCTTCGCCTGCGGTAGGGCCGGCGTTGTTGGGCCTGGCCTTCGGGAGCACTCTCCGATCCCTCGTTCTTTTCCCCACTCTCACTATTCTGGTAATTTTGCTGGTAATTGCGTGGAGGACCCCTACGACGTGGATAGCGTCTATAATGGTTACGGTCTGCTGCATATTTACTGCCTTGAACTGGAACACCACCAGGACCTGTAACATTTGCTGCCTCCGCACCCTACAAAAGCCATTACATATTGATAGTGACAAAGGAAATCAGAACACTTTCAACACTTTCAAAAGGAAATCAGAACATTTTCAAACAAAGCAAAAAACAACAAAGTTAAGGAAAAAAAAGGGGGGGGGGGCGCAACTGCGTGACCAGGGGTGCACAGAAATGACTAAATATCAGTTCCTCACTGTTCTGAAGAGATTGCCCTCTAACTGCAGCCAGAACATTAGGCTTGATGCACCTGTGTTCATGAGGTCACCTGAACACATCCATCCACATTAGAGCCACCATCCTAATGGATGAGACCTCCAAAATATTTCCATACTGAAGTCAAACCTTTACACAAAAAGCATCCTCACCTTTTCTCCTTCAACAACATCAAACTCCACAGTCTCTCCATCTCCTACACTGCGAAGGTACTTCCTGGGGTTATTCTTCTTTATGGCAGTCTAGTAATATCACATTCCAAAAATAGATTAACAGGGGAGAATAATGTGCTTTTTCATTTAAAATGTACCAGAGTCAATATTATTTTAGCTTGGATATACACTTAAGATTTGCTTTAAATAAGACCAAACCATCAATAAATTTAGGAAAGCGGGGACCACACTATCCCCAACTTCAACAAAAACACTCCAATCATACAAGGCCCCAGCATTGTACCACTATTTACAAAACTAAAACAAGTAATTTAACACTCAAGACAGACACATCATTTTAAAAACTGCTTTTTGCAAAAGCATTATATATAACTTTTAACAAATGAGGATATCCATCTATCCCCTGAGGACTGCACTTAATAGGAGAAGGTGGCCCCACACTGCGTCAGTTTAGATGACAGGCGAGTTTGGTTTTGCATGCTTCAAAGCTGACCAAACCAACTTTGCCCCTGTGTTACCGTATCAAACTCAATTACAAATGTCAACCAAAATCCCTTCCAATCTGATAATACATCAGTGGAAATGCAATTCATGTGTATTAACTATGTCATTCTTTATATGATCTGACTGCATGGAATTGTTAGTTATCACCTCCCCAGAATTCAATAAATCTTGTATTAGAGACTTGTTGCTTCTACTTTCTCCAGACTGTTAAGAGAAGGGAGGAAGAGTAACATCTCACGTTTCTATGAAATTTTTTTGCAACATTCTTTCACTTACTATCTATTCAATCTCATTATGAGACAGGACATGTGAAAGTATTGTTAATCCCATTACACAGATAATGTAACAGGCTTTAAAGTTAGGTGACTTGCCCAAGGTCACACAGTTAGTAAGGAGACTTTCTAAACCCAGGTATTGGGTCTCCAAATCCCATGTTCACTCCAAATCTCAGCTATATCCATTACAGGATCACTCATGCATTTCCATTGCAGAGGAGACAGGACAATCAACGAATCTGAGGCCAATTAAGTGAAGCTGCCCAGAACTGCAGTCTCCCTGATACACCACTAAGACCTGAGCAGCCAAAGTCCCAAGAAACAACTACATGTTGAAACCACTTCCAAAAAAATGAAAGCATATTGGTGGCACCTTGTGAATCAGTACAACTGGGTGAGTTGAGTCAAATAATTGATCTCATCTGTCATCTAAACTGTCACATAGTTTTCATACCTTTCAGATATAGCCAACTATCAATTACCTGCAGTCATAGGGGATAGCAGAATTATGGATAATTAAAATCCCAACTCTTTATTTTTATCAACATCTCCACCCCTGCCCCAACCCCAACCCTTAAGGGTTGCCAACAGGCAACAAGACCGAGAAACTTTGCTGTCTCTTGTTCCTAAGTCTACACATTCTTTTGAACATGCAGAAGGGGAGTAAGGAACAGTTGAGCTGTGTTCTTCCAAACAAGAATACCAATTTTATAAAACATCTACTTTAAAACAACATTTTGTCTGAAGTAGTCCTGTATTTATTTACATTTAGAATTTAAATGATTCCATAATTACATTTGACCCTGAACTACCTGATTGGGTTTGGGTGTACTAGAAATTGATATAGCTTCCTCCTTGTCATCAAATACTGTGTAGGACACTTCAGTGAGCTACAAAGCACCAACCTATGACAGCCCTTCCTATGAAACATGCTGCCATAAAAGCTAGTATCTAATTAAATGTGAGTATGGATATTAACTTTTAGGTCTTTTGATTTCTGGATTATAGTACAAAAAAGTAGTTATGGTCTCTAATTTTAATACAAGTTGACAATATTTCAAAAGCCTTAGTGAGAAAACTGATAGCACAAACATATTTTTTCCTACTCATTTCGTATCTGTGAGGATAAGTACATTCAATGTAGCCTACAGCATATCTAAATTTGAAGTATTAACATACACTTGGCAGTGGTTTACATTAGTAATAATCTTAATTCCTGAATGTGCAAACATTTTCCCTAAATGATACTTAGGGAGAAAGTTCACTATGCAGTACTCATCAGTACTCATCCTATGTTAACAGTTTTCTCTTCCCAAATCACTGGAAGCCAATCTAAAAATTATTTAATGAGCAGCTGCCAACCTTGTCACACTTCCCCCCACTTAACCTTAAACTAGTGAAATTTTTTCATTTTCCAAGCCAGCCAAAACTCTCCAAAGGTTTAAAAAAAAAAAAAACCCAATACCCATTCAAAGTGATTTAAAGTAAGCAGAAGGCTCTTTATGCTACTTTTCAAGTACTCACTTCAATTACTATGTTTTGCAGGTCTGTCTTATTTACCCTTGATTATGGAGATTTGTCCCTACAGGTACACCTAAAAGCCTTTGAAAACTTCTTGCCAAAGTTTCTGTGTATTTATAGCAACATTATTTGTTCAACTTTAGAATCATGGAATAATCTGTTCATCTGAAATTAGGTATAAATATTTAATGCAGTGAGTTTGACTCAACATTTGAGAAAGCCACAGCTGTTGACAAAATTCCAATTTGAAATGTCTAGGATAATTAAGTCAACTCTAACACATTTCCACGTATACATTTTTAAGCATGCTACTACTCCTGTCGTAAGTAAATAAACTGGTGGTTGGACTTAACCTTTTATAAGGAACAAAAGCTGAGAACATATCTAACCTTTTCTTCTTACAATCCTTGAATCAGAAGTGCAAATATCTACACAAGCACTCACCTGGTGTACAAATACATCTTCCTTGGTGTCATTCCTGCAAGACAGAACCAAGTTGAACAAGTTAGAAAATGAAATAAATCTCATGTTGTCAAAGATTAATTTTCCCAGAGACTCTCTGGCTGCCAATTAGGTACCAGGAAATTTGGCAAAAATCAAAAAACACAAGCCACCATGCTCTCTGCTTTCAAGACTTCAGCAGTTGCAAACAGTTGTAGCCTCATTACCCGTAAGATAGGCAAAAAAAAAAAAAAGTCTAAGAAATTAAAGTGTGACCTACTGAGCCATAATTAAGAGGGTAGCAATGACTAGCAAAATATATTCTGCCCCTCCTTATCCTATTAAACATTAACTGTTCTAGCACACCCTCCTCTTACCTCTAGAGCATGGTTACCAACAGAAGTAGTAGTTACATTCTCACCTTATCCTGCATCTCCCAACTACCAACTTTCCTTGAGATCATAAAAATGAGAACCCCCCTCCCCACCAACAGAATGTATAACGCAAAGAGTGAAACCTAATGGGAACTGTGACCTTTGGGTGATAAGGTATGTTTGAATGTAAGAAAAGCCCAGTTATAAAAGCTACTCCACAAGTCCAGACAAGGACTGATGAAGGTTTAGACCACGGAGCCATGTATAAAAAGACATTTGAGATCTCTTTTTGAGGCAAAATGAGAAACTTTGTGGATGACTGGATGTCAGAAGCGAGGGGGTAGAGAATAATCTCACTTTTTAGCCTGGATATTGGGATTAAGGTGATAACACGAGGAGCAAGAATCACCACTGGAGAAGGAAACGGATTTCCAGGCCTGCAGTGGCCTGCCTCACCCTCTTTACTCCGTCAGGTCAGAGTGAGAAAAAGCTCAGTAGTAGCTCTAGCGTTTAATGACAAAGGGAACAAAGGTTACAATGAACTGGACAAACTGGCTTACTGACTGTTAGCTTCTTGCTGAACTGGGGGCAACATATGCATCAAAGGATCCACATAAAATTAACTTTAAATCTGACCTGTAAATTATAGCTTGGATTATTATAAGAACATTTTTAATTGATGGGAACAGGATAATTAAAAAAACAGAACAGGTAAACTGTAAAAGCGACTTAAGGCAAGTGACTGAAAACTGACCTTTCAAGCTAGATGATTAGGATTGCCTAGGGAAATGATGGCTGTACCTAATGTCCATCTGTCCATAACTCCATAGGCACCACAAAAACAGATTACAGCCATCATTTATTAGTTCTGCTCTCCAATATGACTGAATTTCAAACTCTAAGGCTCTAAGGGGAAATACAATAAAAAACTGGTAGAGTAAGAAAGGCAAATACAGGCAAAGTCTAGAATAGTGATTTTCAACAGGGGCAATACTTCCCCTGGCAGGGTATTTAAAGTTTTTCCAGTCCGGGTGCAGTGGCTCACGCCTGCAATCCCAGCACTTTGGGAGGCCAAGAGTTCAAGATCAGCCTGGCCAACATCGTGAAACCTCGTCTCTACTAAAATTACAAAAAATTAGCCAGGCGTGGCTGTGTGTGCCTATAGTCCCAGCTACTCTGGGGGGTGAGGCAGGAGAATTGCTTGAAGCTAGGAGGCGGAGGTTACAGTGAGCTGCTGCACTCCAGCCTGGGCAACAGAGTGAGATTCCATCTCAAAAAAAATAAAAAAATAAAATTTTTTTCCAAAGATAGGGAGCACTATCTGCATTAATGGAAGTGGTGGGTGTTAGTTGCTAGAAGACTATGTAAAGATTTGGTATAGAAAGTAAATTTGTTTATTGTTATCTGAGTCATGTATGTATTTCTGTACTGTTTTAATACGCATTAAATTCACTAAAAATGCAGCTTCTGTGGAGAATTTTTCATTACTGATAATGCTACTCATGGTATCTGGGTAATACATCATTTCTTTATCAATCCATTTTGTGGTGGCTCTGACTGTTTGTTATGCCTTCTAATGTAGTTACAACAGGTATTCACATATCAATATCATCATACCCGGCAATAAAAATAATTAAAAGTAGTTACGTGGCGAGACCCTATATCTATAAAAAATAAAAAATTAGCCGGGCCTCCATTCAAGTCCCGGAAATGAGGGTGCAGTGAGCTATAATCATGCCACTGTACTCCATCCTGCGCAACAGAGCAAGACCCTGTCTCTGCACAGAGAAAGCACAAGGCTGCCATTACACACAGGGTAATGTCACTCCTGCAAAGACAGGGAGGTGTTTTGTGGGTACATAGATAGATATGTGAAACTAACACAGTTCACTGACCAGTGTCATGACAGTAAAAACAGTATTGCAAAAGGAATACTTAGCCAGGGCCTCAAGCTCAAGGTATTTACTGAAAACGTCCTCAATTGCAATAAAAACATTATACCATTAAAAAGAGTGATTTGTTGAACCAGTGATTTAAATGTATTGATCTGCTTTGAATTTGCAACCAGCCAGAATCTCTAGTTTAAACTGGCAGTTATAACAAAAGAGACCCTCAAATATTAGACAGCTGCAGTGCAGCTTTCTGGGTGCAGGTGTCACTCTCTGCCAGCCATCACTATTCTTTTCTGTTCAGTTTTTCTCTCAGGTGTTTGCTGGGAAATTAACACTGGAACTGACCCTTTTCCGGCAGTGAATGTAAGCTCTAGCTCCCCCATCTACTAGAAAGAAATGTCTTCAAGATGTAGAAATAAGGAATATTCTGAAAATAAAAATTATACAGTAGTAAAGATAATTCAGAAAGAAAAAGCTACCTGTTAGAATTTCCAGTCTAAATGGCACAGGGTAGTTAGGGAGAAAAGGGGTTGGAGAAAGAGAAACTATGACTAAAGATGAGAGGTATGAACAAGCTGTCAAGTTCCTATGGGCTAAAGCTGGGGCAATCAGGCCCTGAACTCCAAAGCTGGATAAAGTCTTTCTTTCTATTCTTCTTGGCCACCTGCACAGTCTGACACATACATATGTACAATTAGATTTGCAGGTCACAGGAGTGCCCTGCATTGTTTTAACTAGAAATAAAAAGTATTAGTCTAAATGTGGTTCTGGTGCCCTGTATATATGTAACAATATAGGACCCCCAAAATAGATTTTGCTTCTGGTGAATCTTATTCATTGGGTTAGTGTATGACTGTCTATAATATTTTCCATTTGTATTATTACATTGGGAAAAACATTTTTATCACTTTCTATTGTTAAGAAAATGGAAAACTTAAATATGGTGTTAAAAATGGAAATATATGTGATATTTGCATTATTAAACCCCTTTGCAGATCTTAAAAAAAAAAAAAGAAAAGAAAAAGAAATAACAGTACTCAATTTTTTTTTGAGATGGAGTCTCACTTTGTTGCCTAGGCTGGAGTGCAGTAGCGATCTTGGCTCACTGCAACCTCTGCCTTCGGGGTTCAAGTTCTTGCACTTCAGCCATGAGTAGCTGGGATTACAGGTATGCACCACCACGCCCTGCTAGATTTTTAGTCTTGACTCAACTATTAACAGCTGTGTAACCTAGGAAAGCTGCCTCATTGGCTTTTTTACCTGCAAAATGAGAAAAACTACACTAAACACTTAATAACTTACATTACTAAGGTAGGTACTCAAATCTTTTTAGTATTTATTGGGCATTTACTATTCACTAATACTAGCCAGATTTCTAAATTAAAATCTAATTGCTACCACTCCTATACTATGGCCTATCCAGATTGGTAAGGGTCTTAAAAATAGACAAAATGCAACTCAAAATGGGAAAACAAAGGCAAAAAAATTTAACTTCCCTGGAAAACTTTTTAGTAAGTCAAAAGACAATTACAGCTTGCCAGATAATTCTCCATGCCACAGGAACTAGGAATTCTAGCATTTGCTTTTCATGGCCCAATCCATCCAAACTCCCGGACTCTACTCCAGCATGTTCACCATGTTTGACCCCCCTCCCACTCCTTTTAAAACATAACTATCTTTATCCTAGCTGTATATCTACATAAAAAATAAGCTAAATTTTAGAAAACTTTTTTGCCAATCCACAGTATTGCCTTAAATAAGACTTATTATACATAAATTTATCCGTAACTAAATGCTCTTATACTACTACTTTGTTGCAGATCACCAGACCACACTAGTCTAACACCTTAATTCACGTAACTGCATACACTAATTTACAATCCTGTGGTTATAAAAACTCCAGGATTTACCATCTATATGCTCCATAACCTAAAGCAACCAGATACCAATTTCCAAGCCTTGTAGATGACTGTAAGATAATAATGTCCACTTATCTTTGTATTTCTTCTCTATTAAACACCCTTCACACCCAACAGACTCACTTCTGTTTCCCACATATTGTCTATGATTCTGCCTTCGGACAAACTGTATGTTTCCAAGGGCTAAGACTGGAGGGTAGCAAACTCAGCAACTGCAGCCCCAGGACTAGGGGGACAGGAAGGTAATACAGTGTATCCTTGAATAACTCAGTATCTATGAGGGTGGATAGAAGTTTGAGGTGCCAACCTGCTGCACAGTTGAAATCTGCCTGTAACTTTTGACTCTTCCAAAATTTAATGGCTTACTCGTGACTGGAAAGCCTTACTGGTAACATAAATCCTTAACACATTTTCTGTCTTATATGTATTATATACTGTATTCTTGCAATAAAGCTACAGAAAAGAAAATGCTAAGAAAGTTGTAAGAGAAAATACATGTACAGTACTGCACTTATCGATACGGTAAGTGTACATCTGTCTGAAAGGTAATTCCAGCTGTAGACCTCATCTATAGCACATATCGAGCAACTGAACTTTTTCTTACAATGCCATGACTTTTCTCAGCATCACTAGCGCCACTTTGCATGGGTCCCATGGTGCTATTGAAGACTTACAGTATTGCACTAAACCACAATACCTGTGTACTACAAGTTCTTTTTACTGACATGCAATTTACTGGAGAGATAAACTGTTCATGTGAAGATGATTAGCGTCACATGGCATTTTAAGGGGCTCACTGCAGTAGCAATAGGCAGTGGCTACATATTATAATAGTACAATATTACTACAGTGAATGTCGTGCAGTTATGATTTAATGCTGCCTGAATCTTTATGTTTGTTTACATTTCTCAACTGCAAATGGCTGTATTAACTTTCTAATGCATTTGTGTACATTTTATGGTAGTAAATAATAAAACAGACTAGTATCTACAACATACTCAACTTTTCCTTATTTTGGGGGATACTTCTTGGCTATGTGGTTCATCTGAAGTTTTCAGGTTGTTGCAAATCTCCAAACATTTTTCCAATATATTTATCAAAAAAAATCTGTGTGTAAGTGGACTTGTGTGGTTCAAACTCACATTGTTCACGAGTCAAACTGGATACTAGTTCTCTATCCTAGATTTCAAGAGTAAAGGATTGTACTTTGGGAGGACACAGGGAGTGGGACCTACTAGTATTCTCCAAGTCACGTATCAGTGACTTGGTGAACACGGATGACTTCTTGCCAGCTTAAGATCAATGGTTAATATAACCAGCATACAAATCTCTCCTAATGTCTCCTGCATACATGTCATTGATGTTTGTCTTTAGGGTTCCAGTTTGGAACCTTCGACATCTCTCCCTTAGCAGCACCTGCAGAAAAGTCTTTAAACCTTCCCTAGTGCCAAAACATTTTGTCAGTTATGTTACGGTCTACCCATGACTTATGTGGCTTAGCAATGGATCTACTGTGATCAAGTTAAGATCAGTGTGACTTTAACAGCCCAAGAGATTTTTGGTAATGACATCCTTCCAAAGGTTTACACTTCTATTAAGAACCACACATTTGGGAGGCTGAAGCTGGAAGATCACTTGAGCCCAGGAGTGCAAGACCCATATGGGCAACACAGAGAGACTCCACTTCAAACAACCAACAACCACACAGTAAGTACTTTACACCGCCACCTTTAAAAAAGAAAAAAAAATCACCCTTTAGAGGCCGGGCGCAGTGGCTCACACCTGTAATCCCAGCACTTTGGGAGGCCTAGGCGGGTGGATCACCTGAGGTCAGGAGCTTGAGACCAGCCTGGCCAACATGGAGAAACCCTGTTTCCACTAAAAATACAAAATTAGCCTGTGTGGTGGCGGGCGCCTGTAATCCCAGCTACTCGGGAGGCTGAGGCAGGAGAATCGCTTGAACCTGGGAGGCGGAGTTGCAGTGAGCCAAGATCGTGCCATTGCACTCCAGCCTGGGTGACAAGAGTGAAACTCCATCTCAAGAAAAATCACCCTTTAAAAAGGCAATATTCAGTCTTACCTTGCAGGCCATACAAAAAAAAAAGATTAAGGGAGATAAGGTGCAACATTCTCTCCTTTAATTCTTCACCTCCCAGTATCAGGAATTAAGCAAGTCCTTTTATTTGTATAGCTGACCTACATGCTAAACTAGAACTTTTAACAATCCCAAACTTCACAAAGTAGATAGTGAAAGGCAGAAAACTTTTCAAATCCAGGACCTAGCAAGTCAGCAGACAAGAGCCCCAGTGACATACTTGGATCATTTAAGAGTCTTTCAACGGCTAAAAATAATCACCCTAAGAAATTATCTGTAACTATGTGGACAACAACCAAATTGAAAATGGCTAGGGTCTATTTCAGAGACAGCATAAGAGCAGTTGGTGAACACTAACTCCAGAGTCAAAAAACAGTTCCAATCCTGCCACTTATCACCTATGCTTATGGGGACAAGTAACAACTCCTTTGTGCCTCAGAATGACAGTACCTACGCCTCAAAGGTTTTTAAAGATTAAGTAAATTGGCTCATTTTAAGCACTTACTATAGACCCTAGTATAAATACTTGTTAGCTGTATCTATTTTCACCAACATGTGTTGGAAGTCACCTATCAGTTATGTACATATGGAATCCCCACAAGGGAGCCCCCACCCCAAAGGGAGACTAAACCTGATAGGCGTGACTAAAGAGAGATAGCCAAACCTTTCCCTGGCTTGGTTTATTACATCTTCCTAGACCATGGGTAATAAACTCAAATGCATACACAGAGGCCAGGCGTGAAGGCTGTCGTAAAAAAAGTATACCCCACCTAAATGTGGTGACAATATGGCCAGGTGGTTTTTACTTATGTGGAAATACAGGCCCCCAAAGCCAGCTAAAGTTCAGATCTTAAAAATATAATAATCTGGATTACTTGGTGTTATCTCCTGAATTATAAATGTTAGTAATTAATCCCAATTCCTTTAAAAAATACTGTACTGTCTAATCAAAGCATCTGGGAGTAGTTTTAGCCAGAAGGTCACAAATTTGTGACCTCTGCTCCAAATTCTTTCACCTCAAAACATTAAGAATTATTAATTTAAACATTTTAAGTACTCTGGAAACAGAAAAATATTCCTATTCTGGTCACTATAAACTGTTGCCAATTCATGGTAATCTTTGGTGAATATGGATCAATACTCAACCACTAACAAAATTCAACAGTAATCTGGGGGGAGCTAATAAACCCCTCTAGTCACATTCTCCGATTATGTTTTGTAGACACAGTTCACAAAAGAATAACTCAATGAATTTCTTAGAATTTCTAGATTACACAGTCTAACAAAATAAAGCCAAAACTTCTGCTATTTTTAAAAGCTCTATGCTCATGTTACTTAGCACCTTCTTCACAATATAACCATCAGGGAGAAGCCCTTTCATGAATTAATTCTAACAAGGTTGTAACAATTCATCAGGTGGTAATTCAGGCTGGAATAAACACATTTACAATGAAATTATGTCTTTAAAGGCAGAAAATTTACATACAATATTGTAATTATAAAAATTCCTTACAATCCTAGCATATATAATCCAGCGCATCCAAAAACCCCAATTAAAAGTCGTCACAATAGTCATCCCGAACACTGCACCCTCTCCTTTATACAGAAAACAGCACGTTATGTGTCAGTCTGTCTCCCTCCCTCATAAGAGACAGGTGCCTCCAGCCAAGTCTATTTGTTCCACTACACGAACTACATATAGAACCAACTGCTAGCTTCCAAAGTGATTTCTTTTATCACATACATTTTCCTTAATTAAAGCAAATCTTCCCTGTATTTAATTGGAGTCAGATTTTACAGCATCTTATTAAAAAAGTCCCAGAATCATTAAAACCAGTTCAGAAGCATAAAGAACATTTTAACCAGTTAATTTGACAAAATAATTGAGGTTAGGATAGTCCAAACAAAGGACCATCAAAAGCCAATTCATAACTTGCCCTGGAGGATGACCAATTGAGTTGATTCCAATTCAGAATAGAGATATTCAATGAACAGTATCTCATGGACTAAATACTTAAAAAATGTAAAGATATTACTCTTATTCTGGACAAAACTGTTGATTTCAAAAAATGTCATAACCTATGCCTACTTAAAAAAAATGCAGCGAAACAAGGCACATGCTAAAACTTCTTCAACACATACAAAACCTGCAATCTATCCGCTGAAAAGGCTGCAAATTTGCACACCAGAGTTACCATTACATTGGGTCAAGGGTTAAAAGCAGTGATTTTGAAGGTATGGCCCGAAGACCATTATCATTCCTGTTAAAAATGTACCCAGACCTAATGAATCCAAGGCTCAGAAGGAGGAACTCACCACTTACATCACACCCTCCCAAGGTAAGCACACTTAAATTTGAAAACCACTGGTTTAAGGGTTAGACTAGTAACGATAATCAGAGTAAGACAGAAATACAAACTAAAACACTAGAAAGTTCAGAGAGATCAGTTAAAAAGCTATCAGTATGCCAATTATATATAAGCATTCCCTTCCTTCTTGCTAGTAAGCCATTATCAAAAAATTAATGAAAAACGTAGTTTCGGCCAGCCAGGAAAGCAAACAGTATATAACAAGATGGAAAATCCTAAGATTTTGGAAGAAACAAAATATTTTCCCACAATTGCAAAAGTAGAGAATAGATCACCAAATGCTTATCTCTTACTCTGAGTGTTTCCACAATACTCTATGATTGATTAATGAACAGTTTTTCATCAGGCAATGATTCTGTCCTTAAGCTTGATTTTGCCCATTTGTTGTCCATTCCACATTGTTCTTTTAATCATCTGCTTAGGTCTTCTACAGTAAGCAAGCAAGACAATGCTGAGATGGCACTAAGTACCATACCTGTGAGGCCAAGATTGCTACTGGCATACCCAGTGCTCTGCACCCATGTAACTAGCACTACTAGCCTTGGCAGCCATCTTGAAAATGATGCCCGGCTTACAAGGGAGCCCATGGAATACAGTGCGTCTACTGCACGTTACCACCACCACTCCTACAAACAACCCGAAGGGTAAGTCCTAAAGACGTGTCTGCAGCTTTGCCTTCAAACAGGAAGAAAAATGTCAAGTTACCAGTGACTATGGCCACTCTAATAAGCTACAGCCAGGGATCTAACAGAAATCGACTTAACCAGTTATGATTCTAGGACAAGGAAGAATGAAAAATAAGAACGGAAGAAGGAAAAAAAACCACTTTCTTGTAAATATATTATTTACTGGATGAGCAAATAAAAACAGTTCTCTCTGGTCAAAGCTGTGCTAAGACAAAATTTATCTCAGGTATTAAAATGAAACGTGAAACAAAGGCAATACAACCTCTCGGTAAAGATGACAAAACCTCATATAGTCAAATCCTCTTACCCTAAAACGTTAACAATGTATAAATATCCGATGTCAGTGGATCACATTCTCAAATACCGAGTTCAATAAAGTAGAAAAAGATGACAAGGATAAAAATGTACTGGACCGTAGTTTCCCGTTTACCCTGTTAAGGAATGGCTCATTCACTCCGCTTGCCTTTTGAATTGCTTTGTACTGTGACGAAGCCTTTTAAGTTAGCTTCAAATTAATATTTAGCTGCAAAACAAAGGCATTCTCTAGATCCACTAATCCCTAATCAAGGAAAACAACAACAACAAAAAATCATACTAATACACCAGAGGTAGTAAACGCCTTTCAGAACAGAGCTGTGGATTGGGGCTTCCCAAGCCCCGAGAAGCCGACAGAGCAGGAAGCAAGCAAGAAGGTGGGATGGAGGCTTCAGAGCCCGGCAGCTCACCTGTTGATGAAACCATATCCGTTCCTTACATTGAACCATTTTACTGTTCCCAAAACCTTCGTTGCTGGAAAAGAAAACAAAGCAAAACAAGCCACGATTACCAGCTATCCTTTTCCAAATCCGCCCGGCTTGGGCATCCGGTCCCTCGCACGCCGGCCGCCGCGGCCACCTGACAGCCCTTTCTCTCCACCGCCCGGGTGCGGGGCCACGCAGTCGCCGCCGCCGCCGCACACGTGGGTGAGTCTGAAGCGCGGGGCGCTCCAGGGCAGGCCCGGGGCGCGGGCCCCAGGATGGGTGTGTGCGCAGGCCGCGGACGGAGAGCACGTGAGGGAAGGGGAAGCCGCTCCGGCCTGCGTAGGCGGTGCGCCGCGCCCTCCGAGCACACGCGGAAGGGAGCTGGGTGGGGGTGACGCGAACAACGGCGTGCGGGCCCGAGCGCACGAGGCCGGTCGGCGGGGAGGGGACCCCGTCGCACACGCGGTCGGCGGCGCGCGGCCGCAGGGGGAGGGGCGCGCGGCCGCGCGGGGTCCACAGGGGGCGCGGGAGGCAGTGCGCGCGCGCCTGCCGGGCGGGTCCCCGCGAGAGGGAGTGAGGGGGGGACGGGGGGGATGGGCGGCCGCGCGCCGCGGAGTCGGTGCCCACCGGCCGCGCGCCCGCCGGCTCGCCCAGCTCCGGCTAACGGTTCCGCTGCTGGGCTGCCCGAGGGCCCCACCCCCGTCCCTGTCCGGTCCTCACCGATGACCTTCTTGTCCCCGCCGGCAGGCGCCGCCGATGTGAGGCCGCCCGGGCCACCGCTCCCTGCGCCGCTGCCCGTAGTGCCGGGCTTGGTGTCGGCGGCGCTGAGGGCGGGGGCGGCGGGGGGGGCGGCGGGCGGCTGCTGGGTCTCGGCCTCGCTGCTCATGGTTGCGGTGATGGTGACTGGGGCCGGCTGCGGCAGCTGCGGCTCCTCCCGGGGTGTGATGGTAACTAGGCCGGCGGCGGCGGTGGGGCTGCTCAGGGCTCTCTGGGGTCCGCTCTCCGCTCCCGCTACCGATCGAACTAGCGAGAATGGCGGGACAGGCGGGATAAGCCCTACGAGCGACCCGCCCTAGGCGTTGTTCACTGGCCAGTGGTACTGTCAATCTGCCCACCTGACCCCAATCCCTAGCTTCTATTGGCTAATATTTTATCAGTCCTCCATTCTCATTGGACCTTTGGCGGCTAATTCAGTCGACCTACAACCGTTCCTGCCTCCGCCGGCCGCCATAGAGACCGGAACTAGAATTAGAGTAGTCGGCCACGAAAACCATAGAGTACCCGAGAGGACGGGCAGAAGGAACGTGACTTCCACGAGGCAGCCGCCGGGCTGGCGGGCCCCACGTTCAGGGTTGTGTCTCGGCTGAAAAAAAGGCACGCCCGAACGCTGGGCAGGGATTACCCGGCCGGACCCGGGATTGGAAGGGGGCTCGAAGACGCCTTAGCCCCCCGTGAAGAAAAGGCTTCCCTCCCTCCCAGCTCCAAATACGGTCCCTGTGATCTGAGAACATTACGGCGGGCATAGAGTCGTCTTTTCTTTAATGGCCGTGTAGTCGCGGCACAGCCGAGGGTTTCTGGAATTGCCTTAAACGTATGCGTTTGAAGAGCGTACCCTTTTGTCGGAGCAGTCACCTTGGAGGGACCACGCAGGCTATGGCAGCCCGGGTTCAGCATGTTTAGGGCGAGGGTGTGCTCCATGGGGACCTGCCTTCTGATCCGTTTTACCAGGCATATATTTAAAAAAATGTGTCTTCCTTTCCAAGTATTCACATCTTTTTCTACTGACCACAAATCAGATTTAATTCAACTCACATTTATTGAACAAGCTAGCCTGTTTTGTTTTTTCACTTTATTCCTGCAACAGCCACGTGATAGAGGGATTACTATCCACGTTTCACAAACGATAAAATTGAGGCTGCCACCTGATGTTACTGAAGTCCTCCACCCACCTTCTTTCGTTCTTTTTTAAGCGTCTACTATCGGCTGGGGATGGAATAGTTCGCGAGTCAGTTTCTGCCTTCTGATGGAGGCAGAAATTTAAACAGCCAACACGGTAAATACTCCAGAGCTGCAAAACCACGAAGTATTTTGGGAGTGGAAGCAGGGAGAAGGTGGAGGGCTGACTTTCCGCGCACAGGGTACAGGCGAGAAGAGGTGAGATCTCGGGAAATGCAGTCAAGTAGTTCAGTAAGACTCGAATGTGACATTGGGTTGCAGAGGTGGGCAGTCACTTAGGTATATTTAATTGGAAATATATCCTGAGGGGAAGAGTGAGAAGAGCAATTTTAGAGTCATAAGTAGGGAGGGGCATCTTTTTAAAAATGGCTGCGGAGTGGAGAATGGGTTGCAGAGGGGCAAGGAATGGAAGTAGAGAAAGCAGTTAGGAGGCTAATGCAGTATTCCTTACCCCTACCAATGCCGTCTAGGCCTGTGAGTTCCACCTCCTAAAGGCGTTCTTGAGTCAGTCCTAAACCCTCTAAATGTCAATTCAGAGTCTTTTCATTCCTACTGTCACTACTGTAGGCCATCATCACCAATTGCTTAGAGCAAGGGGTAGGAACCTTTTTCTGTGAGAGCCAAATAGTTAATAATATAAGCTTGGCCGACCATATGGTTCTGACTTACTACTCAGGTTTGGAGCTTGAAAACAGCCTTAATTTTTACATGACACGAATCTTTACATATTTTCAACTATTTAAACATTTTAAAAACCATTTGTATTCTTAGCTCATGAGCCACAGAAAAACGGAGTGTAGTCGGCTGACCCCTAGCATAGAGCAGTGCTGTTGGCTACTAACCACACCTCTCTACCTCTTTCTTACTCTAATATTACCCACCACAACAGCCAGAAAGTTCTTTTGAGAACATCTATCTGATCATGACACTGTCTTACTTAAAATCTTCCAGTGACTACTATTACCCTTAGGGTAGTCCAGATTCCATAATGTGGTTTACTGGACTCTATGACTTCTAAGAGAAGTCTTAGAGTCTTCTCTTGTATTCCCTGTCCAACCTTCCAGGTGCTTGTAACTACTGGCTGCAGGATACTGCAGGAGCAGAGGTAGCAAACAGCTGAATTCTATGAAAATAGAAATTGGTTAAAAGTGTTGCTTCAGTGTATCAGATGACAAGGGAGATGGTGAAATATTACAAGGGCCCTACAGAATAGACACTTGCAACTCTCCAGCCAAGTAAACATGCTTCAGAGGACATCGTAGAGAAAGGACTGTCATCTAGTGGAGTCCTTTAGCCACTGTTACGTTTGGAGTATTACATAAAATTCTACATACAACACTCTTCCTTTCCTCCTTCCTCTTTGCCTGCTTAATTCTTCATCCTCTAGGTCTTGGCTCAGATGCTACTAGGTTAAGAATCCCTCCCATCTTAACACACTGTATTGCTCTAATTAAATGTTCCCCACCAGACTGTGACTTCCTTGGGCATCTTAGTGCCTGACACATAATACCTTAAAAGATTCGTTAAATGAGCGACATGGTGTAGAACATGAATTGAAAAAGGTACTGGCAGCAGAAGGGTCATCTGGGCAGCTGTGCCAGTAATCCAGGTGAAAAAGGCTTTCAGCAGCAATGTGTATGGAGAGTGGGTGGATTCCACAGCTGTTGTTCATGTGTTCCAGCTCCAGATGACTTGAATGTTAAAATGTTTCCCCAAAAGGCAGTCCTGCCAACACTGAGGACATTTAAAAGCATGCCCTATAGGCTTGAGAGCTTTTCTCCAGTTACAAAGACACTTAGAAAATATTGCAGCAGCACCTCTACGAATAAGTGAACAGCCTCACTATGTAACTGCTTTGAAGGGATGGCTTCTCAAGCAAAAATACAAATTGTGTAACATCTGTCTTTTCAATGTTACTTTAAAAAGTATCATTACTTACTCATCCAGTTACTTCATTCAGCTCTCTTCGTGCTCAGTGAGCCTGAGGATAAGCTGTTTAAGAAACTAGTTTGCAGCCAGGCACGGTGGCTCATGCCTCAGCACTTTGGGAGGCCGAGGCAGGCGGATCACTTGAAGTCAGGAGTTCGAGACCAGCCCGGCCAACGTGGCAAAACCCCATCTCTACTAAAAATACAAAAATGATCTGGGCATGGTGGCATGTGCCTGTAATCCCAGCTACTCGGGAGTTTGAGGAGGGAGAATCGCTTGAACCCGGGAGGCGGAGGTTACAGTGAGCTGAGATTGTGCCACTGCACTCCAGCCTGGGTGACAGACTGAAACTATGTCTCAAAAAATAATTTTCTTGTAGCCACCTCTCTACAAGCACCAATAGTTCATGACTGTTCCAAAGTGGGAGAGCACCACTGCAGAGCTTTACTAGTCTCCCTGCCATCCTGGGAGCTCACACCATCCAGCTGTCCGTGGTGAGCACAGTACAGACAACTCCAGTGCCTGCCTTTAAGTGATGTGATGGGCAAGGGATTCATCCCAAGAATCTTCTCTGCAAAATAACTTTTACCTTGTCCCCCCATCTCTAATAGACTGTGGCCTAAGAACACAGTTCCCTCTTCCTAGAAAGCCCTCGCCACCTTGTTGATCTGGCATATTAAAGCCTGTCAATACTTACCTCAAGTGTCACCTCTTCCAAGAAGCCTTTTTCCGTTTTTTTTCCCTCTTCCTCTCATACCACTATCATTCATGCAACAAATATTTATTTAGCATCTATTAGATTCCAGAAGCTCAGTTCTTCCAGGTGTTGGGGACACAGCAGCTAAAAACAAAACAAAGCAAAAAGATCGGCGAGGCGTGGTGGCTCACGCCTGTAATCCCAACACTTTGGGAGGCCGAGGTGGGCAGATCATGAGGTCAGGATATCGAGACCATCCTGGCTAACACAGTGAAACCCCGTCTCTACTAAAAATACAAAAAATTAGACGGGCACGGTGGCATGTGCCTGTAGTCCCAGCTACTCGAGAGGCTGAAGCAGGAGAATCGCTTGAACCTGGGAGGTGGAGGTTGTAGTGAGCCAAGATCGCGCCATTGCACTGCAGCCTGGGCGACAGAGTGAGATTCCGTCTCAAAACGAAAAACAAAAAACCCAAATATCCTGCCCTGCCCTCACACGGGCTCACATTCTAATACCACCATGCATTGAAACTGTCCCTGTCTCCTATCACAAGCATGAGCCACATCTTACCTAGCTCCAGGGCCTAGGACAGAGACTGGCATAGAATGTAGGTGCCAGATGTAACAGAGTGCAGCTGACCAGCCCATCTCAAGAATGTCAACTCCGGATCACAGCTGTTCATCCTCCCCATCTCTTTACAATCCCACCCTATATAGTTACTTAAAAATCTCTCCTCCACTAGATGACAGTCCTTTCTCTACAATGTCCTCTGAAGTATGTTTCCTTGGCTAGAGTTGCAAATGTCTGTACTGTAGGGCCCTTATCACCATCTCTTGTCATCTGATACACTGAAACAACACTTTTAACCAAGTTCTATTGTCATAGAATTCAGCTGTTTGCTACCTTTGCTCTTGCAGTATCTTGCTGCCAGTAGTTAAGAGGCATCCCCATCCACAAGACAGAAGAAAGCAAATAAGAATGAGAGCAAACAGAAAGTGCCTCATGAAAGAAACATCAGGGAACTTTCTTCTTTGCCTCTTCAAAATAGATGGGGTCTCACTCTGTCACTCAGGCTGGAGTGTAGTGGCACGATCATAACTCACTGCAACACCAAACTCCTAGGCTCAAGCATCCTCCTGCCTCAGCCTCCTGAGCAGTTAGGACTACAGGTATGTGCCACCATACTCAGCTAATTTTTTTGTTGCTGTTGTTTGTTTGTTGTGTACAGACAAGGTCTTGGTATGTTGCCCAGGCAGGTCTTGAACTTCTGCACGCTGAAGTGATTCTCCCACCTCAGGCTTCTGAGTAGCTGTGATTATAGGCAGGAGCTACAGCACCCAGCTAAGTGAGATCTTTATATGTTGAACTGTTTCCTTTCAAAACTAACATTTTCTTTTTTTGAGACAGTCTCACTCTGTCACCCAGGCTGGAGTGCAGTGGCGCGATCTCGGCTCACTGCAACCTCCACCTCCCAGGTTCAAGCGATTCTTGTGCCTCAGCCACCAGATGGGTGGCTGGGATTACAGGTACGTGCCCCAAGCCCAGCTAATTTATTTTTAGTAGGGATGGGGTTTCACCATCTTGGCCAGGCTGGTCTTGAACTCCTGGCCTCAAGTGATCTGTCCACCTTGGCCTCCCCAAGTGCTGGGATTACAGGTGTGAGCCACGGCACCCGGTCCCAAAACTAACATTTTCTAAGGTATTGTTGCTGTTTACTACAAATTACCTTCATATCCACTCTCTTATTTGACTCTTTCAAGGATGCTCTGAGGTAAGTAGATAGGTCAAGTTAGTGACCCTTTCCTCACGGGCTCAATCCAGAACTAACCAAATTGATCCTTCTGGGAACATCCTTGGAATAAGTAGAGCTGTAAAGTCCTGGGGCTGTGCCTTCTTTGTCCATCAGCTTTAACCTAAGAGAGTTAGGTTTGCTACAACTGCCTGCAAGTCAAGAGGCATTAACTATACACAGCAAAAGCTTGGCTCTGGTCCATGCTGGCCTCTGAGGAGTGCCAGTCCTCCTAGCTAAAGCTGAGGTGTGAGGAGACAGGGCTATTACAACTATTTAAAAACAACCCACAAACAAACAAAACCAAAAGAAAAAAAAAACATACGCATACAAAAAAACTTTATTTACAGTTGAAAACTTAAAGACAATCTTGGATTCTGAATCTCTGACACTTCCATGGTCTCTTGATCAAATGGGGCAGCAGCAGGCAGGGAAGCAAAGACGGGGGCCAGTCCAGATTATCTTACTCAAGAACACCACCAAGAAGAAGGGAAGGCCTACAATGGCAGAGACATGGAGGTCAGTGTGGGATGGGGAGGTAAGCACCTCAGAGGAACTGGAAGGGGACATCCCATATGAGACAATGCTCCCAGCTATTCTCTTTTTTTTTTTTGAGACAGAGTCCCATTCTGTTGCCCAGGCTGGAGTACAGTGGCGCGATCTCGGCTCACTGCCACCTCCGCCTCCCGGGTTCAAGCAATTCTCCTGCTTCAACCTCCTGAGTAGCTGGGAATACAGGCGCCTGCCACCACACCCAGCCAATTTTTGTATTTTTAGTAGAGATGGGGTCTCACCATATTGACCAGGCTGGTCTTGAACTCCCGACCTTGTGATCTCCCTGCCTCAGCCTCCCAAAGTGCTGGGATTACAGGGATGAGCCACCGTGCCCGGCCACTCCCAGCTATTCTCTACACTCCTAATCCTCTTTTCCCAAAAGGGTAGAACAGGTCAGATTCTCACCATAGGTCAGACCTTTAGGTCCCCAGAGCAAAGTTGGGCAGTAAATTACAAAAGAACCAGGAAGAAAGCAACTAACATTTATGGTCAAGCATACTATCTCATTTATTTGCCCTTCACAACTCCATGCATTATATATTATCTAATTATGCAAAGGAGTAGGGTCCCAAGGGGTTTCATGGCTTGACTGAAGTCACAGAATTAGACAGTGATGAGACTTCCTGGTCTACTTGGCTCCAAAGCCTTTGTCCTTTTTGTCAGACTCTGATGGCTCTCTGTGGAGGTCCAGAACAAAAAGCAATCCTTCTTCCTTGCAGGTTTCGGTCCCAGAGGTAAAGAGAAAGGGAAGTCCACACTCTGGGTTTATGGCCTTGAAGTCGAGCAAGCTATACTAAGAGAACAGAGTAAGTACACCCAGATACTATTGTCCCCCTCCTCTTGCCATTCCTCAAACATGCCACACCTTGCTCCAGTGGACAATGGGTACTGGCATCGTACTGCAGGCACAGACTGAAGTTTAACTGTGGGCCCTCAAGCAAAGTGTATGAAAATGTATAAATGTACTTTGTAAGCTGCATGGTGTGCCAGGACCTAAGCTCTGTCATACCAGGCACTATGTTAGTCAGCATGATCCTTGCTTCAACAAGTTCTCAGTCCAGAGAAAAACAGACTTACATATTTGTGATACAGTATATTAAATGCCACAGTGGAGAGATGAACCAAGTGCTGTGGGAGCACCCACTGTCTGGGCTTAGACCTGGAAGAGGAGGTGGAGGGATCAGCAATGGATTCACACCTGATGTTAGCCACAGCTGTGGGCAGGCTCCTGGGAAGTGCTGGGAGGATTTAGGATTAGTTAACACTACATATAAACAGTATGTATTTCTATTACAAGATACATGTTCAAGGTAGAAAATTCAAGCTTAAATAAGGCAACTGAAAAGTCTCTTTGCTATCTCTACTCTGCAGAAGTATTATCCACAGTCTGCTATATATCACTGCAGAGATTCCTGAAAGTCATTCAAAATAAACAGTAACATGCTTACATAAATTACTACATCTTGACTGTCACTTAACTTACCTTAGAAATCTTGCCAACACATCCAGATCTACCTCTTTATTTTGTTAAGGCTGTATAGTATTCCACTGAAGAGAATGGAACCTCTACGTGTGTAAGACTTGGCTGCAATGCAAGCAGCTTTGCCTTTGTACTGGACTGGAATGGACTGGAGCCAGACATTCTCTCCACTCCTGGCCTTTTCAGCTGGCAGAGCTTCTGAGTTTCAGGACAGGGAACATACAGTGTCACATGCCCAGCAGGCACATAAATATTTGCTGCCAAATCTCCAGTGTTCCCCAGACCCATATTTTCATGTAAAACCTCTTTTCTCTTGCCTGGACTACTACTGCAGTAGACTCCTCACTGGCCTCCAGCCCATCCTCCACAATGCTGCTAGAATCATCTTCTGAACATGAAAATTCATCTACAGTATTCTGCTGAAAATCCTTAAGTGGTTCATATTGGCCTGATTCTTTTTTGGAGGGTCAGTGCCCCTTTTGAGAATCTCAGGAGCACAGTGGACTCCTTCCCCAAAAGGGAAAAATTACTTCATGCCTGAAAGTCAGCCTCTGCCCTCAGAATAACATATGAACTGCTAAACTTGGCACTGGCTTTCACTACTGGCCCTGGCCTCTCTCCAACCTTCTCACCATTTGCTTTTCATATCTTCCTGCTTCAGTCATATTGAATTATTTGCAGCTTCCTCTACACTTCCTGCTGTTTCCTGCCTTTGTGACTTTGCATAGGCTGTTCCCTCTGCCTGGAATGCCCTGCCCAGTTTTAGCCACCTGACAAGTTATATTCTTTCTTGTACTAAACTGAAGCATCATCTCTTCTGTAGTCTACTCAACCACTCTGGGAAGATCCGGGCATTTATGCTTTCCTCACCTTGTTCTAAAACCTCCAATACAGGGCTTTATTGTACTGTAATTGTCAGTTCTCCCAAGAGACTGAGTTCCTTGAAGGATGGAACTGACTTTTCAAATCTGTAGCCTCATATGCAGCATGGGAACTATCTTAATTCATCAGCGCTTAGTTGTGGAATGAATAGAGGACCAGCCCAACTGCCACCAACACATATTTCCTAATCTTCCCCTACGGGAATGTCTCGCATCTATAGGTAATTCTAGAATGAAACACAGTGTTTCCTAAACCTTAGTCATTCAAATAGCATCTTCACAACTGTTACAATATCTATCATCCACAGGTACAATTTATTTTTTAAGCTAATCACTATTTGAACTTCAATATTGCCTCACTATAAGCTGTAATAACTGTAAAATGATGTATTGTGCTAATTCCGTATTTTTTCCTAAGATCCAAATATTAAAATAAAAGACAGTCATCCCACCACTAACTAAAGTAGTGTTTCCCACACTTCTCTATTAAGAAGCATGTGAGATACTTGTTACAAACATAACATCCTGGTCCCACCCCAAAGCCACTCAATCAAATACTCCAGGGAAGGGATCTAGGAATTCGTAGGTTTAACGAGTGCCCCAAAATGATTATTACCTGTTGGAGAATCTAGGCAACAATGAATTAAGGAAAGCTCTCTACCATTTGGTACTGGTACCAGGTTTGAGGATCACAGGGAAGAGGGTAAGCATATCAGACTAGCAGAGCTGCCAGAACTCGGGCTTTCAAAAGAGAGGTGCCACCCTCTCCCATGTCCATGTAAGTAGCAAACAACCCATTCAGACTACAGCAGGAGAATCCTGAGTGTAGAGGTTCATTTATGCTATACATAACCAAATTCATCATAAAAAGTTTTCCAAGGGCTGGGCACGGTGGTTCATGCCTGTAATTCCAGCACTTTGGGAGGCTGAGGTGGGAAGATCGCTTGAAGCCAGGAGTTTGAGACCGGCCTGGACAACATGGTGAAACCCCATCTCTAAAAAGTTAGCTGGGTGTGGTGCTGCACGCCTATAATCCCACCTACTAAGGAGGCTGAGGTGGGAGGAACACTTGAGCCAGGGAGGTCGAGGCTGCAGTGAGCTGTGACTGCGCCACTGCACTCCAGCCTGGGTGACAGAGTAAGACCCTGTCTAAAAAAAAAAACTCTCCCAGAACTCACTGAGATAAAACCAAGGTTTCTATAACTAAAGTTGTACAGACCAGGCATGGTGGCTCACGCCTGTAATCCCAGTACTTTGGGAAGTCAAGGCGGGCAGATCACATGAGATCAGGAGTTTGAGACGAGCCTGGCTAACTTGGTGAAACCCTGTCTCTACTAAAAATACAAAAAAATTAGCCAGACGTGGTGGAGCATGCCTGTGATCCCTGCTATTCGGGAGGCTGAGGCATGAGAATCGCTTGAACCTGGGAGGCGGAGGTTGCAGTGAGCTGAGATCGTGCCACTGCACTCCAGCCTGGGCAACGGAGTGAGATTCTGTCTTAAAAAAAAAAAAAATTGTACACAAAACTTCATTTTCACTAAAACCAAAGTCAGAACCTAGGAAGGCAAAACACAAAGGTTCTGGAAAGAAGTGCTCCATAGGGAGGTAGAATTGATCAAGTGACCCGTCTTCTATCTCCTTCTTAGCTGTTTCACTGCATATGTCCAGTGCCTGGGCACAAGGCCTCAAATGCAGGATTAGGTGATACCTTGATGTGAATGCAATGGATTCCTGCTGGACTAGTGCCACCAAGAGAGTACTTCCTCTTGGTCTTTTTTTTTTTGGAATATGGCAAGTTCTCAATTAAAAGATAGACTCTTATCCCCTATTGACTTGCCTCACAGTCTGCATCAGCATCACCTGAGAGCTGATTAGAAATGCAAAATCTCAGTCCCCATCCAAACCCACTGAGTCAGAACCACTATTTTATAACAAATCTCCTGGAGATCCGTATGAACGTTAAAGTATAAGAAATACTGCCCGGCCAGGCATGGTGGCTTATGCCTGTAATCCCAGCACTTTGGGAGTCCGAGGCGGATGGATCATGAGGTCAGGAGTTTGAGACCAGCCTGGCCAAGATGGTGAAACCCTGTCTCTACTAAAAAATACAAAAATTAGCTGGGTGCGGTGGTGGGCACCTGTAATCCCAGCTACTCGGGAGGCTGAGGCAGGAGAATTGCTTGAACCTGGGAGGCAGAGTCTGCAGTGAGCCGAGATCGCGCCACTGCACTCTAGCCTGGGCGACAGAGCAAGACTCCGTCTCGAAAAAAAAAAAAAAAGAAAGAAAGAAATACTGCCCAATAGGGCTTAAAAATACCACTTCCCTTCCCTCCACACCCCTGCTCCATGGGAAATTCATCTCCTCTTTCATTAATTTTTCTTAAATCACATTATTCAGAAACCCAAAATGGGGTGCCCATCTGTAGAACCCCTTTACATTAGACTGCCACCCAGATTTCCTAACACCTTAAAACCTATGAGGGATTTTTGGTAAAGTGAAATGCGATAATTCAAGTAAAGTTCTTAGCTCATTATCCGGGCACAGGAAGAATTCATTGAAGGATAACTGCTTTAATTATAGTGCCCTTAAGTATTAGCTACGAGATTCAGTTCTAAGCAAGCCAGGGCGAGTAGATTGAGAAGCTTACATTTAAAAGAGTTCACTGTCCAGTACAGTAGCCACTAGCTACAACTGGCTCTTTACATTTATTATTTTTTTATTTACTTATTTATTTTTGAGACAGGGTCTCGCTCTGTCGCCCAGGCTAGAGTGCAATGGCACAATCTTGGCTCACTGAAACCTCTGCCTCTCGGGTTCAAGAGATTCTCGTGCCTTTGTCTCTGGAGTAGCTGGGATTACAGGCGTGTGTCATCACGCCCGGCTAATTTTTGTAATTTTAGTAGAGATGGGTTTTACCATGTCGGCAAGGCTGGTCTCAAACTCCTGGCCTCAAGCGATCCACCTGCTTCGGCCTCCCAAAGTGCTGGGATTACAGGTGTGAGCCACCACATCCAGCCTAATTTAAATTTAATAAACTACAGCTTAGTTCTGTCAATAAAAAAAAAATAGGCTGGGAATGTTTGCTCACGCCTATAATCCCAGCACTTTGGGAGGCCAAGATGAGCAGATTACCTGAGCTTAGGAGTTCAAGACCAGCATGGCTAACACGATGAAACCCCGTCTCTACTAAAAATACAAAAAATAGCCAGGCATGGCAGCGTGCGCCTGTAATCCCAGCTACTCAGGAGGCTGAGGCAGGAGAATTGCTTGAACCCGGGAGGTAGAGGTTGCAGTGAGCCAAGACGGCGCCACTGTGCTCCAGCCTGGGCGACAGAGCGAGACTCCATCTCAAAAAAATAAAAAATAAATAAAAAATAAAAAGTTAACAGTTTAGTCCCTCAGTTGCACCAGCCACATTTTAAGTGTTCCGTTGTCACATGGGGCTGGTAGCAACCATACTGGACCTCCCAGATCTAGAATCTTTCCATCATCACAGCCTATGGACAGTCCTGGTCTAGCGGGCCTGTGGAATGTACAATGGCCACCTGAGGAATGCGTTCTGCTTGGGTTGCAGGCTGAGAAGAAGGGCTTTCTTGGAAGCAAAAGTTCATATAACTTTTGCTAACAGTGGGGGAGAGCGGGGAGGGTTGATGATCCCCACCCTCAGAAATAAAACCTCAACAAGGACTTCCAGTAACTTTATGTAAAAGACTCAAAAAGATACAGAAAAGAGGCCCCAACATTAAGAATTTCTAAACTTTATTCTTTTTGTTATCGTTTGTCCTCTGGTAGTGATCAGTGGTCAGTCTTTGAAAAGAAAGGACCTATGAACTCAACTTTAGTTACAGCAAAGAAATGAGTAGGAGACGGAGGGAATGGCCAGCAGCCATTGAAGAGGGAGAGCAGGCTGGGCCCAAGGGGGACCCAGTATTGGCAGAAAGGAAAGCTCAGGGTGTCAAGTGGGCCTGAGAAGGGATCATCTGGCTGAACAAGAGAGGTCCACATGTAGCTCTCAGCACACACTTGTGCATTCCAGCCTCAGCATTTGCTCACACGAGTTCCCCGCCTAAAATGCCTGACATTCTCCCTCTCTACTTAACTCATGTAATAAATTTTTACTGAATGCCTGTAAGTGCCAGCTTTCTGAACAGAGTTGGTCACAGATAAAGGTGTGTTGTAGAGTCATTAAAATGGTCAGGTATTTGACTGGATCTCCATTTGGAAAAAAAGACAAGAAAAAGTCCTATCTTAACACTATACAGAAAAATTAATTATAGATGATTTTATAAATGTACAAATAAGACTTTAAAAATACTAGAAAAATGATCTTAGCTCCACCATATAAAAAGAAATACTAGAAAAAACACAGAAAACATTGTGATCTGAGGTAGTAAAGACCTTAAATGAGACAAAACTGAAAAGCAGTGAAAGACTGATAATTTGGACTTCATCAAAATTTAGAACTTCTCTTTAACAAAGAATATCACCAAACTTAAGCAACACAATACTAATTTTTTTCTTAAAATATATTCTGAAGAAAACAATTACAACATATAAAATTAAGAACTAATGCTCAGTTGGGGGCAGTGGCTCACGCCTGTAATCCTAGCACTTTAGGAGGCCAAGGTGGGCAGACCACTTGAGGTGGGGACCAGCCTGGCCAACATGATGAAACCCCATCTCTACCAAGAAATATAAAAATTAGCTGGGCGTGGTGGCATGCACCTGTAGTCCTAGCTACTTATAGCTATTGTATAAGGTAATCTTATACAATATTTTTAATACGTTTGTGCATGAAACAGATTTTTGACTATGATCCATCACATGAAGTCAGGTGTGGAATTTTCCACTTCTAATGTCATGTTAGTGCTCAAAAAGCTTCATATTTTGGAGCATTTGGGATTTCGGATTAGGGATGCTCAGCCTGCACTGCAGTTTCGGTTTTTCTTTTCCTTTTTTTTTTTTTTTTGATGTCATCCAGGCTGGAGTACAGTGGTGTGATTATAGCTCACTGCAGCCTCAAACTCCTGGGCTCAAGTAATCCTCCCACCTCAGCCTCCTGAGTAGCTGGGACTACAGGCATGCACCACCACACCTGGCTAATTTTTTTTTTTTTTGGAAAGACGGGATCTCACCAGGTTGCCCAGGCTGGTCTCGAACTCCTGAGCTCAAGCTATCTGCCCTCCTTGGCCTCCCAAAGTGCTGGGATTACAGGAGTGAGCCACCTCCTGCCGGGCTGTTTTCATTTTTTAATACAAGGTGGTTTTACATGAACTAAGAAGGAAAAGTTTTCAAGACATATTTTTTAGAACATGAAAAATATAGTATGATTTCATTTGGGAAAAAGAAAACCTCCCAAAATTAGATGGGCAAGGCAAAGGCCCTGATGGACATACATCAAACTAATAAGGAAGTGACCTTTGGAAAGGGGAGTGGAATTGCAGGTGGGTATTGTCAAGAGGGGCTTTCACTTTATCTGTTTGGTGTGAAAGTTTTCACAATGAGAGTGTATTATGTTACTTGTGTAAACCAAATGAAATGAAATATGGGAACCTTGATTGGATCACCTTTTTTTAAGCTACAAAAGTTACTTTTGGGACAATTGGGGAGGTTTGAAAATGTACTATATATTAGATAATATTGTGGTTACGTAGGATGTTCTTATTTTTAGGAGTTCCTTGCTGAAATACTTAGGGGTAAAGTGTCAAGAAGTCTGCAACTTTCAAATGGGAAAGAGAAGAAGAAAGGGTAAAGGAAGGAAGATGGGAAGAAAGGAAGGAAAGGATGGAGGGAGGGAAGAGGAGCAGGAGGGAGGAGGAGAGGCAATGGAAATGGGTGAGGAGGCAAGAAGGGAAAGAAAAAAACAAATGTCAAGGCAAAGCAATAAAACAAGAATGTTAATCATTGGTGAATCTAAGTGAAGATATATTGGTGTTCAAGGTATTATCTTCTAACTTTTTTGCAGGTTTGAAAATAAAAAAAAAAGAAAAACAAAACATCACTACCCCTCACCTGGCTGGAAGTGATGGATTTCTCCCTTGTACTCTTCTCATACTTGGCAATGTCACTCATATTACTAGTGATCACCTCTGGGAATGTCTTACTTTCCATGAGCTCCTGAAAGGAGACATCTTTCAATTCTTTGTCCCCCTCTCTGCAGCTAGCATGCTGCCCAGCGCAGAGCAGGCAGTGGTAATTACGGGTAAGAAATGAGTCCATGTAGGCTGGAAGATGCAAGGCATTCACCTATGAGGCCAGCGAATATGAAGTCGAGGCCTGGAATTGCAGTATCAGTTCTGATGAGAGGCATGACAGGTGTGTCTCCTGGCTGCCTGGCCTGGTCCCAGCAGAGAGTTACTCAGGCCTGGAGCCAGGTCTTTCTAGGGGGACTACTGAATGGAACTGTAGTCTGAGAGTGCTGTTACAAACTGCCTGAGTAGTTTTCACATTGATACTTTGTACATTACAAAGTGATAGAAAAGTAAAGTGCTCCTACAACCCTTTCTCTTTTTATTTTTACAGTGACTCTGAGAGATAGGTATTACAGTATTTCCATTTGACAGATGAGGAAATGTGCTCAGAGAAGGAAAGTGACTACTCCAAGGCCATACACGGAGGAACTGGGCTCAATCTCATGTCTTCAAGACTAAAGTTCTTTCCACTAGACCATGCTGCCTTCTCTGAGGTCTGATTCCTAACCTAATAGGAGAAAGACACACTTACCTGATTCAGTCTTTGTCTGGACTACATCTCCCCACACTGCGAGATCACCACAGGTAGCTTGGGCTTATTGTTGGGGCCTGTGGGAACATTCTAGGAAAAAAAGCACAATGGAGATTCATCCACTCAGGCACTTCCTCGTTCCCTTATCAAACTTTTACTGATGCCTGCCAGCCCTGTGCTAAGGACTCAGCACTCAGAAACAGTCCATGTCCTGGCAGACAGGTAAAGCATATAATACCTATCAAAGAGAAAATGCAAAACACTTAGAAAATATCAAACTTATGATTATATAAGAAAAAGTTATAAGAGAGAATTGGATAAGGGTTAGATAGGCAACTAAATTGGGGCTTAAAGAGGTCAGGGAAGGATTCACAAAAGAGGGGTATTTGAACTGTGCCTAGAAGGATGAATGGGATTCCATCAGGAGGGAAGGAAAGAAGAGCATTCCGGCTAGAGGAAACTGTGTGAGCAAAGGCTCAGGGGCAGGAAAGAGCAAGCAGCAGGGACATGCATGGCAGATTTAGAGAAGAGCTAGTAGCCTGATGTGACTGGAACATGGAAGAGGCAATGGCAGAAGAAGGGGCCATGGAGAGGTAGACAGGGACTAATCATGAAGGACCTTGAACGCAATGCTGAGGAGTAGAATTTTATCAAGTAGGCAACAGGATCATCAGAGGCCAAACCTCAGTGTTGGCCAGACAGGCTAACTTAGGTGGTTCTCTTCCCTTTTCCTGGGGCAATGAAGACAGCCTAACAAACTGGAGCTCATTCCCCCTTCTCTAGCTCCTGCACGCTAGTCAGACAGTACCAGACCACAATGGCAGAGAAACAGAAAAATCAAAGCAGTACTTACCTCAATCTTTCTCATCACTAGAAGTCCATCGATGATTTTTCCTGTAGGAAGAGCATGAGCTGGACTTTATTCTTGTTTACATAGCATTTTCCAGCTTCCAAAGCCCATTCTTAGCTATTTTCTCATTAAACCCTCATACTAACTTTAGGAAATTAAGATGCGGTAGAGGTGAAATGACTTGCTCAAGGTCATAGGTAATAAGTAGAGTTAGGGCTCAAACTTATACCTGAGTGACTCCAAAGTCTCACCGTATCATGCTGCCTCTATGGCATTTCTTTGGTGCTAGCAACTGGGTTTTCTCCCTAAGTGGTTCCATACTATATCAAATGGTCCTTTTGTCCTTCCCTCTAGTTCTCTAGCCACACATGTTCCCCACCTCCCCACCATTTCTGTTTTCTCTATTACCACCTAAGCAGTTACACAGGTTGAGCTTTCTTGGTAAGAGTTTGAGAACTAACTCCTCTGGAGGTTCCATCCAGGGTGAATGGGGCCTGGACCATGAGACAGGAGTAGGACTTACCAAACACCACATGCTTCCCATCCAGCCAATCGCACTTAGAGCAGGTGATAAAGAACTGACAGCCATTTGTACTTGGACCACTGTTCGCCTGATGGAAACCAAATATACCTGCAGTAAGTTTCCCCGGCCATGTTAGCTGAAGGGCAAGATTTCCAAAAGAGCTTGTAACACTGATTCCTCTATGGTTTTTTTCAGTAAATCTAACTTAGCACCTATTATGAGCCAGGGCCTAAGCTAGGATCCAAGGATACAGAGATGAACAGGATATGGCTCACTGCAGCCTCAAACTCCTGGGCTCAAGCAATCCTCCCCACCTCAGCCTCCCTAGTAGATGGGACTACAGGTGTGTGTCACCACACCTGGCTAATTTTTTTTTTCTTTTTTAAGTAGAGACTAAGTCTCACTATGTTGCCCAGATTGTTCAAACTCCTGACCTCAACCTCAAGCAATCCTCTTGCTTCGGCCTCCCCAAAGTGCTGGGATTACAGGTGTGAGCCACCACACCCAGCTATGAATATGTCTTGAAAGCACAACTGTTTACATTCTGAGCAGTAGGGCTGAATGCCCAGACACAAATCCTGGTTCAGATTTTAGTTCCCCAGCCTGCTAGCCTGCTAGTGGGCCTTACCTACTGGTTTTCTTTTCTTTCTTTTCTTTGTTTTAAGATGGAGTTTCGCTCTTGTTGCCCAGGCTGGAGTGCAGTGGGGCAATCTCAGCTCACTGCAACTTCCCCGTCCTGGGTTCAAGCGATTCTCCTGCCTCAGCCTCCCGAGTAGATGGGATTACAGGCACCCACCACCACACCTGGCTAATTTTTTGTATTTTTAGTAGAGATGGGGTTTCACCATGTTGGCCAGGCTGGTCTCGAACTGCTGACCTCAGGTTATCCACCTGCCTCAGCCTCCCAAAGTGCTGGGATTACAGGCGTGAGCCAGCATACCTACTGGTTTTCTCAGTCAAACCAGACTAAGAAAGGAGGTGGTAAAGGTGAGTCCTGGGCCAAGCAAGAGAAGGAAAGCATTTGCTTCCATCCCAAGAGACAGCACTGGGCCTCAAGAGGGGCCCAGGAACCAGCTGGCTATAACCCAAAACCTTGATTGGACCTCACTTACCATGGAAAGCAGGCCTGGAGCTGAGTGTCTAAGTTTAAAATTTTCATCTGCAAATGGCCCCCGGTAAATACTGGCGACTCCAGTACCATCTCCCTGAGCAGAGAGAAGGGAAGTATTAGTGACTTGGAGTGTTGGGTCCCTGGAAACCGGAGGAAGAACACTGTCGCACCTAAAGCATGACATCTTTAAAGTCTACTCTTACTCTTGTTGGTCATCTTGGAAGCTGCACCTATTTGACCCCACCCTGCAATCAGATCAAGCCTTATATAAGGTACCTACAGCCCACAAAGACTGGCTGGAGCATTTTATAGACTGGATAAAAGAGGTCACAGCTGGGCCTCTAGAACGATCAATTAAGATGCAGACAAAGTAGGGAACAGCAACAAGGTGATCACATACTCAATCCTTGCCATTCCTGAAGACTCTCATGCCTTCAGTCACATAAAAGTACCCACTTAAGTGACTACCACCCCATTCCCCTAAACTATCTAAGAGGGTGGGTGAGCTCTTGGCAGTCTGTATGTACAACATGATACCACCCTCCTGGTCATAGTTGATTGATCTAGGGAAGGATGCCTAACTCACTCTGGGCCAACTAGAGTTCCTTCTCTGGGAATCTGGAGGTGGGATAGATGCTCTCTTTGAGGCTAAATTTGTAACATGTAAACCTGAAAGCTGGATGTGACTACCATTTGCAAGCTGGGCTAGAGAACAGAGAGAGAACACAACACAGATGTGTAGCGAGCACTAGAGAAACGGAGATAAAGAACTGCCTTGGTTCTCTATGGTTCTAGTTCCTAGTTCTATTTCTTCCTTTAGTTCCATGAAACACTCCCTTTATTATAAACTCCCAATTTCTGCTTAAACTAGCTTTATTTGCATTATCTCCTTGCTCTTCCAGCAACCTTGAGGAATAAGCATTATCATCTTCCCCATTTTTCATGTGAGGAAACTGAAGTCTGGGTAATAAAACAATTTGACCAAGGCCATATTTGCAGTGCCTTAAATAGAATCCCTGAGTTTTAAAGGCAATATTGAGGAGTGCCAAAAAGATCAAGCTCTCCTCGCCAGTTAGTAAAGAGAAAGAGTACATGGGAGAAAGGGAAAACACTGACCCAGTGAGGAATCAAGGGTCCCTTTTTGGAAAAGAACTACCATTAATATAAGCCAGAGAATAAAGAAAAACTGTCCAAATTCAAACCTTTGTTTGCCTAAATATTATAAAATAAAATCAAGTCTGTATATTAGAAAGACCTGGCCTGGTGTGGTGGCTCACACCTGTAATCCCATCACTTTGGGAGGCTGAGGCGGGTGGATCACCTGAAGTCAGGAGTTTGAGACCAGCCTGGCCAACATGGTGAGACCCCATCTCTACTAAAAATACAAAAATTAGCCACGTGTGGTGGTGGTACCTGTAATCCCAGCTACTCGGGAGGCTGAGGCACGAGAATCGCTTGAACCCACCCGGGAGGTGGAGGTTGCAGTAAGCCAAGATCGCACCACTGCACCCCAGCCTGGGCGACAGAGCGAGACTCCATCTAAAAAAAAAAAAGATCTGAATTTGAGTTCCAGATCTATCACTTAGAGCTGGGAAAGTCACTTCCAATCTGTGAGCCTCAATTTCCTCATCTATCAAGTGAGGATGAAATTACCTACTCTTTACAGTTATCATGAAGATTCAATTAGATAGTGTCTGTAAAAAGCACTGTACAAACAATATAGTACTATATAAATAATCAAATAAGCTAATATGTCATTAACTAACTACACATACATATTAATACAGAAGGAAGAGAGAAAACAAGTTCATCTCCAATTTCCCAGTGAACCTAAGGGACACATCAGTTACCGTGCCATTCTCCGTAATCACGTTATCTATAGCTCTCCAGAAACAATAGGGAAAATTACAAAATTAATAATTTGGAGCAAACAATAGAAAGCAACTTATCTTCAACTATAGTGAATTGATCAAATAACTTGTCTATTCATAATGAAATATTAGGTGGCTATTAGAAAGCATGTTTTAGAAGACATAACGACAAGGGAAAATATGGACAATTATGAAGTACAAAAAAAGTAAAACATATAGATTATTTTAAGTCTGTTAAAAATTATATAAACACACATATACATACTAAGGTAAGACTGACAACTGTAAACCAAAATGCCAATAGTATATTGTGAGGTGAGAATGAGGGTAATTCATTTGGTGATTTATTTTCTTCTTTGCACTTTTCTTTTGCAACCAAAATAATAAATACTATTAAAACCAAAAATAAATGAACAAACAAATATTCTTGGTCAAACTTTGGAAGGTCTCAAATTCTGATTTTTCTGACTCTTGCTCATTCCATTTTGCCTTCCCCAAGGAAGGTTCTAAGCAAGCTTTTTTTTTTTCCCTTTAGACAAGGTCTTGCTCTGTCGCCCAGGCTGGAGTGCAGTGGTATGAACATGGCTCACTGCAGCCTTGAATTGACCTCCTGGGCTCAAGGGATCCTCCTACCTCAGCCTACCAAGTACCTGGGACTACAGGCGCACACCACCAAAAATAAAAAAATAAAAAATAACTTTTCTTATTTTTGTAGAGACAGGGTCTTACTATGTTGCCAAGCTGTTCTCAAACTCCTGGGATCAAGCAATCCTCCCAGCATCCCAAGGTACTGGGATTACAGATGTGAGCCCTACCAGCAATTGCTTTTAACTCGGCCTTCAGACTGAGCAACTATTGTCTAACCCCAGAGTTATCGACAAGTGATCAGATGTGCCTGGGGCAAAGACTAGTAAAAAGCTATTCCTCTCCTTGTAAGGCAACAGGGAAGCCTAGGGGAAAAAAAAGGAAAGAAGGCAGAGGATAGCTTCTCAGCCCTTCTTACCAGCTAACAAACCCTACTACCATTATCTGTTTCCCGGGGCTGCAAACAAATGCCCACAGGAGCAGGCAACGTAAATAAGGGAAACAGTTGTGGAGACTGGTGAAATGGCAAAGATATGCCATGTCCAAAGGGACCAGTTCCTTGATTCCAACCAATTGTCACTGTCACTGCCACTGTGAGAAATGCAGGCCCAGCATACTTCCACTTTCCATTTTTTAAAGAGAAAAAAAAACTAGGATTTTTTTGTGCCATTTCACAGTTATACAACACCATGCAGATGAATCAAAACATAGGTAAAAACGTAATTCGGCCTAAAACCTGCCACTCTGCAACCCTGTATTGCATAGGAAAGGAAAGAGGTCTTAAAAACTCATGAGATTCAGACTAAATAAACACATAAAAGAGAACACATGTCTCCCAGATCCAAGAAAACAGCAACACAACTAACCAAATGATATTAATAAGAGTAAAGAAAGACCATTCAGAAGTGGGGGGTAAGGACAAAAGCAGGTTTAAGAAAGAAAAAATGTAGTTTATCCCACACCCTCCAAGGTTGGGGTGGGGAGGGAGGCTTCATATGGGGGACAAAAACAGTCTACTTACAAGAAAGCTATGGTTAGCAAAAAAGAACTATTTCACTGGGCTCTCTCAGTGAATAGAGCAAAATTCCTCCAGAACTATCTACCTCTCTTGCTCTGATTCCTTGCCCACAAATCAACTTCTTATGAAAAACTCAGCTTTCCAGGCACTGTGACACCCAGAAGTAAAAGAGAAAATGAAACAAGCATTTAGCCCACTAGAAGGAGACTTACCTCCATTCAGAAAAAAACAAAAACCACAGCTGATTTCTGACTAAGTTTCATATGACTAATTAGTGTGAACCTATCATAGATCATCTATAGGTATTCTTAAAAAGTCCAATTTCTGGCTCAAAAAGGCTGAGATTTGGACCATGGAATTTAATGCCTCAATCAAAGTGCTAAAGTCGGTTATCTACAGTCAGTCGTACCCAGCCACTTTCAAGAACTTCCCCATCACCATTCTCTCCAACACCCACATCAAACCTGGCTATTGTTCTCAAGCCTGAAGACTGGGTCTCTGTAGTAAAAACAGCAATTGCAACAATAACAACAAAAACTAAAACTACGGGTCTTTGATAGGAAAGGAATAGTACTTACATTAACAAAATCTCCACCCTGAATCATGAAATCCTTTATGACCCTGAAACAGAGAGCAAAGAATACTGAGAAGATTTTATGGTTTAGAAAAACATAGATGTTGTTATTATTGTATTAGATTAACGTTGATTTCAAAATACACTATCACTTTGGCTATTATAAAATCATTACTCTTAGCTGGGTGCGGTAGCTCACGCCTGTAATCCCAGCAGTTTGGGAGGCCGAGGCAGGCAGATCACATGAGGCCAGGAGTTTGAGACCAGCCTGGCCAACATGGCAAAACCCCGTCTCTACTAAAAATACAAAAATTAGCCGAGCGTGGTGGCACATGCCTGTAGTCCTGGCTACTCGGGAGGCTGAGGCAGAAGAATTGCTTGAACCCAGGAGGCGGAGGTTGCAGTGAGCCAAGATCATGCCACTGCACTTTAGCCTGGGCGACAGAGTGGGACTCTGTCTCAAAAAAACAAAACAAAACAAAAAAAACCTGAAGATTATTCTTTTCCTGAATGATTAAGCTGAAAGGATAATTAACCATAAAAAAGGATTTTCGTTATAAATTAGGGCATGTTAGAGTTGATCAAGTGCATGATCTGGTACCTGAACAGTAATAAGAAGAAGGGGCTGAAAGCTTACTTGCCAAAGCAAAAGGCAGAGCAAGGGTTTGATGTAAATTTGGGGGAAAGAACTACAGAGAATTTATGTGAAATGTACTGCTAAACATGTAAGGGCTTAACAACTGTTAGCTATTACCCCTAGGGAGGGTCCTTAACCTTTCTTATCCTCAGTTTCCTCCTCTGTAGAATGCAGATCACCCATACCACTTCACAGGAGTCTTACTGGGGATTAGAGACCCAAAGCTCTAAAGCTGTGATATAATTATGTGCTAACATTGTTACTAACCACAGTGAGGCCATGAGAAAGATTCTATATTGAAATGAGACTAAGTGTTGACATACTCCACTCCCCAGGAAATATGATTATCCTTGGACAATCATATATGATCATTTTAGGAATTAGTTATAAATATCAACCAGCAGGATATATTATATGCACTTTAGGATTACAAGTGTACTTTTTAAAAAATCTGCATTCGCACAAACAAGTGCATGAAAAAGACAAGATATTGTAAAGATGAGTAGTTTCTGTTTTAAAGACCTAAGAAGTGGGGGAGTGTAAGTAGAGTTAGAACATTTAATAAATCTTCAGTTGTTGAGTCCACAAAAACATTTCTTCTCAAGAAATGTAAGAATTACCCTCTGGTTTTATTTTCCTCTAAAGAGCCTAATCCCCCAGGAAATATTTCTGAAAGACTCCAGGATGGCTTGCCAAGAGCCTTACCTGTGGAAGGTGCTTCCTTTGTATCCTATTGGAACCCCATCTTTCCTATAACCGAAAAGAAAGAGACTTGGAGTGACAGCAGGTAGCACAAGGCCTTTCCAGTTTACCATGCACTGGAGCCAAAAGGACTCTCCTAAAGATGGTTGACAGACATAAAGAAGGCAAATAAACTAGGGACAGACCCTTGGGGCATTACCTTCTATCACTGTCACCAGCAATCATTCAAGGCCAGCAGGTGGTTCACCGATACCCTCACTGCAGCCCCAGAACACCCCTCTGGAGCAGGCAAAGAAGTCAAACACATCTGAAACTGACCTGAATTCTCCGGTGCAGAACTGCCTGAAAGGGACAAAAAATGAATGATTCAATCACTATGATGTCACAGTCGTGAGCGCCTCTAAATACGGGAAAGAATAAACACTGGAGCCAGCAAGTCCACCAATCGGCCAGCCAGACGTCCAGACACGCAGTCACACAGACTAACAACGTAAATTAACACGGGAACAATCCAAACGGCAACCAGACAGAGCAATGCATGGAGGAATCAGGTCTCAAGAGCAGTGAGCGGACGGACAGAGGTAGACAGGCTATTTCAGGCGGCTGACTGGAGCCCGACTTCTGCCTCAGCTAATCCAGCGGAGCTGGAGCACGTCCTTACCTAAAGTTCTCGGCCGTCTTAGGCACAACGTCTGCAAAGAGCTCGATCTTCATGCGGCCAACTTCCTGCAATCAGCGGGAGAGTGTCAGAAGGCCCAGTCCAAGACCATGAGGGCTTCACGGAGCAGGGGGCATGATGGGCTGACCCACCACCCTGCCGCTCGGTATCTCCCACCTCCGCCTCCCTAGTCTAACCGCCCAGTTCCTCCAGAAGCGGGGCGCTAGGATTGGGGAGACTCCTCCTCCTCCTTTCCCCCCGCCCGGCAGGTCGGTAGGTTCGGGTGCAATTTCACTTTCTGGCTGGCTTCCCGAGTCCGCTCTCTCTGGGTGAGTTCTGCCTGCCTAGCCCCGAGCAGTTTCCCTTCGGCGCAGGTGTGGGCAGCCTCCTGGATCTCACCTGACCGCCAATACTGACATCAAAGAACACCACGGGGTTAACAGGACTTGAATTTGCCACCGCCATGGCTCCGACCCGGAAGCAGAAGTCGGGAGCGTGGGATTCCGGCGAACCTAAAGCCCGGTCCGCGGATTTCGTCCGGGGAGCAGGCGCGGTAGACGTGGAGCGAGACCAGGCTCCGCCCCCGGAAGCTGTCGCCCCGTGCGGTGTGTGCTGAGACTGCTAGGGTCTAGCTGAGAGACTCTGCCTGGCACTGGGGACGCGGGAGTGAGGAGGAGGAAAGCCTTGACATCTTTTTGGTTAAGGTCAATGGTCACCCCACTCACGTGGCTGTACTAAGGGCAGTACAAGTTGATCTTGCTCTAGCTAGGACTTTTGGACTAGGCAGTCGCCAGGGTCCTCCTTATCGGCTCTTGCAGCCAAGCCCTCTGCACCGCCACACGTGCTGTCTGTCTTCTGCCCGCTAGTGTGAACACCGTGAAGGCAGGAACTCTGGTTTGTTCATCCTCAGCGTTTAGAACAGCTTGGCACGTACAGGCTTGCTAAGTAAATATCCCTTCCTCTAAGTCAGGACAATAGATAATGTTTGTTCTGCCACAAAAGCTACCAGTTTTGTCATTTCCAATTCATTTCCCATAAAGCAACTAGAGTTTTTTATTTTTTATTTTTAAAATAACTCTTGTGCTTCCTATTTATTTTAAAAATAACTCCTGGCTTCCCATATTTAGAATAAAATCCAATTCCGTGCATACGAAGCCCTACAGTGCATTTATCTGGCTATCACGTACCTGACCTCATCTTGTACCACTTGCCCTTAGTTACTGTGCTCTGACCTGTCTGTTCCTCCAGGTCACTGAGATCCCTCCTCTCTTTAGGGCTTTGTAATAGCTGTTACTTCTGTCTGAAATATTCCTTCCAGAACTTAATGTGGGTTGGCGGGGGATTGTGGGGGTTGGTTGGGGTATGCGTGTGGGAAGTAATGCTCCTTGTAGTTCAGGGCTCACCCCAGATGTTACCTCCTGAGAGGCAACATTAGACCTAATCTAAAGTAGCCCTTGGTCATTCAGATCACTGGTTTGTTTTCTTCATGCCACCCCCACTTCCACATTATCTTCGTATGGTATGTGTCTACACCTCATTTCCTGCCACACACACATAATCTTCCTCCCTGATAGCATATAAACTCCATGAAAGTAGAGACTCTCCTGGTCCTATTCGCAGCTGTAGCTGCAATGTCGCCTACTGAATAGCATATAGTAGGTATTCAATAAATAATAGATGCAATGAATTTAGTGAAAGAAGGGGACCTTGGGCAAGGCTCATTCAATATAACAGCATGCATTTAATAAAATAGTTATTATTTCCTAGTTCCTATGATCATCTTTCTAGCTCTGTTGTCTGAGAAAGCAAGGATTACATATAAAAATACAGTGTGTCTCAATGTAAAGGGTCATTTTTATTTCTGGTTACTGATCCTCTCCTCTTGGTCTCCTCCAACTGAAAAAGAAGAAAGGGGAGGAGGGGGAAAAGGAACAGCAGCAGTCACGCTTCAGTATAATTTTATACCAACTGTTTTAGAATAAATCTTTAAAATTGATAATATCCAATGTTGATGAGGTTGTGAAAAAAATAGTACATTGATAAACCTCTAGTGAAAATAAATGATGATAGCATTTATTAAGCAGTTACTACGTGCTAAATACTTTACATGCTTCATTTCATTTGGTCCTCACAACCCTATGGGATAGAGAACTATTATTGTTCCCATTTTAGGAATCAAGAAATTGAGGCTCAAGGAGGTTGAGTAACTTGACTATGAAAACAGTATGTTGACACACTTTTTATTTATTTTATTATTTATGTATTTATTATTATTATTTTTTGAGACAGAGTCTCACTTTTTGCCCAGGCTGGAGTACAGTGGAGTGGTCTCAGCTCACTGAAACTTCTACCTCTTGGGTTCAGGTGATTCTCGAGCCTCAGCCTCCCGCATAGCAGGGACTACAGGTGTGCACCACCATACCCGGCTAATTTTTGTATTTTTAGTAGAGACAGGGCTTTGCCATGTTGGCCTGGCTGGTCTTGAACTCCTGGCCTCAAGTGATCCACCTGCCTCGGCCTCCCAAAATGCTGGGATTATAGGCGTGAGCCACCGCACCTGGTCAGGCAGAACCCTTTTTTAAAGCAAAGGAAGTGATGTCCTAGAGCAATATTAACATTTATATCCTTTGACTCAGTCCAATCTTGCGAATTTGTTTTCTGGAGTAATTCAAAAGAAGAAAAGAACTACATGCACAAAGACCTTCAACACAGCATAATCTTAAATAGTAACAAAGTAAAACCAGGCCTGGCATAGAGGCTCATCCTATAATCCTATCACCTAGGAGGCTTAGGTGGGAGGATCACTTGAGCCCAGAAATTTGAGACCAGCTTGAACAATAGAGTGAGAGTGAGACCTCGTCTTTACAAAAAGTACAAAAATGAGCCAGGCATGGTAGCACATGCCTGTACTTGGGAGAGGCTGAGGAGAGAGGATCACTTAAGCATGGGAGGTTGAGGCTGCATGAGCAGTAATCAAACCACTGCACTCCAGCCTGGGTTACAAAGTGAGACCCTGTCTCAAAAAAAAAAAAAAAAAAAAAAAAGTAAAAACAGCTTAAATGCCAAACAAGAGAACGTTTAATTTATAGAACATCCACATCCTCAGAGATACTGAGCAGTACTGTTCCACCCTGATAGATGAAATGGATGTGAATGTTGCTGATCTTTTCTGAAGAAGCAGTCCCACTACACTAAAGATGAGCTGGAGACTGTTCACCTACTTTGTACTCCTGTTTGGAAATATTTAGGGGTAGTTTCTGTGTAATGGGGTTTATGTGAACTCTCTTCTCATACCCCCTCCCCCAGGAAAAGCTCTTGGTATTTTCCTATCCACTTTTATTTTATTTTATTTTATTTATTTTTTCGAGATGGAGTCTTGCTCTGTCACCCAGGCTGGAGTGCACTGGTGCAGTCTCGGCTCACTGCAACCTCTGCCTCTCGGGTTCAAGTGATTCTCCTGCCTCAGCCTCCCCAGTAGCTGGGACTACAGGCGCGCGCACTACCACACCTGGCTAATTGTTTTTGTATTTTTGTTAGAGACGGGGTTTCCCTAAGTTGGCCAAGCTGGTCTCGAACTCCTGACCTCAGGTGATCTGCCCACCTCGGCCTCCCAAAGTGCTGGGATCACAGGTGTAAGCCACCACGCCCAACCTCCTATCCACTTTTAAATAATGTATTGCTCTAAATCTTCTTCATTAAACATTTAAAACTTTTCCCATAAAAATAATTATAGAACATCAACATGATTGAATATCATATGGCGATTGAAAATGTTTCCATGGTATATACAGTAAATTAAAAATCAAACTGTGAAAATGAATATACAATATTATAATAACCACTTAGAATATATGTACTTGAATTAGGACCAAAAGGGAATAACTGTAAAATAAAATTAGTTGTGTTAAGACTGTGGTATTGGTGTAATCCCAGCACTTTGGGAGGCTGAGGTGGGTGGATCACCTGAGGTCAGGAGTTCAAGACCAGCATGGCCAACATGGTGAAACCTTGTCTCTACTAAAAATACAAAAATTAGCTGGGCATGGTGGCGGGCACCTATAATCCCAGCTACTTGGGAGGCTGAGGCAGGAGAATTGGTTGAACCTGGGAGGCAGAGGTTGCAGTGAGCGGAGATCATGCCACTGCACTTCAGCCTGGGTGACAGAGTAAGAGACTCCGTCTCAAAAAAAAAAAAAAAAGCTTATGGTATTATAGGAGGGTTTTTGTTTTTGTTTTTTGCTTTTTTTGAGACGGAGTCTCACTCTGTCACCCAGGCTGGAGTGCAGTGGTGCTATCGCAGGTTCACGCCATTCTCCTGCCTCAGCCTTCTGAGTAGCTGGGACTACAGGCACCCGCCACCACACTCGGTTAATTTTTTTGTATTTTTAGTAGAGACAGGGTTTCACCGTGTTAGCCAGGATGGTCTCGATCTCCTGACCTCGTGATCCACCCACCTCAGCCTCCCAAAGTGCTGGGATTATAGGCGTGAGCCACCACGCCCAGCATAGGAGGGTTTTTTTAAAAACAAAATTTGCTTTAATGTGACTGTATTGTTTTTACTGTTAAAAAATAAATCAGAAAAGATACCCATGATAATGGGAAAGAATGTTGAATTAACCCTACATGTGCTCTGCTGAAGAGAAACCTAAATAAATCATTGAACTAAAGTCAATATTTTGGTCAATACAAGGCATCTGAGGATATCAAACAAACTTGAGAAATCCATTTTTACAACTGCTTTAATGAATTTATCAGCAGTTTTGAAGACTCTTGGGTGATATCCATTTGGGATCTGTGGTAACTCTTCTCAATGTCATGGTCCACCTTTTGTCCAGGCTTTAAATTACCACTTTTGTTCAGTATAGCTTTAGGCACCAGTGATTTTATAGTTCTGACTTTTGGTCTTGTTCTTGTATACCATGTGTCTCCTTCAGAGAAGCCACATTTATGTATCCAGCCTCAGAATTCTGTGAACACACAAGATTCTCAGGAGACTTTTCAGGGGACTTTGAACTTGCCATTGCTTCTTTTGACTTGATCTCTTCAGTCTCTTGAAGACTTGCAAATGACTCTACCAAACCTTTTCCTGAAAAACTAAGAAATGCCATATGTGAGGACATCATGTACATAGAGTTTGTTGGTAGCAGTTCGGGGTTACAGGGATACAGGCATTGATAGAATTTCAATTTTTTGCAACTGTTACACAAAGCCAAATAAAATTTACCTTAAACCTATGTTCATATTTTATTTCCTACCTTAAGTCAGGATTCTGTGGGGTTTAGAGTTGAAGGAGTGGCAAGGGGAGGAATTGGAAGAAGATTCAAATAATTCATGTAGAGAAAATGACCCCAGAAAGCTATGCCTTCTCAAGCCAGCAATCCAGGACTAGTTAGGCAGCCATGACTCTCAGGCATGGCTGACAGTCCATCTCAGATAGACTTGACTTTATTTGTCTTGACTTTACTAACCTGGAGTTTGATAAAGGCAATATTTCATTCACTACTTCGGATTCAAGGATGTCACTAATTGTTGTTTCCTAAAAGGAAAGAAAGGATGAATGTGAAAAGTTATAATGATAAACCATTAGCTATATGATCCTAGAAAAAAATATATATATAATAGATACAATACCTGCACATAGTACAAACAATGAAAAACATAAAAGGGTACAGAATGAAAAGCTGGTTGCCCTCTCTCTCTCTATATATATAACCTATCTATATTTATCTATAGACGATCTATCTATATCTGTCTATCTAGTTTTACACACATGGTACTATACATACTATCTTCACCTTGCTTCTTTTGTTATATAAATTTTGGAGATATTGCAGAAAATTTTATTTTTAAAATAACTGCTTTGTTGAGAAGTAATTCACATACTATAAAGTTTTCCCTTTTAACGGGTTCAATTCAGTGCTTTCTAATGTACTCACACACTTATGCAACCATCACCACTGTCTAATTCCAGAATATTTTCATCACCCCCCAAAAAAGCCCATACCCAGGAGCAGTCTACTCCCCATTTATTCCTCCCCCAAATCCTTGGCAATCACTAATATACTTTCTGTCTTTATGGATTTCCTTATTCTGGATGTTTCATATAAATAGAATCATACAATATGTGGCCTTTTATGTCTGCCTTCTTTAAAATATTATCATGTTTTCAAGCTTCATTATGTTAGAGTAAGTATCAATAGTTTATGTCTTTTATGGCTGAATAATATTCCAGTGTTTGGATAAAACACATTTTGTTTATCCATTCATCAGGGGATGGAGAGTGGGTTGTTTTCACTTTTTAGTTATTATGAATAATGCTGCTATGAATATTTATCTACAAGTTTCTGGTAGGACATATATTTTTATTTCTCTTGGATATTGTGATGGTCAGAAAGTTTTTTCAAATTTTTATTTATACTATTGAATATTGACAAATTATAAGTGCCTATACTTACGGTGTACAAAGTGATGCTATGATATATAATATGGAATGATTGAATTGAGGTAATTAACATATCCATCACCTCAAATACTTACTCCTCCGGTCTAACTGAAACATTGCACCTTTGGCCAACATCTCCCCATTGCCTCCTCACCCCTCAGCCTCTGGTAACCAGCATTTTGCTCTATGCTTACATGTGTTCAATTGTTTTAGATTCCACATTTAAGTGAGAAGATGTGGTATTTGTTTTTCTGTGCCAGGCTTTTTTCACTTAGCATAATATCCTCCAGGTTCACCAATGTTGTTGCCAATGACAGAATTTCCCTCCTTTTTAAGGTTAAATAGTATTGTATCATATATATATACCACATTTTCACACACCATAGTGTATATCACATACTGACTTCAAATCCTTTGGATGTATACCCAGAAGTAAGATTGCTGGATCATATGGTAGTTCTATTTTCACTTTGTTGGGGAAACTCCACAGTTTTCCATAATTGCTGTACTAATTTATATTCCAAACAACAGTGTACAAGGTTTCCCTTTTCTCCACATCCTTGCCAACACATTATCTTTCATATTTTTGGTTTGTTGAGATAGGGTGTTGCTCTGTCACCCAGGCTGGAGTGCAGTAGCATGAACATAGTTCACTGCAGCCTTGACCTCCTGGGCTTAAGGAATCCTCACACCTCAGCCTCCTGAGAAGCTACAACCACAGGTGCACACCACCACACCCAACTAATTAAAACAAAAAAAATTTTTTTTTGTAGATACAGGGTCTTGCTGTGTTGCCCAGGCTGGTCTGGAACTCCTGACCTCAAGCAATCTTTCCACCTCAGCCTCCCAAACTGCTGGGATTACAGGTTTGGGCTACCATGCCTGGCCCTTATCTTTCATCTTTTTGATAACAGTCATTTTGACAGGTGTGAGGTGATATCCCATTGTGGTTTTAATGTGCATTTCCATAACGATTCATGATGTTGAGCTTTTTTTTTTTCATATATCTGTTGTCCATTTGTATGTCTTTTTTTGAGAAATGTCTATTCAGGCCCTTTGCCTACTTTTTAATTGGGTTGTGTTCTTGCTATTGAGTTGAGATCCTTATATATTTTGGATATTAATCCCTTATCAGATGTGTAGCTTACAGATATTTTCTCCCAATCCATAGGTTGCCTCTTCACTCTGTTAATTGTTTCTTTTGCTGTGCAGAAGCTTTTTAGTTTGATATAATCCCATCCCATTTGTATATGTTTGTTTTTGTTCCCTGAGCTTTTCGTGTCACATTGGAAAAATTGTTGTCCAGGTCAATATCATGTAGTTTTTCCCCTATGTAGTGTTCTTCTAGTAGTTTTACAATTTCAGGTCTTGTCTTTAAGTCTTTAATCCATTTGGAGTTGATTTTTTAATGTGGTGTTAGGTAACGGTCCACTTTCATTCTTCTGCACATAGATATCCAGTTTTCTCAATACCGTTTTGTTGAAGGGACTGTCCTTTTCTCAATGTCATTTTCATCCTTTGTCAAAAAATTAACTGACTGTAGGCCAGGTGTGGTGTCTGACACCTATAATCCCAGCATTTTGGGAGGCCAAGGCAGAAGCATTGCTTAAGCCCAGGAGTTTGAGACCAGCCTGGGCAACATGACAAGACCCCATCGCTACAAAAAATTTAAAGAATTAGCTGAGTGTGATGGCGTGCACCTATGGTTCCAGCTACTTGGAAGGCTGAGGTGGGAGGATTGCTTGAGCCCAGGAAGTTGAGGCTGCAGTGAGCTGTGATTGCCACTGCTCTCCAGCCTGGGCAGCAGAAAAAGAAAAATCAATTTTAAATGTGTGGGTTTGTTTTTAAGCTCTCTATGCTGTTTCATTTTGTCAATGTGTCTGTTTTAATGCCAGTCCCATGTTGTTTTAATTACTGTAGTTCTGTTATACACACACACACACACACACACACACACACACACACACACACATATATATTTTTTTAGACAGGGTCTTGTTCTGTTACCCAGGCTGGAGTGCAGTGGCACAATCATGGCTCACTGCAACCTCTACCACCTGGGCTCAAGCAATCCTCTTGCCTCAGCCTCCCAAGTAGCTGAGATTACTATGCCCAGCTAATTTTTTACTTTTTTGTAGAGATAGGGTTTTGCAATGTTGGTCTTGAACTCCTGGGTACAAGCTGGTCTCAAACTCCTGGGCCCAAGCAATCTGCCCCCCTCAGCCTCCCACAGTGCTGGGATTACAAGCCTGAGCCACCGTGCCCAACCTGTAATATAGTTTGAAATCAGGTAGTATGAGGCCTCCAGCTTTGTTCTTTCTGCTGAATATTGCCTTGGCTATTTGGGGGTTTTGTAGTTCCACATGAATTTTAGGACTGTTTTTTCTATTTCTACGAAAAATGACATTGGAATTTTGATAGGTATTGCACTGAACCTATAGATTGCTTTGGGTGGTATGGGCATTTTAGCAATATTAATTCTTTCGATTCATGAACATTAATATCTTTTCATTTATCGTATTTTCTTCAATTTATTTCATCAAAGTTTTGTAGTTTTAAGTATACGGATCTTTCACCTCTTTGGTTAAATTTATTCCTGAGTAGTTTATTTCTTTTGAAGTTATTGTAAATGGTATTATTTTCTTTATTTCTTTTTTGGATAATGTGTTATTGGTGTATAGAAGCACTACTGATTTTGGTGTGTTGATTTTGGTGTGTTGATTTTGTATCCTTCAACTTTACTATATTTGCTTCTTAGTTCTAACAGTTTTTAGGGATTTCTATATATAAGATCATGTCAACAAGTAGACACAATTTCAGTTTCCTTTCCTATTTGGATGCCTTTTATTTCTTTCTCTTGCCTAATTGCTCTGGCAAAGATTTCCAGTATATATGAAATAGAAGTGGTGAGCGTGGGCATCCTTGTCTTGTTCTTGATCTTTGAGAAAAAGCTTCCAACTTTTCTCCATTGAGTATAATGTTAGCTGTGGGCTTGTCATATATGGCCTTTATTGTATTGAGGTACATTCCTCCTAAACCTAATCTTTTGAGAGTTTTTATCATGAAAGGATTTGAATTTTGTCAGATGCTTTTTCTGTATGTAATAAGATGATCATATGGTTTTTGTCCTTCATTCTATTAATGTGGTGTATCATGTTTATTGATTTGCATATGTTGAGCCATCCTTGTATTCCTGGGACAAATCTCACTTGATCATGGTGAATGATCTTTTTATAGTCTTGCCTGGTTTTGGCATCTGGGTAATGCTGGCCTCATTTAATGAGTTTGTTAGTATTCCCTCCTCTTTATTTTTTTTGAAGAGTTTGAGTAAGATTGGTATTCCTTCTTTAAATATTTGGTGGACTTCAGGAGTGAATCCAGCAGGTTCTGATCTTTTCTTTGATGGAAGACTTTTTATTATGGCTTTGATCATATGATTCATTATTCGTTTGTTGAAGTTTTCTATTTCTTCATGGTTCAATCTTGGTAGGTTGTATGTTTCTAGAAATTTATCCATTTCTTCTAGGTTTTCCTATTTGTTGGCATATGGTTATTCATAATAGTCTCTAATGATTCTTTGTATTTCTGAGATCTCAGTTGTTATGTCTCCTTTTTCATTTCTGATTTATTTATTTGGGTCTTCTCTCTTTTTTTCTTAGTTTGTCCAGCTAAAGATTTGTTGATTTTGTTTATCTTAAAAAAAAACCCAACTTTTTGTTTCATTGATCTTCTATATTGTTCTTTTAATCTCAATTTCATTTATTTCTGCTCTAATCTTTTTTGTTTGTTTGTTTTGTTTTGAGACAGAGTCTTGCTCTGTCACCCAGGCTGGAGAGCAGTGGCGTGATCTCGGCTCACTGCAACCTCCACCTCCCAAGTTCAAGTGATTCTGCTGCCTCAGCCTCCCAAGTAGCTGGGATTACAGGTGCATGCCACCACGCCCAGCTAATTTTTTGTATTTTTAGTAGAGACAGGGTTTCACTGTGTTAACCAGGATGGTCTCAATCTCCTGACCTTGTGATCCGCCTGCCTTGGCCTCCCAAAGTGCTGGGATTATAGGTGTGAGCCACTGCGCCCGGCCTGCTCTAATCTTTATTATTTCTTTCCTTGTATCAATTTTGGGTTTGGTTTGTTCTTGCTTTTCTAGTTTCTTGAGGTGCATCTTCAGGTTATTTGAAGTCTTTCCACTTTTTTGATATAGGTGTTTGTTGTTATAAACTTCCCTCTTAAGGCCAGGCATGGTGGCTTATGCCTATAATCCCAGCACTTTCGGAGGCTGAGGCGGGTGGATCACCTGAGGTCGGGAGTTCCAGACCAGCCTGACCAACATGGAGAAACCCCGTCTCTACTAAAAATACAAAATTAGCCAGGCATGGTGGCACATGCCTGTAATCCCAGCTACTCAGGAGGCTGAGGCAGGAGAATCGCTTGAACCCGGGAAGCAGAGGTTGCAGTGAGCCAAGATTGCGCCATTGCACTCCAACCTGGGCAACAAGAGTGAAATTCCATCTAAAAACAAACAAACAACAACAAAAAACTCCCCTCTTAATATTGCTTTTATCATATCCCATAGATTTTGTATTCCCATTTCCATTTGTTTCAAGATATTTTAAAATTTCCATCTTAATTTCTTAATTAACCCATTGGTCATTTGGGAATATGTTGTTTTATTTCCATGTGTTTGTGTAGTTTCCAAGGTTTTTCCTGTTATTGATTTCTAGTTTCATTTCATTGTGTTCAAAGAAGATACTTGACACAATTTCTGTTTTTCAAATTTGTACTTGTTTTGTGGTCTAAGATATGGTCTATTCTGAAAAATGTTCTATGTGCTGATGAAAAGAATGTGTATTCTGCAACAGTGGGTATGTTCCATAAGTGTCAGTTAGATCTACTAGGTCTAGTGTGTAGTTTAACTCCACTATTTGTTGATTTTCTGTTAGGATGATCTGTCCATTATGGAGAGTTGGGTGTTAAAGTCCCCACTATTATTAGGTTGCAGTCTATCTCACTTTAGGTCTATTAATGTTAGCCTTATATATTTGGGAGCTCTGGTGTTGGATGCATAGATATTTATAATTGTTATATTCTCTCGCTGAATTGGCCCTTTTATCATTATATAGGTTACCCCCCTTGTCGTTTTTAGTCTTTGACTTGTAGTCTAATTTATCTGATATGACTATAGCTAGTTCTGCTCCTCTTTGGTTTCCAGTTGCATGGAATATCTTTTCCCACTCCTTTTCAGTCTCTGTGTGTCTTTATAGATGAGATGGGTTTCTTGAGGGCAGTATATAGTTGGGTTTTATTTCTTTATCCATTCAGCTACTTGCTGACTTTTATTTTTTTGCATTGATTTTATTTATTTATTTTTTTGAGATGGAGTCTCACTCTGTCACCCAGGCTGGAGTGCAGTGGCTCAGTCTTGGCTCACTGCAACCTCTGCCTCCCAGGTTCAAGTGATTCTCCTTCCTCAGCCTCCTGAGTAACTGGGATTACAAGCACATACCACCACGCCCAGCTAATTTTTTTGTATTTTTAGTAGAGATGGGGTTTCACCATGTTGGCCAGGCTGGTCTCGAACTCCTGACCTCAGGTGATCATCCACCGCAGCCTCCCAAAGTGGATTACAGGCATGAACCACCGCACCCAGCCAAATCTTTAATGCTAGATCCCTGCCTCCTTTTTGGCTCTAGGTGGCACCTTAAGCCCAGGTTCACCTTGGCTCTAGTAAATGGTGAGAGCACTGCCTGTCCCAAATAGGGGAGGTCCCAAAGGGGTTATCCTGGCAGTGAGGGAAGGCTGTCTAGGGGCTCATGCCCAGGAGACCTGGGGGACATAGCTCCTACAGCCACTCTTATGTCTTCTTTGGCTGAGTTACAGAGCAGAGTCCCACCTCTTCTGTTTCAGGGATATTTCAGGGATATGCCTGTCTTCAGGGATATTTCTGCCTGCAGGAAGTTGTGATACTACTACCTGTGGGTTAAGACAAGGACAGGTTTCTGGCTAGGAAACCCAAGAAAGTGGGGAATCTGTTTGACTACCTCCGTTTTACTTTTTCCAGTGTAGAAACCATAAGTTGAGAGATTTTCCAAACAGTGGGTGCCTGGCAGAATGTGGGGAAGGGTATTGTGGATGTGGAAGTTGGATTCTCCTACCATCTGCTCAGAGTGTTTCCACTTCTCTGTGGCCTCAGGAACTGACTCATCCTCATGCTGGAGTTCTGCATTGTTGCTGGTGAAGACCTCAGTGCTGTATATTTCTTTCTGTTTCTTTGTTGGAGGGAGAGAAGCCAGCTTGCCTCTATGCCACCATTTTGGAACAGGAAACTCCTTAAGATTCTAAGTTTAAAAACAATTTTGGAGTTATTTATTTCAATAGGTATCAAGATGTTAGAAGTTAGTACCTTTGACACATACGGAATATTGAGTTTGATGTGCTATAGTTCTGATCCATGTGACCATTCTTATCTTCATTCAAGGTTAACAATATGGATCGCAAAGCTATTGGTCCCAGACATACTCCATTAAGTCTTCTAACTCAGCACTTGTAATACTATAGTACTTATTTACAAATGTGTTTGTCCTTCTCTAGTAGACCAAAGGCCTCTGAAAACAGGGACTATCTTTTTATTCCCAGGACCTAGGCCATTTCCTGGAATTGATAAGTATTCATTGAATGAATAAGTAAAAGAATGAATGACTAGACAATTGAAAACAGTTGTGGCTCAAGGAAAGACATAAATTACTGGATATCAAGCCACACTACTTGGCAGTTCTACTTTTGACAAAATCAGAAAAAAAAACGAAAACCCACTCATATAGCTTGGAAATAATCACCTCTCTGAGACCAAACAAGTCTTACAGCAACAGTGATCAACAAGCAGGATCTACTATCCAGTATCTTGGGAAGAAACATCTAGTAGGTGATATAAACCAGAGAAGAAAGTAATCAGCCTCCATCTTGGCTTCAGAATATGATTCTGTTCATTGAAGTCCCTCTTGCTGACTTGCTTACCAGACAGACTATGGACCTGATCTGAACCTGTACTATTTTCTGCATCTCTCTGTATTTGGCCACTTGTCTGCTTGGACTTTTGGAACATAATTGCTTCTCTTTCACTCAGATGCTCTCTTTAGGCTTGACTCTTTGCCATAGCAAACTTCACTTTACTTAACTGAGTCTCAGATTTGCTCATGTTTTAGATGGGGCTAGAATCATACATGGCAAACAGTGCTGTTGAGAGTAAGGCACATATGTTAAAACACTGAATATTTATTCATTCTCAAATATTTATGGAGTACCTGTCCATAGATACAGTAATATATGAGATACACTCCTTGCCCTCCAGGAACTCACTGCTGAGTTAATGAGATAGAGGAGAAAAAGGGCAATGACAATACAGTGTATTAAGGAAGAAGCTATGAGGCATATACAAATTGCTTGGAGATCACACAGGAGGAGATAGTTTACTAAAATCTGGCTGATCAAGAGCAGTCTCAGGGTCTGCTATCCTGGTGTGCAGCCAAGAGCCTCTTTGCCACAGCCTACCATGAGGCCAAGAGCCCAGCTACAGCTATATAAAGATGAAGGCAAGAGACAGCACAGCAGCCGTAGCAACCCGAACTTCACATTAAAGGCAGGCCCAATAGGAAGCACACATCTTACCTCTCCTCTGCGAATATGGATGCTCCTTATAATTCGCTCTAAGAAGCCAATCTGCTGTGTGAGACGAAGACTATTTTCCTGTAATTGCTTATTTTCTTTATCCATGTAAAGTACCCTAAGAATGGCATAAATCAGTGGCATGATTAGAGATTTCTGTATCATTACTAAAAACCCAAAACTACATCCCACTTCCCACTGGCCCCGGATCTTAGACTACTGTCCAGATTTTAGAAGCAAGTTTGACAGAATAATTCCCACCATATTCCAAGAACAAGTGTGTTGTTTAATACTGAGTGTCAACTTGATTGCATGGAGGGATACAAAGTATTATCCTGGGTGTGTCCGTGAGGGTGTTGCCAAAGGAGATTAACATTTGAGTCGTGGGCTGGGGAAGGCAGATCCCCTCTTAATCTGGTGGGCACAATCTAATCAGCTTCCAGTGAATATAAAGCAGGCAGAAAAACGTGAAAAAGAGAGACAGGCCTCTCCTCCCAGTTTACATCTTTCTCCCATGCTGGATGCTTCCTGCCCTCAAACACAGGATTCTGAGTTCTTCAGTTTTGGGACTCGGACTGGCTCTCCTTGCTCCTCAGCTTGTGGACAGCCTATTGTGGACTTTGTGATTGTGTAAGTTAATACTTAATAAACTCCTCTTTATATATATGTATATACTCTCCTTTACATATACATATTTATGTCTCCTATTCTGTTCTTTTCCTCTAAGAGAACCCTAATACACCAAGTAAAAGTTAATAAACTTCTGGGCTGTACATGGTTATTAAATACATGTACAAGAGTATTAATTCTAGCCCTTGAAAAATTTAAGGAAGGATATGATCCCATTTAGGGTGGGAATGAAACAAGAGAGACTCTGTATCCCTTCAAATATTGTAGCTACATAGCTTGCATCTGGTTCTGTTATCATACTGATCGGATTCTGATTTCTTGTGAAGTAGAAATAGTGGTAGCAGCAGCAGCAACCATGTTTCAAGTACTTGCCATGTACTTATGCAATGTAACCTACCCACACAGTAAGCACTTAAAACTTTTCATGTATTAGCTCATTTAATATGCACAGCAACCTGATGAAATATACACTGTTGTGACAAATCTGAGCCTCAGTTTCCTTATTTGTAAAATGAGGAAATACTCCTTGGAAGAAACTTACTGTAAGGAAAACATTCAATCCAGTCCAGGTGATTGTGTCATCAGTAGGGCAAGATAGAAATATGATTAATGTTAATGCAAAGGTAATGAGTTAATTGTGTTGGATCCTGACTGTCAGAAGCTATGACAGTTTGAGAAGAGCAATGATTTATATGGGACATCTAAAAGGGGAGACACAGACAGTAAAAGATCAGAGATTCTCCAAGCCTGCCCAGAGACGTGTGCCCAAAGCAGTGGACAAGAACATTACAGTCTGCTTGGCAGTCCTCTCCCCAGACTATGGTGCTATGGTCTAGGGCCAAGCTGCTGAGGTCCACATGCTGCTCTGTCACTGACTGGGCTGAGTGAGTTCCCTCACCTCTCTAGACCTTGGCTTCCTATCTGTAAAATAAGGCTAATAGTGCCTCTCTCCTGGGATTGGTGTCAGGATTAAATGAAGGAAAGAGCTTAGAACAGTGCCTAGCATATAGTAATTGCTCAGACAAATCTTAATCATTCCAGTTATTATTGGTGACATTATTTGTTAACATCAACCCACTCTCTTTGATTATAATGAAAGTCTCCTATGAAGAAGAGAATGCTCAGGCTGGCTGATATATGACTTATTTTCTGCTTATAATATTTCTCATTAAAAATTAATACACTGATATCCTGTGGATTTCATGAATTTAAGTTACTTCTGTGAGCCTAATTCTCTCTTGTTCTACCTTGATTCCATAGGTATCCAATAATAAAAATGTGGATCAACACACACAAAATGACAGGCCAGAATGCACACAGCCAAGTCCTCAGTGAGGCAATGACATTATGAAACAGCCTATCTAAATAGCCAACCAGCCTCCTCCATGATATTTTTCTCTTTAATTTAACAATTTCTGCCACTTGTATGATCTGCCAAAAACAGCAGACAGCGGAGCGAGAGTCATAGGGTAGGCTACAAACTCAAAGGACAGTCTCTAGAACCATCTCTTTGTTGAGGGAGAAACATCCTCTTGTGGAGTTTATTGGCTCCCAGGCAGGATGGCACCTACCTGCTCTGGATGGAAGATATCGTCCATTTGTTGCTGTGGATCAACTGTTCTTGCTCTATGACTTGCTCCTGAAGTTTCCTTTTTTCTAGAAGCAGGGTATCATTTTGGGCAGTGATCTGGTCCTGTATTGCCTTCTCCTAGGGATTAGAAAGTCTCCTAATTACCACAGCAGGAGAAAGTATGATAAATTTAAGAGCATAAGCCTGTTTCTAAATCTAGCAGAAATTTTCCCTTATTTACTTTTTTTTTCCTGTCCCCTAGTCTGTTTCTATCTGTTTGCTGACATTGTCATTCACTGTAGCTAAATAGTTTTTCAATTTTCAAGAGGTTATTTTATGTCATGTCATATATATATATATATATTTTTTTGTTTGTTTGTTTGTTTAAGACAGAACTTGCCCTGTCACCCAGGCTGGAATACAGTGGCGTGATCTCTGCTCACTGCAAGCTCCACCTCCCAGGTTCATGCCATTCTCCTGCCTCAGCCTCCCAAGTAGCTGGGACTACAGGTGCCCACCACTACGCCCGGCTAAGTTTTTTGTATTTTTAGTAGAGATGGGGTTTCACCGTGTTAGCCAGGATGGTCTCGATCTCCTGACCTTGTGATCCGCCCACCTTGGCCTCCCAAATTGCTGGGATTACAGGCGTGAGCCACCATGCCCAGCCCATGTCATGTATTTTTTTTTCTTCTTTTTCATGACCCTGAAAGTAGTGAGATCATGTTGTTTTTTGTTTGTTTGTTTTGTTTTGTTTTTGACATGGAGTCTTGCTTTGTTGCCCAGGCTGGAGTGCAGTGGCAATATCTCGGCTCACTACAACCTCTGCCTCTCAGGTTTAGCCTCAGCCTCCCGAGTAGCTGGGATTACAGGCATCCACTACCATACCCAGCTAATTTTCATATTTTTAGTAGAGACAGGGTTTCGCCATGTTGGCCAGGCTGATCTCAAACTCCTGATCACAAGTGATCTGCCCGCCTAGGCCTCCCAAAGGTTTGGGATTACAAGCGTGAGGCACTGCGTCCAGCTGTTTTTTTTGTTTTTTTTTGTTTTTTTGTTTTTTTAGACAGGATCTAGCTCTGTCATCCAGACTGGGGTGCAGTGGTACAATCATGGCTCACTGTAACCTCACACTCCTGGGCTCAAGTGATCATGTGCCTCAGCCTCCTGAGTAGCTAGGACTACAGGCATGAACCACCACAGCTGGCTAATTTTTAAATTTTTTGTAGAGTCAGATGCCTGGTGCCATGGCTCACACCTGTAATCTCAGCACTCTGGGAGGCCAAAGTGGGAGGATTGCTTGAGCCCAGGAGTTTGAGACCAGCCTGGTCAACATGGTGAGACCCCGTCTCCACACACACACACACACACACACACACACACACACACACACACACAAAAGCCATGTGTGGAGTTCAAGGCTGCAATGAGCTAGGATCACACCACTGCACTCTAGCCTGGGTGACAGAATGAGACTCTGTCTCAAAAAAATTTTTTTAAGATAAAAAATAAAATAAAATAGTAGAAACAGGGTCTTGCTCTGTTGCTCAGGCTGGTCTCAAACTCCTGGCCTCGAACTATCCTCCTGCTTCAGCCTCCCAAAGGACTGGGATTACAGGCATGAGACACTGTGCCCAACCTACATGTTTCTTTTAAATAAGATACTAATGTAGGTCATTCAGAAAAGACTGGCCATCTATTATTATTATTAATTTTTTTTTTAGATAAAGTTTTGTCTTTCACCCAGGCTGGAGTGCAGTGGTGCAATCTCGGCTCACTGCAACCTCTGCCCGCTGGGTTCAAGCAATTCTCCTGCCTCAGCCTCCTGAGTAGCTGACATTATAGGTGCCCACCACCGCACCCAGCTAATTTTTGTACTTTTAGTAGAAATGGGGTTTTGCCATGTTGGTCAGGCTGGTCTCAAACTCCTGACCTCAGATGATGCACCCACCTCGGCCTCCCAAAGTGCTAGAATTACAGGCATGAGCCACCATGCCTGGCCATCCATCTATTATTAAAGACCTGTAGGATGTTGATTAGATTATGTTCCGAAAAAGCTATTCCAGATTTTAAAGTCCATCTCAGGGACCCGGCAATATCTAATGGTAGTCTGACCTGCTATAATTTAAAGACATTTAATTAATAATGTATTGGTAAGGATTGAGAATAGAAGCAATCATCCCACAGATAAACCCTAGACAGCTCTAACTGGATTAAAAAGTGTACTGCATGAGGAAGGTGACTGACACCTTGTCCTTGGGAAATACTGTATTTTTTAAAACAAACAAAAATTCCAGACACATGCTGTGATAATAGGATAAAATGGGAAAGTCTGGTTTGAGTGGTCACAACAGAAGTCTCAATTGACTCATTATATAAAGAAAAAGCTGAAGGAATGAAGCCAAAAGAAGTGGCATTACTTTTTGGAGACTTAGAAAGAAATCTGGCATTTTTATGCTCAGTGCTCTGGTCCTTGGGCCCTAAAATATACATAAAATAAGAATTCCTAGGTTTGTACCACTGTGGCATTAAAAGCTCTAACATCAGTCTTCTCTAGGCTAAGTCGTTCTAATTCTGTCAACAATTTCTCATGTGAACAATGAATCCACCAATTAACATTCTTCTAAGATTTTTTTTTTTTTTTTTTGAGACGAAGTTTCACTCTTTTCACCTAAGCTGGAGTGCAATGGTGCAATCTTGGCTCACTGCAACTTCTATCTCCCTGGTTCAAGCAATTCTCCTGCCTCAGCCTCCCAAGTAGCTGGGATTACAGGGATGAGCCACCACACCTGGCCCTTCTAAGAGATTATATACCAAAAAAAGGAAAATAACATCTATGAAAAATGTGTATGTACCAAGTACCACTTTAGAAATTGTATGTTTTAATACTCACAAAAGCCTTGTGTATGTAAGGTAGGGATTATTTCCCTCATTTTACAGATGAGGAAAGTGATACACAGAGACTTGTCCAAGCTTACAGGCAGGGCTAGAATTTGAATCCAAGTCTATTTAAGGCCAAAGCCCACAGTACCCTTCAATGGCAGTGAGCAAAAGATCCAATTATTCTCTCAGCCTCTGCTTATTTGGGAGCTCCAGCACATTTTATGAAGACCTGTGGTTCTTTGGGTAGGTGCATTAGTTTCCTAGGGCTGCCATAACATTTTCTCATAGTTTTGAGTGACAGAAATCTGAAATCACATTGTTGTCAGGGTTAATTACTCATGGGGGCTCCAGGAGAGATTGTGTTGCATGCCTTTCTCCTAGCTTCTGGTGGTTGCCAGCAACCCTTGCTATTTCTTGGCTTGTAGCTGTATCATTCCAGTCTCTGAATTCATCATCATGAGGCATTCTTCCCCTGTCTGTGTCTGTCTGTGTGTTTTCCCCTCTTCCTATAAGGACAGCAATCATCTTAGATTTATGATTCACCCTAATCCAGGATAATCTCACTTAACTAATTGTATCTGCAAAGACCCTATTTCTATATAAGGTCACATTCTAAGGTTCTAGGACATGAATTTGAGGGACGCTATTCAACCCAGTGTAGTCAGGAAGAAAGCTAGCATGCCTGTTGAAAGCAGAAGACTGTTTTTCTGGCCTAGAAGCAAAATGCAAAAGTATGAAAAAGAACTGATAATATAGAAATAGGCTGATGATATGTCTGATGGACCCATGAACTAGGGTTGCTACTTTTTTTTTTCCTTTCTTTCTCTTACTCTTTATTTATTTATTTATTTATTTAGATGGAGTTTTGCTCTTGTCCCCCAGGCTAGAGTGCAATGGCATGATCTCAGCTCACTGCAACCTCCGCCTCTTGGGTTCAAGAGATTCTCTTGCCTCAGTCTCCTGAGTAGCTGGAATTACAGGCATGTGCCACCATGCTCGGCTAATTTTTTTGTATTTTCAGTAGAGATGGGATTTCACCATGTTGGCCAGGCTAGTCTCGAACTCCTGACCTCAGGTGATCTGCCCACCTCGGCCTCCCAAAGTGCTGGGATTACAGGCGCAAGCCACCGTGCCCTGCCTCTTCTTTTCTTTTCTTTTTTTTTTTTTTTTTGCCCATGGGTGCTATTAAAATGGATTACTACTTTTTCTTATACACTTTCCATAGTCTTTTCCTAGTTCTAAGCTGGATCTCAGTCTCTAAAAGTTTGAAAAATTAATGGCAAAAAAAGGAGGACTGCAAAAATCCAACTTATTTTTCTTCTCTCACTATAGTTTAGAGTATCAAGAGGATTTTTTATTTTAGTTAGAGACAGAGCTTCTCTATGTTGCCCAGGCTGGAGTGCAGTGGCTATTTATAAGCACAATTATAGCCCACTGTAACCTTGAACTCCTGGCCTCAAGCAATCCTCCTGCCTTGGCCTCCCAAAGTGCTGGAATTACAGGCATGAACCACTGCACCCAGCCAATTTTTTAAAACTAAGAATGCAATATTTGTGACCCACCTATTATATTCCAAAAATGCTTTATTGTGTATAGTCTGGGAATTCTTGACCTAGGGTCCCAGGATAGTTGATGGAATCACTGAAATTACATTAATGGTTATGGTATCCTTGGCACACAGTGGTGGTATAAAAATTTGTTGAGTGTGGAAATGAATATTTTAGGAATGATGATAGAGTTCTCAATATTCTGAAAGGGCTAGTGACCCCAAGAAGGGAAAACCTTACTGGCCTAGTCAGTTACTCTCCATCCTGAATTTATATAGTTTAATAATCCCACAACCATTCTGCATTTGATTCTATTCATCTGTCCCATTTCCTGTTTATTCATCCACCACTAAGTCACAAGGGCAATAAGACAAACATAAAAAAGCTTGAAGGCAAGGACTGATAAAGGAGTAAGGATCACCTATTTTCACTGCCATTTAAAACTGACACTGAAGTCTGAGGCAAAATGAGGGCTCCACAAAGCAGAAATGAGTTACTGAGAGTGGTTTGGAAGTCTGTGCTCAGGAGTGTTCAAGAAAAGGCATTTCCATCTGAAGAAAGACATTGATCATAAGTTGGCAGTACAGAGTATTTTCAGTATTCAATTCCGTGTAGCAGCACTAGGAGTCTTATGTACTTTTGGTCAGGGCTTAAAGAATTACTTATTGAAAGATGGTGCAAAGAAAAGAAATGAAAACGAGGACTATGAAGGGGTCTCAAATAATTTTTAAAATGAAAAGGCTTTCTCCAAATGGCTGACCATGGGAATCACCAGTGAGCTCTTCACCTTTTATTTTTTCCTCACCTTTTCTATTTTATGTTGCAGGATTCCAATTTCATCTTCAAATTGGTTAATTCTCTTATCTCGTAGTTCTACTTCATTAGTTAAACGATACTTGACTTTTTGAAGCTTGACTTTTTGTTGGTGATGTTTCTCATTATAGTTTCTATAAAAGTAAATTTGAGTTTAGACACATCTGAACACAGTTAAAATTTATTTTGCATCCTCAATATGCACCTTTCTTGGGTGTCCTCTTCTTGCTTAAGTCAGGGAACTGGCACCGGATGTGGATACTTATCCTGCCTCACATCTTCTTGCCCTCCATTTCAGGGAGTGGGCCAAGGATAACCCCCTATATAACACCAGCTTTAACTACTGCTGTGGACTCAAGTATTTGGCTTATCTTGGTCTTTTTTTTTTTTTTTTTTTTTTTTTTTGAGATGGAGTCTTGCTCTGTCGCCCAGGCTGGAGTGCAATGGCAGGATCTCAGCTCACTGCAACCTCCACCTCCTGGGTTCAAGCGATTCTCCTGCTTCAGCCTCCCGAGTAGCTGGGACTACAGGTGCCTGCCACCATGCCCTGCTAATTTTTGTATTTTTAGTAGAGACAAGGTTTCACCATATTGGCCAGGCTGGTCTCGAACTCCTGACCTTGTGATCCGCCTGCCTCAGCCTCCCAAGATGCTGGGATTACAGGCATGAGCTACCGCACTTGGACTACCTTGGTCTTGTACTGATGGTTGTGGTATAACTTTAGCATCTGAGTTTAATTTAGGAAACTCCTTGATTTTTTTATTGTGGTATAACTGATTTTTTATCCCTGACATCTAAATTCTGACTCCTGTTCCACTAATTCAGTCATTAACTTAAAATTTCCTCGTTCTTGGCTGTATCTTGGACAGTGATATACTCCCTTCAATCTTATCTAATTTCCAGATGGCTTGGCCTGTTCTCAGTCCTTGCATTGAGTCTGGACCTCTTCTTCTTCTTCTTCTTTTGAGACAGGGTCTCACTCTGTCACCCAGGCTGGAGTGCAGTGGTACAATCATGGCTCACTACATCCTCGACCTCCTGAGCTCAAGCAATCCTCCCACCCCAGCATCCCAAGTAGTGCACACCACCACACCTGGTTAATTTTTTTAATTTTTTGTAGAGATGGGTGTCTCACATGTTGCCCAGGCAGGTCTTAAACTCTGCCTCAAACTATCCTCCTGCCTCAGCCTCCCAAAGTGCTGGGATTACAGGCATAAGCCACCCAGTGAATCTGGACTTCTAAAAGCCAGTTCCATATAGGTCACTTTCAAGACTCTGATTCTTAGATACATCTAAGTTATGGCCAATAAGCACATGAAAAGATGCTTAACATTACTAGCCATTAAGGAAATGAAGATCAAAAGCACAATGAGATACTGCTTCACACGCACTAGGATGGCTAGAGTAAAATGACAGATAATAACAAGTGCTGACAAGGATGCAAAGAAATTGGAACCCTTATACACTGCAGGCAGGAATATAAAATAGTATAGTCTCTTTAGAAAACAGCCTGGCAGTTCCTCAAGTGGTTAAACATAGAGTTGCCATTTTTTTTTTTTTTTTGAGATGGAGTCTCACTCTGTTGCCCAGGCTGGAGTGCAGTGGTGCGATCTTGGCTCACTGCAAGCACTGCATCCCGGGTTCATGCCATTCTCCTGCCTCAGCCTCCTGAGTAGCGGGACTACAGGCACCCACCACCACGCCTGGCTAATTTTTTGTATTTTTAGTAGAGACGGGGTTTCACCGTGTTAGTCAGGATGGTCTCAATCTCCTGACCTCGTGATCTGCCCGCCTTGGCCTCCCAAAGTGCTGGGATTACAGGCGCCAGCCACCACATCTGGCCTAGAGTTGCCATTTGACCCAACAATTCTACCTAGGTCTATATATTCAAGATAAATGAAAACATATGTCCACACAAAAACTTATACACAAATGTTCATAGCAGCATTATCCATAACAGCCAAAAGGTGGAAACAACCCAGATTGCCATCAACTGATGAGTGGATAAACAAATAGGGTATATCTAGCCAGGCACGGTGGCTCACACCTGTAATCCCAGCACTTTGGGAGGCCAAGGCAGGTGGATCACTTGAGGTCAGGAGTTCAAGACCAGCCTGGCCAACATGATGAAACCCCGTCTCTACTAAAAATACAGAAATTAGCTGGGTGTGGTGGCGGGCACCTGTATTCAGGAGGCTGAGGCAGGAGAATCACTTGAACCCAGGAGGCGGAGGTTGCAGTGAGCCAAGATTGCGCCCCTGCACTCCAGCCTGGGCAACAGAGGGAGACTTCATCTCAAAAAACAAACAAACAAAAAAAACCAAATACGGTATATCCATACAATGTTATAAAAAGAAAGGAAGTACTGATACATGCTACAACATGAACCTTGAAAGCATTATTCTAAGTAAAACAAGCCAGGCACAACAGACTCCATTTATATGAAATGTCAGTAATAGGCAAATTTAGAGAGAAAGAAAGTAGATTAGTGGTTGCCTAGTCTGGTGGTGGGAAGGGAACTGGGGATAGAGTGATAGTTAAAGAGCATGGGGTTTCTTTTAGGTTGATAAAATGTTCTAATGTTGATTGTGGTAACAATCAAAACATGGACAAAAGCCATTGAACTATACACTTTAAACGAGTGAATTGTATAATATTTGAATTATATCTCAATAAAGCTGTTTAAAAAACCAAAGAAACAAAAGTCTAAATTACCATTTCAAGCTACTATAATATCTAATCAGAGTAAACAAGAAAATAGATTAAAGCATCCATACTACCACTAGCCAAACCTCATGGAGCATGAGTGCGATACAAACAAAAAGAATGTTGTTCTTTAAAGTTAAGGAGAAGCTTCACTTTGAACCTACTAGATGTGATTACACCAAATAACTCTAAACAAACCTCTGCATTGTTCACATTTTAGGCCTGATAAATATTTGCTGTGGAAGGCTATAATGTGCACTGTAGAATGCTTAGTAGCATCATTGGCCCCCACCCACCAGATGCCAGTAGCACCTCCTACAGTTGTAACAACTAAAATGGTCTCCAGACATTGCCAAATGTCCCTTTGCCCTGGAAGGCTGTAATGTTTTGTTTTTTTTTTTTTTTTTTTTTTTTTGAGACAGTCTTGCTGTGCAGCCTTGATCTCCCCAGCTCAAGTGATCCTCCCACCTCAGCCTCCTGAGTAGCTGGGACTAGAGGTGTGCATCACTATTGATACGGTTTGGCTATCTCCTCACCGAAATCTTATCTTGTAGTTCCCATAATCCCCATGTATCATGGACGGGAGGTGATACCTGGTGGGAGGTAATTGAATCATGGGGGCGGTTGCCTCCATACTGTTCTATTGACAGTGAGTGAGTTCTCATGAGATCTGATGGTTTTATAAGGGGTTTTTCCCCTTTTACTCAGCACCTCTCCTTGCTGCCACCATGTGAAGGACGTGTTTGCTTCTCCTTGTGCCACGATTGTAAGTTTCCTGTGGCCTTCTCAGCCATGCTGAACTGTGAGTCAATTAAATGTCTTTCCTTTATAAATTGCCCAGTCTTGGGTATGTCTTCATTAGCAGCATGAGAAGTGACTAATACAACTATGCTCAGTTAACTTTTAAAACAATTTTTAGTAGACGCAAGGTCTCGCTATGTTGCCCAGGCTGGTCTCGAACTCCTAGCCTCAAATGTTTCTCCCACTTCAGCTTCCCAAAGTGCTAAGATTACAGATATGAGACACGGAGACTGGCCTGGGAGGCTGTGACATTGACAAAGATAGATTTGGTCTCCCTCCCGGTTTCCTGGTGGAAAAAAACAAAAACAAAAAAACCTCTTAAGTCCTTGGAATCTACTCTGGAGTAATAAGTGTCTTTTGTATGTTAATGAAATGACTGGTGTCTGGAGGCCCTTAGAGAGCTTCAGGATTCTAAGGTATGATTAGAGAGTTGGGGCTTCCAGGTGCATACCCTTATCATTCAGGGAGGGGAGAGGATGAAGGTTGAGTTGAACCACCAATGGCCAAGGATTTAATCAATCATACTGAGAAAAGAAAAATAGCTCAGAGCAGTCTGAGCTATGTGAAGCATGCAAAATTCATCAGGCCCAGAGACAAGAGTATAGAACTTCAGTCATTACCTGCCCCCATTCAGACTTTTTATAACTGAATTTGCTTGGGGGTGACTGTTTTAAAATCATTTTGTTTTTGACTAGCTCCCTCACTCATTATTTTCTGTTCTTGAAATTTGTGATACAAAGAATAATGTATAGCTGGCCAGGCGTGTTGGCTTACACCTGTAATCCCAGCACTTTGGGAGGCAGAGGCGGGCAGATCACTTGAGGCCAGGAGTTCAAGACCAGCCTGGCCAACACGGTGAAACCACATCTCTACTAAAAATACAAAAATTAGCTGGGCATAGTGACGCACATCTGTAATCCCAGCTACTCAGGAGACTGAAGCACCAGAATTGCTTGAACCTGGGAGGCAAATGTTGCAGTGAGCTGAGATCGTGTACTGCATTCCAGCCTGAGCAACAGAGCAAGGCTGTCTCTGAAAAAAACAGAACACTGTATTGCCAATCAATGTATAGCTTACGTTATTTATTTACTTTTTTTTTTTTTGAGATGGAGTTTTGCTCTTGTTGCCCATGCTAGAGTACAATGGCACGATCTCGGCTCACTGCAACCTCCGCCTCCCAGGTTCAAGCAATTCTCCTGCCTCAGCCTCCCAAGTAGCTGGGATTACAGGCATGCACCATCACGCCCGGCTAATTTTGTATTTTTAGTAGAGACAGGGTTTCTCCATGTTGAGGTTGGTCTCGAACTCCTGACCTCAGGTGATCCGCCCACCTCAGCCTCCCAAAGTTCTGGGATTACAGTCGTGAGCTACCGCCCCCGGCCTTATTTACTTATTTTAAGGTAGAGTCTCACTCTGTTGCCCAGGTTAGAGTACAGTGACATGATCTTGGCTCACTGCAACCTCCACCTCGCAGGTTCAAGCAATTCTCCTGCCTCAGCCTCCTGAGTAGCTGGGATTACAAGTGTGTACCACCACGCCCACCTCAACCACAGCAGGATAGGGCACTGGTCAGAGTAATGAGGCCCCCTTTCCAGGCCCTAGCTCCTGGACATACCCTAAGCCATAAGGAAACCCGCTCCTTTGAAGGGAAGGACCCAGTCCCAGCAAGATTCATCATCTGCTAACTGAAGAGCCCTTGGACCCTGAGTAACCAGCAGCGATACTCAGATACTATATTAAGGGCCTTGGGTGAGACTCTGAGACTTGCTGGATTCAGGTGACAAGACATTCCCAGCTGTGGTGGCTACAGGGTGAAACTCCTGCTTGAGAAAACTGGAGGGAAAAATAAAAGGGACTTAGTCTTACAGCATAGGTATCAGCTTTGCCACAGTAGGGTAGAGCACCAGGAAGGCTCTTGGGGTCTATGATTCCAGGACTTGGCTCTTAAACAGCATTTTTGGACATGCCCTGGGCCAGAAGGGAGCCCATTATCCTGAGGGTGAGTACCAAGCCAGGCAGCATTCACCACAAGCTGATTTAGGAGACACTGGGCCTTAAGGGAACATTGGCGGTAGTCTGGCAGTACTCTCCATGGGCCTGTGATGGTAATGGCTATGAGGTGAGGGTCCTCTACCTTTGGAAACGGGAAGAAAGAGTGGAAAGGACTGCATTTTCGGGTTTGAGTACCAGGCTAGCCACAATACAACAGAACACCAGGTGGACTTCTCAGGTTTTTTTATTCTAGTCCCTGGCTCCCAGATGGCACCACTGGACCTGCCTGGGGCATGGGGGAGCTCGCTGCCCTGAAAGGAAGGACATAGGCCTTGCTGGCTTTGCATCTGCTGATTGCGGAGCCCAGGGACTTGAGTGGTCATAGCTGGTAGCCAGGGAGTGGTTACAGCAGGACTTGGGAGAGACCCAGTGCTGTGCTGGCTTCAGGTATGACCCAACACAGTCCTAGTGGTGGCCATAAGGGTGCTTGTGTCATGCCACCCCCAGTTCCAAGTGGCTCAGAACATAGAGAGAGACTCCATTTGTCTAGGAGAAAGTAAGGGAAGAGAACAAGAGGGAAGAGAACAAGAGTCTCTGCCTAGTAATCCAGGGAATTCATCCAGATCTTTTCCAAGACCATTAAGGCAGTACCTCTACCAATCTGCAAGAACCATAGCATTACTGGGCTTGGGGAGTCTCCTAAAGCAGGTAGAGCTTAGATGACAACACCCAAGTACTTTTGAATATCTGGAAGGTCTTCCCAAGAAGGATGGGTACAAATAAGCCCAGACTGCAAAGACTATAATGAGTATCTAACTCTTCAATGCCCAGACACAGATGAACATCTATAAGTACCAAGACCTTCCAGGAAAACATGATCTCACCAAATGAACTAAACAAGGCACCAGGGACCCATCCTGGAGAAACAGATATGTGACCTTTCAGACAGAAAATTCAAAATAGCTGTTCTGAAGAAACTCAAAGAAATTAAAGATAATACAGAGAATGAATTCAGAATTTTATCAGATAAATTTAACAGAGATTGAAATAATTAAAAAGAATCAAGAGGAAATTCTGGAGCTGAAAAATGCAATAGGCATACTGCAGAATGCATTAGAGTCATTTAATAGCAGAATTGATCAAGCAGAAGAATTAGTAAACTTGAAGATAGACTATTTGAAAATACACAGGGCCAGGTGCGGTGGCTCACGCCTGTAATCCCAGTACTTGGGGAGGCCAAGGCAGGCAGGTCACCTGAGGTCAGGAGTTCGAGAACAGCCTGGCCAACATGGCAAAACCCTGTCTCTACTAAAAATACAAAAATAGCTAGGTGTGGTGGCACGCACCTATAATTCCAGCTACTCAGGAGGTCGAGGTAGGATAATTGCTTGAACCTGGGAGGCAGAGGTTGCAGTGAGCTGAGTTCATGCCATTGCACTCCAACCTGGGCAACAGAGCGAGACTCCATCTGAAAAAAAAAAAGAAAAAAAGAAAAAGAAAAGTAAATACAAAAGCAGAGGAGACAAAAGACAAAAGGAATAAAAAAGAATGAAGCACACCTACAGGATTTGGAAAATAGCCTCAAAAGGGCAAATCTAGCCAGGAACAGTGGCTCACGCCTGTAATCCCAACACTTTCGGAGGCCAAAGTGGGCAGATCACCTGAAGTCAGGCATTCACAACCAGCCTGGCCAACATGGTGAAACCCCATCTCTACTAAAAATACAAAAATTAGCTGGGTGTAGTGGTACATGCCTGTAATTCCAGCTACTTGGGAGGCTGAGGCAGGAGAATCGCTTGAACCCGGGAGCTAGAGGTTGCAGTTAGCTGAGATTGCGGCACTGCACTCCAGCATGGGCAACAGAGCCAGACTTCATCTCAAAAAAAAAAAAAAAAAAAAAAATAGGGGGACATATCTAAGAGTTATTGGCCTTAAAGAGCGTGTAGGAAAAGACACAGGGGCCCATGCAGCGGCTCACGCCCGTAATCCCAGCACTTTGGGAGGCTGAGGCCGACGGATCACGAGGTCAGGAGTTCAAGACCAGCCGGGCCAATATGGTGAAACCCCATGTCTACTAAAAATACAAAAATTAGCTGGGTGTGGTGGCACACACTTGGGAGGCTGAGGCAGAAGAATTGCTTGAACCCGGGAGGCAGAGGTTGCAGTGAGCCGAGATCGTGCCACTGCACTCCAGCCTGGGTGACAGAGTGAGACTCCGTCTCAAAAAAAAAAAGAAAAGAAAAAGAAAAAGAAATAGGAGTAGGAAGTTTATTCAAGGGGATAATAGCAGATAACTTCCCAAACCTAGAGAAAGATATCAATATCCAAGTACAAGAAGGTTATAGAACAACAAGAAGATTTAACCCAAAGATTACCTCAAGACATTTAATAATCAAACTTCCAAAGGTCAAAAATAAAAGATACTAAAAGCAGCAAGAGAAAAGAAACAAATTACATATAATAGAACTCCAATATGTCTGGCAGCAGACTTTTCAGTGGAAACCTTACAGGCCACGAGAGAGTGGCATGACATATTTAAAGTGCTGAAGGAAAAAACTTTTACCCTAGAATAGTATATCCAGTGAAAATATCCTTCAAGCATGAAGGGGAAATAAATACTTTCCCAGACAAACAAAGCTGAAGGATTTCATCAACACTGGTTCTGTCCTACAAGAAAAGCTAAAGGGAGTACTTCAATCAGAAAGCAAAGGACGTTAATGACTAATAAGAAATCTTCTGAAGGTATAAGACTCACTGGTAATAGTAAATACATAGAAAACCACAAAATATAACACTGTAACTGTAGTGTGTAAACTACTCTTAAGTAGAAAGACTAAACAATAAACCAATAAAAAATAATGACTACAACAATTTTCAAGACATAGTACAATAAGATATAAACAGAAACAAGTAAAAGTTTAAAAGTGGAGGGATGAAGTTAGGGTATAGAGTATTAGTTTTCTTTTTCCTTCTTTGTTTATGCAAACCATATTAAGTTGTAATCACGTTAAAATAATTAGCTATAAGATAGTGTATTAGTTTGCTTTCAAGCTGCTGATAAATACATACTCAAAACTGGGAACAAAAAGAGGTTTAATTGGACTTACAGTTCCACATGGCTGGGGAGGCCTCAGAATCATGGTGGGAGGTGAAAAGCACTTCTTACACGGCAGTGGCAAGAGAAAATGGGGAAGAGGCAAAAGCAGCAACCTCTGATAAACCCATCAGATCTCATGAGACTTAGTCACTATCACGAGAATAGCACAGGAAAGACTGGCCCCCATGATTCAATTACCTCCCCCTGGGTCCCTTGCACAACATGTGGGAATTTTGGGAGACAAAATTCAAGATAAGATTTGGGTGGGGACAAAGCCAAACCATATCATTCTGCCCCGGCCCCTCCAAATCTCATGTCCTCACATTTCAAAACCAATCATGCTTTGCCAACAGTCCCCAAAAGTCTTCATTCATTTCAGCATTAACCCAAAAGTCCACAGTTCAAAGTGTCATCGGAAACAAGGCAAGTCCCTTCTGCCTATGAGCCTGTAAAATCAAAAGCAAGCTAGTTACTTTCTAGATACAATGGGGGTACAGGTATTGGGTAACTACAGCATTCCAAATGGGAGAAATTAGCTAAAACAAAGGGGTTACAGGGCCCAGGCAAGTCTGAAATCCAGTGAGGCAGTCAATTTTAAAGCTCCAAAATGATCTCCTGTGACTCCAGGTCTCACATCCAGGTCACACTGATGCAAAAAGTGGGTTTCCATGGTCTTGTGCAGTTCCATCCCTGTGGCTTTGCAGGGTATAGCCTCCCTCCTGGCTGTTTCATGGGCTGGCATTGAGTGTCTGTGGCTCTTCCAGGTGCATGGTGCAAACTGCCAGTGGATCTACCATTCTGGGTTCTGGAGGATGGTGGCCCTCTTCTCACAGCTCCACTAGGCAGTGCCCTAGTAGGGACTCTGTGTGGAGGCTCCAACCCCATGTTTCCCTTCCACACTGCCCTAGCAGAAGTTCCTATCCCTACAGCAAACTTTTGCCTGGGCATCCAGGCATTTCATACATTTTCTGAAATCTAGGTGGAGGTTCCTAAACCTGAATTCTTGACTTCTGTGCACCCACAAACTCAACACCACATGGAAGCTGTCAAAGCTTGAAGCTTCTACCCTCTGAAGCCACAGCCCAAGTGCTAAGTTGGCCCCTTTCAGCCATGGCTGGAGTGGCTGGGACACAGGGCACCAAGTCCCTAGGCTGAACACAGTATGGGGACCCTGGGACCGGCTCACAAAACCACTTTTTCCTCCTGGGCCTCTGTGCCTGTGATGGAAGGGTCTGCTGTGAAGGTCTCTGACATGGCCTGGAGACATTTTCCCACGGTCTTGGGGATTAACATTAGGCTTCTTGCTACTTATGCAAATTTCTGCAGCCAACTTAAATTTCTCCTCAAAAATGGGGTTTTCTTTTCTATTGCATCATCAGTCTGCAAATTTTCTGAATTTTTATGCTCTGTTTTCCTTTTAAAATGAAATGCTTTTAACAGCACCCAAGTCACGTTTTGAATGCTTTGCTGTTTAGAGGTTTCTTCCACCAGATACCCTAAATCATCTCTCTCAAGTTCAAAGTTCCACAAATCTCTAGGGCAGGGGCAAAATGGCACTAGTCTCTTTGCCAAAACATAACAAGAATCACCCTTGCTCCAGTTCCCAACAAGTTCCTCATCTCCATCTGAGACCATCTCAGCCTGGACCTTATTGTTCATATCACTATCAGCATTTTTTGTCAAAGCCATTCAACAAATCTCTAGGAGGTTCCAAACTTTCCCACATTTTCCTGTCTTCTTCTGAGCCCTCCAAACTATTCCAACCTCTGCCTGTTATCCACTTCCAAAGTCGCTTCCAAATTTTTGGGTATTTTTTCAGCAATGCCCCAATCTACTGGTACCAATTTACTGTATTAGTTCGTTTTCACACTGCTGATAAAGATATATACCTGAAACTGGGAATAAAAAGAGGTTTAATTGGACTTACAGCTCCACATGGCTGGGGAGGCCTCAGAATCATGACGGGAGTGAAAGGGACTTCTTACATGGCAGTGGCAAGAGAAAATGGGGAAGAAGCAAAACCGGCAACCCCTGATAAACCCATCAGATCTCATGAGTCTTATTCACTATCACAAGAATAGCACAGTAAAAGACTGGCCCCCATGATTCAATTACCTCCCCCTGGGTCCCTCCCACAACATGTGGGAATTCTGGGAGATAAAGTTCAAGTTGAGATTTGGCTGCGGACACAGTGAACTCATATCAGATAGTATTTGCAAGCCTTATGGTAACCTCAAACCAAAAAAAATACAACATATATACAAAAAATAAAAAGGAAACTAAATCATATCACAGAGAAAATCACCTTCACTAAAGGAAAGACAGGAAGGAAAGGAAGAAGGAAGAGAAGACTACAAACAACCAGAAAACAAATAAGAAAACATCAGGAGTATTAAGTCCTTACTTATCAATCATAATATTGAATGTAAATGGACTAAACCTTCCAATCAAAAGACATAGACTGGCTGAATGGATTAAAAAGCAAGACTCAATGATCTATTTCCTACAAAAAGGACATTTTACCTATAAAGATACAAATAGACTGGAAACAAAGGGATGGAAAAGGATATTCCATGACAATGGAAACCAAAAAAGAGCAGAAGTAGCTATACTTATATCAGACAAAATAGATTTTGAAACAAAAACTATAAGAAAAGACAAAAAGGTCATTATATAATAATAAAGGGGTCAATTTAGCAAGAGGATATAACAATTATAAATACATATATATGCCCAACACTGGAGCACCCAGATATATAAAGGGAGTATTATTAGAGCTAATGAGAGAGACAGATCCCAATACAGTAATAGAGGGAGACTTCAACACCTCACTTTCAGCATTGGACAGATTTTCCAGACAGAAAATCAACAAAGAAACATTGGATATAATCTGCATTATAGACCAAATGGACCTAATAGATATTTACAGAACATTTCATCCAATGGCTGTAGAATACACCTTCTTCTCCTCAGTATATGTATCATTCTCAAAGATAAACCATCAGGTCACAAAACAAGTATTAAAACATTAAAAAAACTGAAATAATATCAAGCATTTTCTCCGACCATATTGGAATAAAACTAGAAATAAACAGCAAGAGGAATTTTGGAAACTATACAAATACATGGAAATTAAACAATATGCTCCTGAATGACCAGTGGGCCAATGAAAAAATTAAGAAGGAAATTGAAAAATTTATTGAAACGAATGATAATGGAAACACAACATACCAAAACCTATGGGATACAGCAAAAGCAGTAAGTTTATAGCTGTAAGTGCCTACATAAAAAAAAACCTGCAAATAAACAATCTAATGATGCATCTTAAAGAACTAGAGAAACAAGAGCAAATGAAATCCCAAATTAGTAGAAGAAAAGAAATCATAAAGATCAGAGCAGAGATAAATGAAATCGAAATGAAGAAAACAATACAAAAGATCAATGAAACAAAAAGTTGTTTTTTTGAAAAGTTAAAATCAACAAAACTTTAGCAGGCTAAGAAAAAGAGAAGATCCAAATAAATAAAATCAGGGACAAAAAATGAGATATTACAACTAATACCACAGAAATTCAAAGTATCGTTAGTGGCTATTATGAGCAACTAAATTCAGTAAATTGGAAAACCTAGAAGAAATGAACAAACTCCTAAACACATACAACATAACAAAGATTGAACCATGAAAAAATCTAAAACCTGAACAGACCAATAACAAATAAGGAAATCAAAGCCATAAAAAAAAGTCCCCCAGTAAAGAAAAGGCCAGAACCCAATGGCTTCACTGCTGAATTCTACCAAACACTTAAAGAAATAATACCAATCCTACTCAAACTATTTTGAAAAATAGAGGAGAAGGAAATCTTTCCAAACTCATTCTACAAGACCAGTGTTATCCTAATACCAAAACCAGACAAAGACACATACAAAAAAGAAAACTGCAGGCCACTATCACTGATGAATATTGACACAAAAATCCTTAACAAAATAGTAGCAAACCAGCTGTATGCAGTGGACTCATGTCTGCAATCCCAACACTTTGGAAAGCTGAGGCAGGAGGACAGCTTGACCTCAGGAGTTCAAGGCCAGCTTGGATAACATAGCAAGACTCCATCTCTACAAAAAATTAAAAATTAGTTGGGCATCATGGGGTATGCCTGTGGTCTCAGCTACTCAGGAGGCTGAGGTGGGAGGATTGCTTGGGCCTGGAAGGTGGAGTTTGCAGTAAGCCAAGATCACACCACTGCACTCCAGTCTGGGTGACAGGGTGAGACCCTGTCTCAAAACAAACAAATGAAAAACCGAGCAAATGGAATTCGATAATACATTAAAAAGATCATCATGACCATGTGGGATTTATCCCTGGGATGCAAGGATGGTTCAACATACACAAATCAATCAATGTGATACATTATATCAACAGAATGACAAATGATGTGATACATCATATCAACAGGACAAAAACCATATGATTATTTCAACTGATGCTGGAAAAGCATTTGATAAAATTCAACATCCTTTCATGATAAAAACTCTCAAGAAACTGGGGACAGAAGAAACAATTTTATAAGAAACAAATTTATAAGAAGTCAAATTATTCTTGTTTGCAGATGATATAATTTTATATTTGGAAAAACCTAAAGACTCCATTAAAGAAGTACTAGAACTCATAAACAAATTCAGTAAAGTTGCAGAATAGAAAATCAACATACAAAAATCAGTAGCATTTTTATATGCCAACAGGGAACAATCTGAAAAAGAAATTAAAAAGCGATTCCATTTATAATAGCCAGACATAAAATTAAATACCTAGGAATTAGCTTAACCAACAAAGTGAAAGATCTCTATACTGAAAACTATAGAACACTAATGAAAGAAATTGAAGGACACCAAAGAACAGAAAGATATTCCATGTTCTTGGATTGGAAGAATCAATATTGTTAAAATGTCCATATTACCAAAAGCAATCTACAGATTCAATGCAATCCCTACCAAAATACCAATGACATTCTTCACAGAAATAGAAAAAACTATCCTAAAATTTATATGAAACCACAAAGGACCCAGAATAGCCAAAGACATCCTAAGCATAAAGAACAAAACTGGAGAAATCACATTACGTGCCTTCAAATTATACACAGAGCTATGATAACCAAAATGGTATAGTACTGGCATAAAAATAGACACATAGACCAATAGAACAGAATAGAGAACCCAGAAACAAATCCACACACCTACAGTGAACTCATTTTGACAAAGGTGCCAAGAACATACACCAGGGAAAAGATAGTCTCTTCAATAAATGGTGCTGGGAAAACTGGATGTCCATATGCAGAAGAATAAAACTAGATCCCTATCTCTCACTGTATACAAAAATCAAATCAAAATTGATTAAGGACTTAAATCTAAGACCTCAAAGTGTAAGAGTACTATAAGAAAACACTGGGGAAATTCTCCAGGATATTGGTCTGTGAGAAAATTTCTTGAGTAATACCCCACAAGTGCAGGCAACCAAAGCAAAAATGGACAAATGGAATCACATCAAGTTAAAAAAAATCTTCTGCACAGCAAAGGAAACAATCAACAAAGTGAAGTGACAACCCATGGAATAGGGAAAATATTTGCAAAATGCCCATCTGACAAGGGTTTAATAACCAGAATATATAAGGAACTCAAACAACTATGTAGGAAAAAATCCAATAATCTGATTTTAAAATGGTCAAAATATTTGAATAGACATTTCTGAAAAGAAAACATACAAATGGCAAACAGGCATATGAAAAGGTGCTCAACATCATTGATTATCAGAGAAATGCAAATCAAAACTACAATGAGAGGTCATCGCACCCCAGTTAAAATGGCTTTTATGCAAAAGACAGGCAATGACAAATGCTGATGAGGATGTGGAGAAAAGGGAACCCTCATACACTATTAATGGGAATGTAAATTAGTACAACCACTATGGAGAACATCTTGGGGGTCCCTCAAAGAACTAAAAATTGAGGCTGGGCATCGTAGTGGCCCATGCCTGTAATCCTAGCACTTTGGGAGGCCAAGGCGGGCGGATCACTTCAGGAGTTCAAGACCAGCCTGGCCAACATGGCGAAACCCCATTTCTACTAAAAATACAAAGAAAAAAAAAAGCCAGGTGCGGTGGTGCATAAGTACGCCTGTAATCCCAGCTACTCAGGAGGCTGAAGCAGAAGAATTGCTTGAACCTGGGAGGCAGAGTTTGCAGTGAGAAAGAAGGTGCAAGACTGTTTCAAAAACAAAAAACAATAAAACCTAAACATTGAGCTATCATATATTTGAGCAATCCCGCTGCTGAGTATATATCCAAAAGAAAGGAAATCAGTATATCGAAGAGATATCTGCACTCCCATGTTTTTTGCAGCACTGTTCACAATAGCCAATATTGGCAAGCAACCTAAATGTCCACCAACAGATGATTGGATAAAGAAAATATGGTACTTATACATAATGGAATACTATTCAGCCGTAAAAAAGAATGAGATCCTGTCATTTGCAATACATGGATGGAACTGGAGGTCATTATGCTAAGTGAAATAAGCCATGCACAGAAAGACAAACATCATATGTTCTCATTTATTTGTGGGATCTAAAAATCAAAACAATTCAACTCATGGAGATAGAGAGTACAAGATGGTTACCAGAGACTGGGAAGAGTAGTGGGGAAATTGGGGGAGGTGGGGATGGTTAATGCGTATGACTATAAAAAAAGTTTTAACTATAAAAAATAAAGAATGAATAAGACTATAGTCAATAATTGTACATTTTTTTAGATTGTACATTTAAAAATAACTAAAGAAACAGACCAGTTGCAGTGGCTCACACCCGTAATCCCAGCACTTTGGGAGGCTGAGGCAGGAGAATTGCTTGAGCACACAGGTTCGAGACCAGCCTGGGCAACATAGTAAGACCTTGACTCTACAAACATAAACAAAATTAGGCCGGGCGCGGTGGCTCACACCTGTAATCCCGGCACTTTGGGAGGCCGAGGCGGGCGGATCACAAGGTCAGGAGATCGCGACCATCCTGGCTAACACAGTGAAACCCTGTCTCTATTAAAAATACAAAAAAATTAGCCTGCGTGGTGGCAGGCGCCTGTAGTCCTAGCTACTCCGGAGGCTGAGGCAGGAGAATGGCGTGAACCCGGGAGGCGGAGCTTGCAGTGAGCAGAGATCACGCCACTGCACTCCAGCCTAGACCACAGAGCGAGAGTCCATCTCAAAATAAATAAATAAATAAATAAATAAATAAAATAAAATAAACAAAATTAGCCAGGTGTGGTGGCACATGCCTGCAGTCCCAGCTACTGTGGAGGCTGAAGTGGAAGGATCACTTGAGCCCAGGAGGTCAAGGCTGCAGTGAGCTGAGATTGCGCCACTGCACTCCCAGCCTGGGCAACAAAGCAAGACCCTGAAAAAGAAAAAAGAAAAGAAAAGAGAAAAACCAAAAAAGTATAATCATATTATTTGTAATGCAAATGCTTGAGGGGATGAGTACCCCATTCTCCACGATGTGATTATTACTCATTGCATGCCTGTATCAAAACATCTCATGTACTGCATAAATACACACACCTACTATGTACCTATAAAAATTAAAAATAAAATTTTTGTTTAAAAATCCACTTGTAACTTCTGCTAATCAGATTGTATATTCAGGGCAATTTGAATCTATGCTCTGGGTTGTAATCCCTAAGCCTGGATCAAATAAATTCTCTACTTACATTAATTTTGCCTCAGCTTCTTCCCTTTAGGTTGACAATGGCTACCTCATGAAACTTTCAAAAAAGCCCAAAAGGACTGGGTTTGGGGGACTTCTAAATAGCTGAACACAGGTTCCTGGAGGGTGGTGCACCCAGAGAGGGTATAGAAACTCCAAGCCCCTTCATGGGAAGGGATGATGTGCTCTGTTCATCTCTTCCACCTGGCTGTTCATCTGTATCATTTGTAATATCCTTTGTAATAGATGGGTAACATAAGTAAGTCTTTTCTTGAGATCTGTGAGCTGTGTGCCTTTTTCCTTAGCTGATTTTAATCTGTATCCTTTCACTGTAATAAACCATAACCATAGCTGTTTTTCTGAGTTTTGCACTTCATTCTAGGGAGTCATCAAACCTGAGGGGAGTCTTGGAGATTCCTGAGAGACAAGTTACTTTTTTTTTTTTTTTGCCCCTCATATTGTCCCACATACTTTGAATAACTGTGCTCTGCCTGATTTATTTGAGATCTTGAGCCAGCGAGGTCTGTAGGTATTTCCCCACACTCTTGTTTGAACTTCCCTGCAGGCAGCTCTTCCTCAAATATTGTACAGTTCAAGGTTACTGGTGTTTTCTAGTTTTATAAAAGCTTGTTTTTTTACATTTCATTTTAGGTTTGGGGGCACATGTGAAGGTTTATTACACAGGTCAAAACGTGCCACAGGAGTTTGTTGCAGATATTATTTCATCACCCAGGTATTGAGCACAGTACCCAATAGTTCTTTTCTACTCCTCTCTCTCTTCCCCTACTCCTCAAGTAGACCTCAGCATCTGTTGTTTCCTTCTTTGTGTTCATAGGTTTTTATCATTTAGCTCCTGAGAAGTTATTTAAAAGAAGTTATTCTAAAGAGAAGAATCTGACCCCAGAGCCTATGATCTTCCCATCATACCCCACTGCTATAATACTAACAAAAGTAGGCAAACAGATATTCCTGATTTCTCCTGATGAGATATACTTCATTTTGTACAACCAGAAGGGATTGGAAGAACAAAGCAGACTTATCTAGATGCTAATTTTAGTTAAACTGGTATGGAAGAACTACTCCAAGGGAGTCCTATATCCTTGTAAGTTGAAGGAAATGAAAATATTTCACTCCAAAGTATATTTCCTTGATATATTTCAGGATACCTATTCAGAATGGCTGGAAATACAAGAACAGTTGAAAAGTTGTCTTTCATGGGAGCAGGTGGATGGGGGGCGGGGATTTGCATCTATAGAGAATAAATTCAGCCAGGCTTTCTCTGAGGGCCTTCCTTCCTTTGTCAGATCTAGGAAAGATTCACTGAGAGTCTGAAACCTTTAAAGGTGTGAAAGCGATATTGACTATCTATTCTCTCTGAGGGCTGCTATAATACCTGTGAGGTTTCATCTATATAACAAGACCACCTTTGCTAGGGAGGCCTCCTCTTCTCCCCTTCCCTTAACCTGTTTTGCCATGATCTAAGCCCCCATTCTTTCTGTAATCTCAAGATGGTGTATAAGCTTCTATACCTCATTGGAGACTGGGGTAATCTTTCTGTGGTTCTCCCACACACACATTAATAGATTTGCATACTATTTCTCCTATTTATCTGCCTTTTGTCAGTTGATTTTTCAGTGAACCTTCAGAGGGTAAAGGAGAAGTTTTCCCTTGGCCCCTGCTAAGTTATGTCTTACCCTTAAATGCGTTTTTGCAGGGCTCCTCCATTTTCCAAAATAGTACTCCTCTTTCTCCTATTTGTTAAGTGTACATAAAAGAATCATTTTGCATGTTTTTCCCTGAAGAGATTAATTTAGCCAGATACCAAACTGAACAGTTTGGCTTCCTGTAGGCCAGAGGCATGTATACAAAGCTAGATATAGCTTGCTTGTCAGTGCATGCCGGAGTGATTGACTGCTGGGGTTGTACCCAATCCAACTTCTCCTTCTTCTACATTATATACCCCGATTTTTTTTTGCTGGGCACTGGTTTACTCAGCATAGGAACTACATTTTCTGGCTTTCCTTGCAGTTATATGAGGCCATGTAAGTTCTGGCCAACAGAATATTACTCAGCATAGGATGAGTTATTGCAGTTAAATGAGGCCATGTAAGTAAGTTCTGGCCAACAGAATATGAATGGAAGTAGTGTGCCTTAAAGGAAAATGGAATGCCCTTGCCTTCCCGTCGTTCTTTCTTACTGCCTGATATGTGGATATGGTAGTGAATTATTTTGAACTATGTGGATAAGGGAAACATGTTAAAGATGGTGAAGCAAAAACAAGATAGAGGGAGCCTAGGCTTTTGATCCATTGAGCCACCATCAGCACCCACTACATAATATAGGCATGTACTTTTGCAGACTGTGTTGTTCACAATTACCACAGCTGTGACTTAGGTTCTTTATAAGGAGGTATTCTTTACAAAAAGGTACACTTCATAACTGTTCTCATTCTCCTTTCTGCTAGGAACGTTTGGTAAAAGATATCACTGGTTTTCAGCCAGGCATGATGGCTCACGCTTGTAATCCCAGCACTTTGGGAGGCCGAAGCAGGTGGATCACCTGAGGTCGGGAGTTCCAGACCAGCCTGACCAACATGGAGAAACCCTGTCTCTATTAAAAATACAAAATTAGCTGGGCGTGGTGGCACATGCCTGTAATCCCAGCTACTCGGGAGGCTGAGGCAGAAGAATTGCTTGAACCTGAGAGGCGGAGGTTGCGGTGAGCTGAGATGGCACCACTGCACTCCAGCCTGGGCAACAAGAGCAAAACTCCATCTCAAAAAAAAAAAAAAAAAAAAAAAAGATATCACTGGTTTTCAACATCCTCCAGTCTATAGCTTCAGAGATGTAAGATCCAGCAGTATACCTGTCATCCTCTGGGTTTCCCAGCTGTTCACAGTTGCTCTGATGTTTTAACATCGTTTATAATACAACATGTACTTCTGAAACTGTTTTTGCAAAAATTATGACTGAAGAAATTATAATAGTGAAAGAGATCTGACCTAACTAACTCCATCTTACTTCTAACCTCCAAGCTGTTCTTGTTCATTCCTAGGTGTAGGCCCAACTAACTTTGGGAGAAACTTAGTTTATAGTTTAACTTCAAAACAAACTTGATAACAGCCCTTTCCCAAAACAAACCCCCTTCTTGCCTGGGGACTAGACTGCCTTTGCAGGACTAACAAATGAGCCACAAGATTAGAAATTATGGTTTAGGAGTCACTGTTGTAAACCTGAGATCAGTGCTTGAGATATTTTGCAGACCCTGTGTTGAGGTGCACCAGCTGATGACACCTAGATAGATAAACTGGCTCATGTGGTCTTGTGGCCCCCACCCAGGAACTGACTCAGTGCAAGAGGACAGCTTCAACTTTCTGTGATTTAGTCTTCGACCTGATCAATCAACACTCCCCACTTTCTAACCCCCTACCCACCAAATTTTCCTTAAAAACCCCTATCATCAAATTTTTGGGGAGACTGATTTGAGTAATAAAACTCTCGTCTCCCATACAGCTGACTCTGCATGAATTAATCTTTTTCTGTCTTGCAATTCCCCTGTCTTGATAAATCAGCTCTGTCTAGGCAGTGGACAAGTAGAACCCATTGGGTGTTACATTTCTGGAATTTCTTTCACCTATCCTATACTGGAATATTAAAACCCAAGTCTCTAACTTCTCATGCCAGACAGCTGCTCTCTTATTCTGCCATTTGGGTAATTAAAAAAATTAATTTATTCCTTAAAAAAATTTTTTTTTGGTAGAGACGAGATCTCACTTCGTTCCCTAGGCTGGTTTTGAACTCCTGGGTTCAAGTGATCCTCCTGCCTTGGCCTCTGAAAGTGCTGGGATTACAGGTGTGAGCCACCATGCCAGACCAATTTATTATTTAAAAGAATTAATTACAGAAAGTTTGGGAAAATCCCCAACTCCCAATATGACCAGTACTATGATATTGTATTTCCTTCTAATTCCTTTTATAAGCATCTTTTGTTTAAACATTGTCTGCATCAAAATGTTTATCGTATGCTCTTTTCACTTATTACAGTATAAGCATTTTCCCACATTGTTATCTAATATTCACAGCCATCATCCTTTACAGCTGTATTATGTCCTATTAAGTGACTGTATTATACTTTACCTAATTAGTCTCCTATTATTTGATATTTAGGATACTCTCCGTAATGTTACACACGGTTTGGAAAGCATGTTGATGCAGTACAGCTGGTGAGAACTTAGAGCTTCCCTTGTCATTGCTGGCTATTTGTCGCTACTATTGGTTCGGTCTGAAGTCCTGTTGGCTACCTTGCCTGAAGAACATGTAGATTTTCTATGCTTATTTTTGGCTTTGTTAACTATTAATGTTATGAGGTGACACAATATTTATGTTCTAAAATTTAGGAACAACTTTTAGCTTGTGTTTAAGTAAAACCAGGTTGTCTATACTTTGATTTGAAAAAAGCAAGGGAACTGTTCCTCTGGAAAAGTGGTAGAGAAAACGTAAAAAATAACCATTGCCTGTGAAAGTCAGGACTGGGATCAGGGAAATGAAAACAAAAATAAAGGTAGAGTTTCAATTAATTCCTTCCATTTTCTTTCCTAAATATAGTTTTCAACCTCGGATGCACATTAGAATCACACAAGGATGCTTTTAGAAAAGTATTGATCCACAGACCCTGTGCCCACAGGTTTTTATTTTATTCTTCTATGTTGGAGCCCAGGCATGTGCAGCGGGGTCAGAATCCACCACCCTAAAAGGCTGTGTACAAATAATGTGGAAAAACATTCAGCCTCACTAGCCATCAAAGAAATTCAAAATAGGCCAGGCACAGTGGCTCATGCCTGTAATCCCAGCACTTTGGGAGGCCAAGGCGAGTGGATCGTCTGAGGTCAGGAGTTCGAGACCAGCTTGGCCAATATGGCGAAACCCTGTCTCTACTAAAAATAAAAAAATTAGCTGGGTGTGGTGGCATGCACCTGTAGTTCCAGCTACTCGGGAGGCTGAGGCAGGAGAATCGCTTGAACCCAGAAGGCGGAGGTTGCAGTGAGCAGAGATTGTGCCACTGCACTCCAGCCTAGGTGACAGAGCGAGACTCCATCTAAAAAAAAAACCAAAAAAACAAAAAACAAGTTCAAAATAAAATCACAAGTAATTTCTGTCTATAAGTGCACTTAAAAATAATAGAATATGTTGAACAAAAGAAGTCAGACACAAAAGAGTATGAAGCTGCCCCAACAAGGTTGACAGGAAGTACATGCTGGGTTCTGGACAGCAATATAATTATAATAAAGCATTAATCAGGCTTCACTTTGGTCCACTTCCTTGTTGCTAAAAGTCACACAGCATTAGATACTGATCATTTGCATCCCCATTGTTCCTACAGACAGGACCTCTAACATTTAGAATCGTAGGGTTTTTTTTAAGAATTGCTTGGCCGGGCGCGGTGGCTCACACCTTTAATCCCAGCAGGGATTACAGGAGGCTGAGGCGGGTGGATCATTTGAGGTCAGGAGCTCAAGACCAGCCTAGCCAACATGGTGAAACCCCATCTCTATTAAAAATATAAAAATTAGCCGGGCAGTAGTGGCGTGCGCCTGTAATCCCAGCTACTCGGGAGGCTGAGGCAGGAGAATTGCTTGAGCCTGGGAGGTAGAGGTTGCGGTGAGCCAAGATCAGGCCACTGCACTCCAGAGTCTGGGCAAGAGAGTGAGATCCTGTCTCAAAAAACAAACAAACAAACCAAAGGAGTTGCTTAAGATGTTTTTCAGACACAAATTCCAGCAACCAGTTTGAAAACCCCCAGAGAGGAACAGCATCAGCATGAGAATATAGCTACTTCATCTCCCTGTCCTATGACTTCACCCTGGACTCTTTGACCTATCAACCATCTTCACATTTTGGCCCAATCCAAAATCCTTAAAAACCCTAAACCTAAGTTCCTCAAGGAGATGGATTTGAGGTTTCCTCCCATCTCCTCATTTGATGACTCTACGATTAAACCTCTTTCTCTGCTGCAACCCAGTGGCTTGGTGTATTGACTTGCTGTGTGCATTGGGCAACAAACCTATTATGGTTACCATTACATGTAGTATAATTCCATTTAGAAGAAATTCTAGGACAGGCAGAAATCAGAACAGTAGCTACTTGGAGGGAGATGGGAGAAGCAGTAGGTGCAGATCATCTGCAAACAGGTCATAGAGAACTTTTAAAGGACAGTAGAAATATTCTGTATCTTTTTTTTTTTTTTCGAGATGGAGTCTTACTCTGTCATTCAGGCTAGGGTGCAGTGGCATGATCTTGGCTCACTGCAATATCTGCCTCCTGGGCTCAAGTGGTCCTCTTGCCTCAGCCTCCTGAGTAGCTGGGACCACAGATGTGCACCACCATGCCTAGCTAATTTTTGTATTTTTGGTAGAGACAGGGTTTCACCATGTTGCCTGGCCTGGTCTTGAACTCCTGAGCTCACGTAATTTGCCCGCCTCAGCCTCCCAAAGTGCTGGGATTACAGGCATAAGCCACTGCGCCTGGCCCTGTTCTGTATCTTCATTGGGGTGGTGGTAATATGGGCACAAACATTTGTCAAAACTTATCCAATTGTACATTTAAAAATCTTTGCATTTATTATACGCAAATTATATCTCAATTAAAGAATATTGGCCAGGTGCGGTGGCTCACGCCTGTAATCCCAGCACTTTGGGAGGCCGAGGCGGGTGGATCACGAGGTCAGGAGATCGAGACCATCCTGGCTAACACGGTGAAACCCTGTCTGTAATAAAAATACAAAAAATTAGCCAGGCGTAGTGGCGGGCGCCTGTAGTCCCAGCTACTCGGGAGGCTGAGGCAGGAGAAAGGCGTGAACCCAGGAGGTGGAGCTTGCAGTGAGCCGAGATCCGGCCACTGCACTCTATCCTGGGCGGCAGAGCGAGACTCCATCTCAAAAAAAAAAAAAAAAGAATATTGGGGAAAATTTCATCAGAACCTCTCTCCCCCATCAATAGTAGTATTCAATGCTAACGAGGATGTGGTAAAATTGCTACTCTTATATAATGAAGGCAGAAAAATTTGGTAGTGTCAGAGGCATTTGAACCAGAGCAACTCCATGTTGAATAAGCTGGGTAAAATGAGAATGAGACTTGCTGGGCTGCATTCCCATGAGTTAGGCATTCTTAATCACAGGATGAGATAGGAAGTCGGCACAAGATACAGGTCACAAAGATCCCTGTGATAAAACAGAATACAGTAAAGAAGCCAGCCAAAACCAGCCAAAACCAATATGGCAATGAAAGTGACCTCTGGTCGTCCTCACTCCCCATTATATGCTAATTATAATGTATTAGCATGATAAAAGACACTTCCATCAGCGCCATGACAGTTTACTAATGCCATGGCAACATCTGGAAATTACCCTATATAGACTAAAAAAAAGAGGAACCCTCAGTTCTGGAAAAATTCCTGTCCCCTTCCCAGAAAGCACATGAATAGGCCGGGCACGGTGGCTCACGCCTGTAATCCCAGCACTTTGGGAGGCCGAGGCGGGTGGATCACGTCAGAAGATCGAGACCATCCTGGCTAACACGGTGAAACCCCGTCTCTACTAAAAATACAAAAAAAAATAAGCCGGGCGTGGCAGTGGGCGCCTGTGGTCCCAGCTACTCTGGAGGCTGAGCCAGGAGAATGGCGTGAACCTGGGAGGCGGAGCTTGCAGTGAGCCGAGATCGTGCCACTGCACTCCAGCCTGGGCGACAGAGCGAGTTTCCGCCTCAAAAAACTAAAATAAAATAAAATAAAATAAAGCACGTGAATAATCCACCCCATATTTACAATCAAGAAATAACCATAAAAATAGCCAACCAGCAGCCCTCGGGGCAGCCTCTGTCTATAGAGCAGACATTCTTTTATTTCTTTACTCCCTTAGTAAGTTTGCTTTTACTTTACTTTTTAGATTTGCCCCGAATTCTTTCTTGCATGATTTCCAAGAACCCTCTGTTGGGGTCTGGGTTCAGGACCCCTTTCTGGTAATAGTAGGATACTTTGGAATGTTTGTCAATACATTTTAAGATCTATAGTTCTATAAAAATAAATTTAAAAATGAAAAATATAATACTAAAATGATTTTTTTCAGCACTGTTTTGAATAAAAATATTCAACCATCAGACCAGTGAGTAATTCTTAACCAAATTAGGATTATGTTGTGAGAGTTAATTCCAGCAGGTCTAGGATTAACCTAAACTGTTTTGCTAAAGTGCCTGTTTGGCACTGACTGTTGGTCAAGCATACGACAGAGGGAAATATAACGATTAAAATAGTGTGGCATCATAACCTCAGGTCCAAGTAGTTTCATGGCAGTTTGTACCAGTTTATCAGCATTGTTTATTGATAACAGTGATAATGATGATTTGCACCTGGTCTCATTGAGACCCCCAAGAAGTCTCTGCTCTTGAAACAGGTTACATGGCAGGAATATGCTTATGTGAACAACAGAATATAAAAAGTATTTAATAAAATCTCAGCTGAGACTTGGTTTTGGGCTCCCTGGTTGTGAGGTGGTCAATGCACACATGAGTGGTTCCTGATCTGAGGGAGGAAGTGCATCCAGCCACGACCCTTACAGAGTGAACAACATTGCAGCTGCTGCCTGACTTCTCTGGCCCCCTTGCTGTGAAACACACATGGGCTCTAATGCATATTCTTCCTCTAATGCTGTTTCTATATGATATCCTATTCCTGAAATAAGGTATACATTTGTTAGCACTGTAATTGTATGTTCTGTTTGTCTGTTAGCAGTTGTACCCTGTTTAACTGCTGCTGTTAGTGCAAGGGCATATCAACTTCATGAAATATTAAGTTTTATGGAAATAGCAAATTTGAAGACTATAGCAACAAAGCACAATGCTTATCATATGATATTAAGAGAAAGACAGTATAAAACTTTTATGAAAGCTATAATAAAACCATAAAATTATGTTTATTGACAAGACACTAGGAGTGAACTTGGGAGAATGTCTGCATAAGTTTTGTTTCATTCAAAAATTTTACACTGAGAGGTGTGCCATAAATAATTACAAAAAAAAAATTGCACTGGGCACAGTGGCTTATGCCTGCCTATAATCCCAGCATTTTGGGAGGCCAAGGAAGGAGGATCACTTGAGGCAACATAGTGAGACCCCTGTCTCTATAAAAAAATTAAAAAGTGAGCTGGGTGAGCCTGTACATGACTGCAGTCCCATCTACTCAGGAGACTGAGGTGGGAGGATCACTTGAGCCCAGGAGGTTGAGGCTGCAGTGAGTTGTGATCGTGACACTCCACTCCAGCCTGGGTGACAGAGTGAGATCCTATCTGAAAAAAGAATTTTTTTTTGCAATGTTGTTTCATTATATGTAAAATGAAAAAAAAATTAACTGCCTAAAAACCAAATGTCATTTTACCTTTGGACAATGGTATTTGCCTGATATACATATATGTATGTATGTATGTATGTATAGAAAGAGAGAATATATAAGTACCATATATGTAATAGGTATATCATTATATATAACATCTATATAATATACATATTAGTAATATTTTGTGTCAGTTCTCTAAAATAAAAAATAAAAAAGCTCTTTAAATGAGGAGAGGGTGGTTCAGGCTGAGGAAAGTATGTGAGGTGAAAAAAAGTGTGAAGGCAAGTGAGAAGGGTGTATTTGGGGAAAAACAAGTTCAATACCATCAAAGCTCAATGAATGGTAATTCCCTTCTCCTTCCCTCTCTTGAGAAGAAATTAGGCCCCATATTTCCCTAGGAAAAGCCCTGTGGATAGCACTTTTGGAAACATAGGAATTTTATGATGGCCCTCTTGAAAGGTTGCTTCAGTGAGCAGCCCACCATTTAGCCCTAGAGCCTGCTCAGCAAGAAATAACTACTCTACATAGTTTTCTTCCAAAGAGAACTTGTCTTTGTTTACCTCACATGGACATTAAGCAGCTTCAATAATCGCAAATATTCTTCACGTAGAGCTTCCTTCTCTTGCTGTAGCTTAGATAGCTTCTCTGACAATTCCTGGTTGCTTTTGACATGCTGAAAAACATTGAAAAATAATGAGAACTCTGACCTGACAAAGGTATGATGTTGAAGAAATGCAAAGTCTTTCTGGTAAAAAAAAAAAAAAAAGCTTATAGTCACTCCTGCTTCTGAGATCATAGTAGCTTCACGGGATTCCTGTACTTCCAGATTTTCTGAAAGTCAGCAACTATTTCCCCTTGCCTTTTGCTTCCCCAGCCTTCCCAATAATTTTGTAAGCATCTAATTCCCTTTATTAAAAATCTTCCAAGGCCGCGTGTGATGACTCACACCCATAATCCCAGGACTTTGGGAGGCTGAGGCAGGCATATAGCTTGAGCTCAGGAGTTTGAGACCAGGCTGGGCAATATGGTAAAACCCCATATCTACAAAAAAATATAAAAATTTGCCAGGTGTGGTGGTGTGTGCCTATAGTCCCAGCTACATGGGAGGCTGAAGTAGGAGAATGGCTTGAGCCTAGGAGGCAGAGGTTGCAGTGAGCTGAGATCATGCCACCACACTCCAGCCTGGGTGACAGAGCCAGACTCTGTCTCAAAACAAAACAAAACAAAACAAAAAAACAAAAAATCTCCCAGCTTAAAGTATATAAAGTGAAAGCTGTTCTCTTCAGTTAATTAACTCTGATAAAATATTTGGTTCTATAAGTGACTGCAGTGATGAGAAACTCAAAATTAGGAATTTGGGATTGGTTATCTGACTTGGCTAGCTTTGAAGGTGATATAGTCTTGTCACTAGTTCTAGCAATCTATGGCAAAAGAATTGATTATCACTTATAGTTGCTGGTAATGAAGTACTTTGGAAGACCACATGAGTGGTATAAAAAATGTTATAATGGAATTGAGGACTACAAGGATTGTGAGGTGGGCTAGCCACATCTGATCATGTTACTGAGCTTAGAAGAAAATGTCCAACTTGGGGATTTAATTACTGGAACAAGGCATTGTCTGAGAACCACAGATCTTCTATGAGTGTCCTAAAATAATTTCTCTCTTGTAGTCAGAAGACCGATATATCCAAAAACCAAATCCCAAATATCAAGTGGACTGCAGAATTACAGCACTAATTGATTTCACAGGCTTGCTAGGTCTCTTATGTGAGAAACAGGCTTTGGGAATGCGTGGAAACCTGAGAATTACAGTGCCTCTCTTGCCATCACAAGCACTCCCTCCACTCCTGTCTAAGGAGATTAAGTTTGAAGATTCTGTATTGATTTCACCCAAGGCACTTACCTTGTAAGGGGATGCCTATAGTCCTCGAGGCCCACCTCTATACCACCACCACTTCTCATTGTCTCCAATCCTGTAACTACAGTTGGATCCCAGCACACCATGGTTAGTTGGGGTTAAGTGTAGGGACTGACTTTGGGACTGCCATATTGAAAGAATGGCAAGATTTTGCCAACTTAAATTGGCAAAAACTCTAGGACTATATTCAGGAATGTATTTGTAGGGAGTTACACTAATCAGTGCCCCTAACCCCTGAACAACATGAGAGTTAGGGGCACTGACCCCCCACACAGTTGAAAATCTGCATTATGATTTTTTTGACTCCCCACCAAATTACTAATAGCCTACTGTTAACTAGAGGCCTTATCAACAACATAAGCAGTTAACACATATTTTGTATGTGTATCATGTATTGTACTCTTGCAATAAAGTAAACTAGAGAAAATAAAATTTTATTAAGAAAACGATAAGGTAGAGAAAATATATTTACTATTCATTAAGTAGAAGTGGATCATCACAAAATTTTTCATCCTCATTGTCTTCATGTTGAGTAGGTTGAGGAGGAGGAGAAGAGGAGAAATTGGTCTTGTTATCTCAGGGGTGGCAGAGCTGGAAGAGGTGGAGAAGGTGGAAGGGAAGGCAGGAAAGGCAGGGACACTCAGTATAACTTTACAGAAATACACTGTAATTTGACTTTTTTGCTTTTTCATTTCCCTAAAAATATTTCTATACAGTACAAATCCTTCTTTCATTGTTTGTGTTAGTTTCAGTGCCTGTATCACATAGAAATGTCCATATTGTAAAATCTGTCAAAAGCAGTCTTGAATATTTGGAATCCTTCTGCCAGATTGTCTAAGGTCAATTTGTTTTCTAGTACTGCTTTTTCTGTTTTCTTCCTCATCATGTGGCACTGGTTTGAAAGTGCTAATCTCCATCAAGTTGTCTTATGGTAATTCCTCCTCTGGATGTGGTGTCTATTTGCTCTTGAATTTCTCCAAGATTCATATCTTTTTTTTTTTTTTTTTTTTTTTTGAGACAGAGAGACGGAGTCGCGCTCTGTCTGTCGCCCAGGCTGGAGGGCAGTGGCGCGATCTCGGCTCACGGCAAGTTCCGCCTCCCGGGTTCACGCCATTCTCCCGCCTCAGCCTCCCGAGTAGCTGGGACTACCCAGGCGCCCACCGCCACGTCCGGCTAATTTTTTTTTGTATTTTTACTAGAGACGGGTTTCACGGTGTTAGCCAGGGTGGTCTCGATCTCCTGACCTCGTGATCCGCCCGCCTCGGCCTCCCAAAGTGCTGGGATCACAGGCGTGAGCCACAGTGCCCGGCCAGACTTGATGGCTTTCACAGCTTTTTCTATAACAATGATGGCATGTCCGTGCCTGTCACTTGCCACATAAACTAAAAATGACAAAAATCAAAACAAACAAAAACAATGATGGCATCTTCAACAGTGCAATCCTTCCAGACTTCTCTCTCTATCGGGGTTCTCTTCCATAGTTGACAATCCTTTCCATAGAGTACCGTGTGTGATGAGCCTTAAAGGGCCTTATGACCCCTGATATAGAGGCTGAATTACAGACATGGTGTTTGGGGCTGAATTACAGACATGGTAATGAGCCTTAAAGGGCCTTATGACCCCTGGTCTAGAGGCTGAATTACAGACATGGTGTTTGGGGCTGAATTACAGACATGGTAATGAGCCTTAAAGGGCCGTATGATCCCTGGTCTAGAGGCTGGATTACAGACATGGTGTTTGGGGGCAAGTAGACCACTTCAACATCTTTGGTGTTGAACTCATGTGGTTCTGGGTGGCCAGGGGCATTTGTCCAACATCAAAAGAACCTTAAAAGGCAGTCCCTTGTTACCAAGGTACTTCTTGACTTCAGGCAGAAAGCATAGATGGAATCAATCTAAAAAAAGAGTTCCTGTTGTGCAGACCTTCTTTTTATACAATGAAATGACTGACAGCTGGTGTTTACCTTTTCCCTTCAAGGCTTGGGGATTAGAAGCTTCATAGATATCCCTTTCTGCTTTAAATCCGTGTTCACTGATTTTCCTTACTAATACATGTCCTTTGTGATTTTTTTTTTTCCCAGAACAGGGCACTTTCACCCACATTCAAAAACTGTTCAGCAGATATCCTATTTCCTCAATGATTTTCTTCCTTCCTTTCTTTTTTTTTTTTTTTTTTATAGAGACAAGTTCTTGCTATGTTGCCCAGGCTGATCTCGAACTCCTGGCCTCAAGTGATCCTCCTGCCTCAGCCTTCCAAAATGTTGGGATTACAGGAGTGAGCCACTGTGCCTGGTCACAATTATCTTCTTAACGGCATCTGGGAACTCACCTGCTGTCTCTGTCAGCAGAAACTGCATCTCCTGTTTTCTTGACATTTTTAAAGCTAAACCTCTTCCTAAAATTAACAAACCACCCTTTTTAAAGCTAAACCTCTTCCTAAAATTAACAAACCATCTTTTGCTGGCATTATTATTTTTTAGAGATTGGGTCTTTCTCTGTTGCCCAGGCCAGAGTACAAAGGTGCAATCATAACTCACTGTAGCCTCAAACTCCTGGTCTCAAGTGATCCTTCCACCTCGGCTTCCCTAGTAGCTGCTACTTTGCTAGCTTTAAATTCTCCAACTTTAAATTCTTCACTTTCCTTTTGGTTTAAATTGTCATATAATGACTTCTCTTTTTCTTGAGTCATATTAGAATCTATAGATATGCCCTTCTTATAGTAATCCTGCACCAACATAAAAGCTGCATTTTCAATATGGATAAAAAGGTATTTCACAAAAAGTGCATGGTTTTTACGCCTGCTAGCACAGCTGCAGCAACAGCTTCATGAATTTGCTTTTCTTTTTTTATAACGGTCCTCATGGTGGATTCATTTATCTTGAAATGTTGAGAAACCACAGTTGCAGACTTCATCTATGGTACCTATGAAGCAATTCAGCTTTTTATTGTAATGTCATAATTTTTCTTTGTTTCTTGGCAGCATTTCCGACGTCACTAGTGGCTACTTTGTATGAGTCCCATGCTGTAATTTAAGGTTTATGGTATTGCACTAAACACAGTGAAAAATACTTGAGACCCACGAGAGATTTCTTTTTAATTCAACACAAAATTTACTGGCCAGAGGAACCTGCTCATGCAAAGAAGATTGGTGTCACATGGCATTTTAAGAGGATACTTGCAACATGTGAGCTCGCTGCAGGCCGAGGCGGGTGGATCACTTGAGGTCAGGAGTTCGAGACAAGCCTGGCCAACATGGTGAAACCTCACCTCTACTAAAAGTACAAAAATTAGCCAGGTGTGGTAGCAGATGCCTGTAATCACAGCTACTAGGGAGTCTGAAACGGGAGAATCATTTGAACCCGGGAAGCAGAGGTTGCAGTGAGCTGAGAGCGCACCACTGCACTCCAGCTCGGCAACAGAGTGAGAATCTGTCTCAAAACAAATAAATAAATAAACTTACTGCAATACCAAAATGCAGTGGCTATGAAATTATTACAGCAGTACAGTGTGTACTATAGTTAATTTTATGCAGTTATGATTTAATACTGCATCTTTACATTTGTTTACCTTTCTCTCAACTGCAAATGACGCTATGTATGGTCTGTAAGTGTTTGTGTGTGTGTTTTCATAAATGTTAACTTTATAATAGAGTTAGGTATACTTTATGGAGTAAAGATAAAATAGTATCTACATATACGCTTTCACAACGTGCCTAACTTTTTCAATGTTTCTAAGCTATGTGGCTCATCTGCAAGTTTTTTTAAATTCTGGCAAATCTCCAGAAAATTTTCCAAAAGAATCTGCATACAAGTGGACCAACACAGTTCAAACCCATGTTGTTCACAGTCAAGTGTAATGTTAAATAGGCTGAATTTATTAATATGAATACACTTATTGGACATTCAGGATTTAATGTGTTAATTTGAACATCTAAGAGTGACTTTGGGCCAGGTGCAGTGGCTCATGCTTGTAATCCAAGCATTTTGGGAGGCCGAGGCAGGTGGATCACTTGAGCCCAGGAGTTCAAGACCAGCCTGGGCAACATATTGAAACTCTGTCTCTACATGCAATAATAATAATAATAAAATAGCCAGGCATGGTTGCATATGCCTGTAGTCCCAGCTACTTGGGAGACTGCGGTGAGAGGATGACTTAAGCCCAGGCAGTTGAGGCTACAGTGAGCCATGATGGCACTACTGCACTCCAGCCTGGGCGACAGAGTGAGACCCTGTCTGAAAAAAAATAATGACTTTGTTTGCTCTTTTGATTGACTGAAACTTGGACACACAAGTGACTTATATTAAATGATATTAAGGTGCCAAACTTCTTTGGCATAAGGGAGAAAAAGGCATCCAAAGGTTTAAGCAGATAGGAAATTTGGGGTGGGTTTATAGTTACTCTTCATAACCATGGGAATCCAAAAGATACTCCCCTCACCAAGGCTTTACCAAATAACACTGGTGAAAAAGCACCAAATTACTTGAAATGCTATATAATGCTAACCTATTGAGGATAATGGTGGAGGTGCCAACACTGAAATGGCTCCCTGATTTTAATGGGGATGATGGTACTACACAGTGTCAGAGGTCAAGCGGCAGTGCTTAACTTTCAGATACAAGGTAAGTATTATTAATGTTAGTAGGAAATTGGGCCAGAGATACAATCAAAGGGTTTGACCTATAGCTATCTTGTCATAGTTAGTTGATGACAATGACTGTAGGACTAAAATATACAGGCAGCCAATTAAAGTCTTACCTGAAATGTATTTTCAAACAAAGAAGTAAGTAAATAAATAAATAGAACCCCTTAGGTCTGGTGAACAAAGGCCCAATTTAAATGACAAGAATGGAAAGTAATGGCCTCTTCTTGTTCAATCCCTAGGCCTGGGTCAGCTCACAGATCCAGAGTCCTTTGAATGATGAGCATGCCAGGTTTTCTTCAGGAAAAACCCTGTGATACTGACACAAGTATGTGATCTTCTTCCAAACATTCCCCTAAGAGGACCTGTAGCCTCTTATCAAGGGGACTGGGCATTGGAGAAAGGGAATTATATAGACTTTTGGCGAACAGCAGTACAGTGATTCTGAGTCAACACTAATAGCTTGGAACCCAAAACACCATTGAATTTCACAATTCGAGGTGTGGACCTTAAGGAAATGAGGTGAAAAATGGAGTTTAAAATCACAGTGTATCTTAGGACACGTCCGCAGTGATTCAATGGCTACATGTATGTTTCTGAATCTCCTCAGTGGTTATTTCCCTAATTCTTGAATGTATAGTCAGAATAGATAATCTGGGATAGCAGACTCTCCATACTGGCTTTCAACCTGAGGAGTGAGGGCTATTGATGGAAGAAAAGGCCAAGTGCTTGGAGTTGCCTCTTTAGATTCTGGAATCAACATATACCACATTTGTTCCTTCAACTCATTTAATTTTTTAAAAGACAGAATCTCACTCTCAAATGCCTTTCTAAAATTAACAAACCATTCTTTGCTGGCATTATTATTTTTTAGAGCGTGGGTCTTGCTCTTGTTGCCCATGCTGGGGTGGGGTGCAGTGGTGCAGTCACAGCTCAGTGCAGCCTCAAATTCCTAGGCTCAAGTGATCCTCCCACCTCAGCCTCCCAAGTAGCTAGGACTACAGGCATGTACCACCCAGCTAATTAAAAAAAAATTGGAGAGACAGGGTCTTACTATGTTGCTCAGGTTGGTCTCAAACTTCTGGCCTCAAGCAATCCTCCCACCTCAGCCTTCTAAAGTCCTAGAATTACAGGTGTGAGCCACTATGCGTGTCCCTTCAAACCACTTATTAAGTGAGGGCTACAAGTTTTTAGTGGTGTCCAAAGAAAGACATTTTTCTTGCTTCCAAGTTTTGGCAGTTATGAATAAAGATGCTATAAACATCTGTATGCAGGGTTTTGGGTAGGCATAACTTTTTCAACTCCTTTGGGTAAATACCAAGGAGCATGGTTTCTGGATCATATGGTAAGAGTACATTTAGTTTTGTGAAAACCAGCAAACTGTCTTCCAAAGTGACAGCGCCATTCTGCATTCCCACCAGCAATAAATGAATGCAAAGATATTGCTTCATATGCTTGCCAGCATTTGGTGTTGTCAGTGCTCTGGATTTTGGTTCATTCTAATAGGTATGTAGTAGTATCTCATTGTTGTTTTAATTTGTATTTCCCTGATGACACATGATGTGGAAGTTTCCCATATTTCCAGTTTACTGACAGCATTTATAGTGAATGGATGTTGGATTTTGTCAAATCCTTTTTACGCATTTGCCATGGTTTGAATGATGGTGTTCCCTCCAAAATTCCTATTGAAACATAACTCCCAATGCACCAATATTAAGAGGTATAGCCTTTGGGAGGTGATTAAGTCATGAGGGCTCTGTCCTCATGAATGGAATTAGCATCCTTATAAAAGGGCTCCCAGTTGAAGGGAGCATCCTCTTACCCTTTTATCCTTTCCACTATGTGAAGACAAAGAGTTCCTCCCCTCCAGAGGGTGCAGCAACAAAGTGCCATTGGAAGCAGACAGCAGACATCATCAGACACCAATACTGCTGGCATCCTGATCTTAGACTTCCCAACCTCTAGGACTGGAAGAAATAAATTTCTGTTGTTTATAAATTACCCAGCCTAAGGTATTTTGTTATAGCAGCATAAACAGACTAAGATAGCATCAATAGATAGAATCATGTGATTTTCCTTTTTAGCTTGTTGATGCGATGAGTTACATAATTTATTTTCAAATGTTGAACCAGTTTTGCATACCTGAGATAAATCACTTGATCATGGTGCATAATTCTTTGTATACATTGTTGGATATGGTTTGCTAATATTTTGCTGAGGATTTTTATATCTACGTGAGAGATACTGGTCTGTACTTTTCTTATAATGTCTTTGGTTTTGGTATGAAGGGAATTCCAGCCTCATAGAATTAATTAGGGAGTATTCCCTCTGCTTCCATCTCCTAAAGAGACTACAGAGAATTGATATAATCTATTCTTAAATGTTTGGTAGAAATCACCAGTGAAACCATCTGGGCCTGGTGCTTTCTGTTTTAGAAGGTTAGTATGTGGATTCAATTTCTTTAATAGATATAGTTCTATTCAATTGTCTATTTCTTCTTGTGTGAATTTTGGCAGACTATATCAAGGAATTGGTCCATTTTATTTAGGTTATCACATTTGTGGGCATAAAGTTGTTCATAATATTTATTGATGATTGCTCTAATGTTCGTGGCATCTGTAGTAATGTTCCCTCTTTTCATTTCTGTTATTTGTAATTTGTAACTTATGTCCTCTCTCCCTCTTTTTTTTTGTTAGCCTGGCTAGAGGCCTATCAATTTTATTAATCTTTTCAAAGAGCCAGTTTTTAGTTTTGTTATTCTATTGAATACCCATTTAAATTTCATTGATTTCTTCAAAATTTTTTTTTTACACAAACACCACCATGTTAGATAATTTCATTGATTTCTCCTGTAATTTTTATTATTTCTTTTTTTTTCAGCTTACTTTGGATTTAATTTGCTCTTCTTTTTGTAATTTTCTAAGGCCAAAGCTTAGATAATTGATTTTAGATATTTTTTTCCTCCTCTGTATATTTTCAAATACCCTGTCTTGAGCTCACTGATTCTTCTACTTTATCCATTCTGCTGTCAAGAGCCTTTAGTCCATTTTTCAGTTCAGCAAATGCATTTCTCACAGTTCTAGGATTTCTGTTTGATTTAAAAAATTTTCAATATATTTGTTGAATTTATCTGATGAATTTCTGAATTTCTTTTCTGTGTTATCTTGGAATTCACTGAATTTCCTTAAAACTGCCATTTTGAATTCTTGATCCAAAACCTCACACATCGCCATCTTGTTAGGGCTGGTCACGGTCTCCTTGCTTTGTCTGTTTGGGGAAGTCATGGTTTCCTGTTTGCTGTTGTTCCTTTGGGCTTACATCTTTGTCTTCACATTGAAGGATTAGTTATTTATTCCAGTCTTTGCTGGCTGGCTTCTTTTTGTCTTTCTAGGGTGTGTTTGCTTACAGGTTCTTTGCAGTTCACCTGTTGAATCCCCTTTACTCTAGGTCACTGCCTCCTTTTCAGGACTAGATGGGTGCCTTAAGCCAAGGTTTGCCTCAGTTCTCCAAAACATTTGCAGTGCTGCCCATCCTGGATTGTGGTTAGGGGTGTCCCAAAATGGGATGCCCTGGCTATGTGGGAAGGTTAGCTAGGGGTTCATGCCCAGAAGACTCATGGACTCTGCCTCATACAGCATGGTGGTGCAGAACAGCCACTCTGGTTTTGCATCTCCTTTGGCTGAGATAAATAGCACGATTTTGTGGGCTGGGGTTGTTAGTCCCAATCCCCTCTCTTTGTTTCAAGCTGCCTTCAGGGGTTTTTCTCCCTTCAGACACTCACCAATGCTTCCCGTCTTTCTTCTCTTCTAATATATGCATTCAATGCTATAAATGTCCTTCAAAGAACCACTTTCCAACAAATTTTGATAAGTTGTATCTTCACTTTCATTTAGTTCAAAATATTTTGAAATTTCTCTTGCGATTTCTTCTTTGACTTTTGTGTTTACAAGTCTGTTGTTTAATCTCCAAGTATTTGGGAGTTTTCCAGCTATCTTTCTGTTACTGATTTCTAGTTTAATTCCATTAGGGTCTGTATTAGTCCGTTCTCACACAACTATAAGGAAATACCTGAGACTGGGTAATTTATGAAGAAATGAGATTTAATTGACTTGCAGTTCCACAAGCTATACAGGAAGTATGGCTGGGAGGCCTCAGGAAACTTACAATCACGGCGGAAGGTGAAGGGGAAGCAAGACATGTCTTACCACAGTGAGTGGGGGAGAGAGAGAGAAAGAAGGAGGGAGGGAGGGAGAGAGCAAGAGTGAGAGAGAGAGAGAGAGAGAGCACAGGGGGAAATGTTATACACTTTCAAACAACCAGATCTTGTGAGAACTCTATCATGAGACAGCACTAGGGGTATGGTGCTAAACCATCAGAAACTACCCCGATGATCCAATCACCTCCCACAAGGCCCCTCCTCCAACACTTGGGATCACAAGTCAACATGAGATTTGGGTGGGGACACAGAGCCAAACCATATCAGGGTCTGAGAGCATACATTGCATGATTTCTATTCTTTCATGTTTGTTAATTTGTGTTTTATGGCCCAGAATGTGGTCTCTCTTGATTAACATTCCATGAGAGCTTGAGAAGAATGTGTAATCTGCTGTTGTTGGGTGAAGTAGTCTATAGATATCCACTATATCTGGCTGGTTTATGGTGGTGTGGAGTTCAACTATGTCCTCACTGATTTTCTGCCTGCTGGACCTGTCCACTGCTGATAGAGGGGTATTAAAATCTGCAATGATAACAGTGAATTTCACCTACTCCTCCTTGCAGTTGTATCAATTTTTGCCTCACATATTTTGACATTCTTTTTTTAGGCACATACATATTAAAGATTGTTTTTTCTTCTTGGAGAATTGACCTTTTTAATCATTAAATAATGTTCCTCTTTATCCTGGATAAGTTCCTGATATGATTTGACTCTCTGTCCCCACCCAAATCTCATGTTGAATTGTGATCCCGAGTGTTGAAGGTGGGGCCTGGTGGAAGGTGATTGGATCATGGGGGTGGTTTCTAATGGTTTAGCTCCATGCCCCTAGTGCTGTCTGGTGATAGAGTTCTCACAAGATCCAGTTGTTCGAAAGTGTTTAGCACCTCCTGCCTCACTCTCTCTTCCTTCTCCAGCCATGTAAGATGTGCCTTGCTTCCCCTTTACCTTCTGCCATAATTGTAAGTATCCTGAAGCCTCCCCAGCCATGTAGAATGGTGAATCAATTAAATCTCTTTTCTTTATAGATTACCCAGTCGCAGGTATGTCTTTATAGCAGCATGAGAACAGACTAATACACTTCCCTTACTCTGAAGTATGTGCTGTCTGAAATTAATTTAGCTACTCTCACTTTCTTTTGATTAATGTTAGCATGTTACATCCTTCTCCATCCATTTACTTTTAATTTACATGTGTCTTTATATTTAAAGTGGGCTTCTTGTAGACAACATATAGTTGGGTTTTGTTCAACTTTGACCAATTTGGACATTCTTTTTTAATTGGTGCATTTAAACCATTGATGTCTAAAGTGATTATTAATATAATTGGATTGATATCTACCATATTTATTACTGTTTTCTATTAGTTGTTCTTTGTTGCTATTTTTGTCTTCCATGCTTTTTATGCCTTTTGTGACTTTAATTGAGCATTTTATATGATTCTGTTGTCCTCCTTTCTTAGGGTATCAGTTGTACTTCTTTCTATTTTTTCTAGTAGCTCTAGAATTTATAACATACAACTAACCCAAGTCCACTTTCAAATAACACTATACTACTTCACAGGTAGTATGAGTACCTTATAATAAGAAGATAATCCTAATTCTTCCTTCTTGTCCCTTATATCATTGCTGTCATTAATTTCACTTACACATAAGCATATCTAAGTGTATGTATGTGTGTGTATATATATTTATACACAGTTATATATGACACACATAATCAAATACATTGTTGCTATTATGCTGAACAACTTATCTCTTAGATCAACTAAAATTTAAAAATGAAAGTTTTTACTTTACCTTCACTAATTTATTCTCCAATGCTTTTCCTTCCTTATGTAGATCCTGGTTTCTGATCTATATTTTGTTTCCCTTCTCTCTAAAGAACTTCTTTTAACATTTCTTGCAAGGTAATAGATTCCCTTAATTTTTTTTGTCTGAGAAAGTATTTCTCCTTCACTTAGAAACAATTTTTGTTGTTGTTGTTGAGACAGAGTCTCACTATGTTGCCCAGGTTGGTCTCAAACTCCTGGTCTCAAGCGATCCTCCTGTCTTGGCCTCCCAAAGTACTGGGATTACAGGTGTGAGCCACCACACCTGGCCCTCACCTTTACTTTTTTTTTTGAGACAGGGTCTCACTCTGTCACCCTGGCTGAAGTGCAGTGGCATGACCAACTTTGACATTCTCTTTTAATTGGTACATTTAAACCATTGATGTCTAAAGTGATTATTAATATAATTTGATTTATATCTACCATATTTATTATGGTTTTCTATTAGTTGTTCTTGTTCTTTGTTGCTACTTTTGTCTTCCATGCTTTTTCTGCCTTTTGTAATTTTAATAGAGCATTTTATATAATTCCATTGTCCCTCCTTTCTTATTGCATCAGCTCATTGCAGCTTCAACCTTCTGGGCTCAAAAATTCCTTCCACCTTAACCCACTCCCAGTCCCCACCCCCACCGCCACCCCCAGTAGCTGAAATTAGAGATGCATGCCACCACATCCAGCTAATATATATATTTTTTGTAGAGATAAGGTTATCACTATGTTGCCCAGACTGATCTTGAACTCCTTCGCTCAAGAGATCCTCCTGCCTCAGCCTCCCAAAGTGCTGGGATTACAGGTATGAGCCACCATGCCCAGCTTCCCTCACCTTTGAAGGATAATTTTGCAAGGTACAGAATTCTAGGTTGGTAATTTTTTCTCTTAATACTTTACTATTTATGTATTTATTTCACAGGCCAGAATGCAGTGGCACAATCATGGTTCCTGCAGCCTTGAACTCCTGGGCTCAAGCGATCCTCCCACCTCAACCTCCCAAGTAGTTGGGACTGCAGGTGGTGCTCCACCACACCTGGCTAAGGTTTTCTTTTTTCCATTTTTTGTAGAGACTGGAGTCTCACTATGTTGCTCAGGCTGGTCTTGAACTCCTGGCCTTAAGTGATCCTCCCGCCTCAGCCTCCCAAAGTGCTGGGATTACAGGTGTGAGCCACTGTGCCTGGCGATTTTTTTTTTAAGGCAGATTCTTGCTTTGTCCCCTAGGCTGGAATGCAGTGGCATGATCACAACTCACTGCCGCCTAGACCTCCTGGGCTCAAGTGATCCTCCTCCCTCAGCCTCCTGAAGTGGTATAGTGTTATTTGAAAGTGGACTTGGGTTAGTTGTATATTATAAACTCTAGGGCCACTCAGCTGGGACCACAGGTGTGCACCACCATACCCAGCTAATTAAAAAACTTTTTTTTTTTGTAGGGATGGGGTTTCACCATGTTGCCCAGGCTGATCTCAAGTGATCTTTCTGTCTTGGCTTCTCAAAGTGCTGGGATTACAGGTGTGAACCACTGTGCCCGGCCTCAACACTTTAAATATTTCACTCCACTCTTCTCTTGCTTTCATGGTTTCTGAAGAAAAGCTGGAAGTAATTCTTATCTTTGTTCCTCTCTGAGTAAGGTTGTTTATTTTTTCCTCTTTCAGGATTTTTCTTTCTCTTTGATTTTCTGTCATTTGAAAATTTTATGCCTAGATGTAGTTTTTTGGGCATTTATCCTGCTTGATGTTCTCTGAGCTTCCTGGATCTCTGGTTTGGTGTCTGTCATTAATCTCAGGAAATTCTCAATCATGATTATTATTTCAAATATGTCTTCTGTTCCTTTCTCTATTTCTTCTCCTTTGGTTATTTCCCATATGTATCTATATGTATCTATCATACCCCTTACATTTATCCCACAGATCTTAGATATTCTGTTGTTTTTGTTTTAGTATTTTTTTGTTTGCTTTTCAGTTTTGTAGATTTCTATTCAGATGTCCTCAAGGACAGAGCTCTTTCCTCAGTTGTATGCAGTCTATTAATAAGCCCACCAAGGTATTCATTTCTGTTACAGTGTTTTTGATCTTTACTTAAAAATCAAAAACACTGTAACGGAATTTCTATGTGGTTCTTTCTTAGGATTTCCCTCTCTCTGCTTGCATTGCCCATCTCTTCCTGCATGTGGTCTACTTTATTCCTTAGAGCCCTTAGCACATTAATCACAGTTATTTTCAATTTCTGGTCTGATAATTTCAATATTCCTGCTGTATCTGAGCCTGGTTCTAATGCTTGCTCTGTCTGTTCAAACTGTTTTTGTTTGTTTGTTTGTTTGTTTTTTTGCCTTTTAGCGTGTCTTGTAATTTTTTCTTGATAGCGAAACATGATGCAGTGAGTAGAGGAAACTGCTGTTAAATGGGCCGTTAGTGATGTGGTGGTGAAGTGTTGGGGTGGATGGGTGGCATTCTATAGCTCTATGATTAGGTACAGTCTTTTAGTAAGCCTGTGCCCCTGGACTGTAAATTTCACACGTGCTAGTTTTTTTTTTCTCCACCCACCTCCCTTTTGTGGGACGAGATGGCTAGAGTTGGCTGGAGTTGGATATTTCTATTCCGCTAGGTCTGTTAGACTCTGACAAAACCCCAACAGCTTAGGCTCTGGTTAAATAGTTTCTCCTGCCGGCAGACCCTGTTAGGAAGTTTCAAATGTTCCCCTTTTCTCCCCGTTCTGGAAGCAAAAGGGGATTTTTCTCAGATATTCACAAGAACCTGGTATGCTACAGGAGGTAAAACTCACAAATGTGTCTAAGTCCCCTAATGACTGGGTCCCTCTGGAGTTTCTCTCTCTCAGACTTGATACACTGAGCCTCCAGCAATTCATCATTTACAGTTCAGGTTTCCATACCTGGGCACTGGTCCTCATGAAGGTTTTGCTCCAGTAAGTTGTGATTATCTGTATTTGTCTATAGGTATCTCTAATTTTCGGGGTAGCGGTTTGGACTGTGACCTCTCTTCTCTGAAGGATCTAGGGAAATGTGTTGATTTTTCAGTTTGTTTGGCATTTCACTTGTTGTCAGGACACAGTGACAACTTCCAAGCTTCTTACATGCTGGATCAGAACGTAGAAGTCTGTTTCACATGTTTTTGCATTCGCACCAGAGGCATCTCTCAATAATCAGACGGAACAAATAGTGCTTTCTGTACATGTCATTTAGCCTCTTTCTAGCACCCATTTGCCTGCTTAGAGGGCTCATGGACAAGGTGCATGATAGCAGGAATATATATTTTTCAGGGAGTCACTAAGGCTAATCCACTTAATTTGCCAAACCCCAAGATCCCAATATAAATGCTGAGCAAGTAATATGGCACCATCTCCTGGGAGAACCAGCAAGCAACCTGGTAGCAGGTTCATTACCTTTCTATCATCAGTATCGTGGATAGAATGACAATTTGCTCTCAGTGGACTAGACACTTATTATAAATATGGATTTGCTTTATCTTTTGTTTTTCTTTTTCTTTTTTTCTCTTTTTGAGACAGAGTCTTGCTCTGTCACCCAGGCTGGAATGCAGTGGCGCAATCTCAGCTCACTGCAACCTTCACCTCCCAGGCTCAAGCGATTCTCCTGCCTCAGCCTCCCAAGTAGCTGGAATTACAGGCATGTGCCACCACACCTGGCTAATTTTTGTATTTTTAGTAGAGAGGGGATTTCACCATGTTGGCCAGGCTGGTCTCGAATTCCTGACCTCAAGTGATCCGCCCGCCTTGGGCTTCCAAAGTGCTGGGATGGCAGGCGTGAGCCACCACGCCTGGCCTGGATTTACTTTTTCTGTCCATAACGCTTTTGCCAGGACCACCATTTGTGGACTTACCAAATTCCTTATTTCTCGTCATGATATATAACTCGGATCTAGACTTGTAGTAATAAAAAAAAATATTGCTTCTGACCAAGAAAATCACTTTATAGCAAGAAAAGTGAAACAATGGCTCATATAATCATATGACTCATTGGTTCTACCGTATATCCTATCATGCAGAAAAACCAATCTGAAAAAAAAAAACAGCGAAATTACCTACGGAAGACTTAGCTATGATGCTGGCCAGGTGACAACACTTCATAGGTTTGAAGTGTTGTCTTACAAGATGATGTATAAACTTTTAACTGTGATTGATATATGATATTATTTCTCCCCTAGCCAGAATACATGAAAAGGGACCAAGAGATGAAATTGGGAGTGGCTTCTTAGGCCAATACCCATTAGCAAAATGCATGCTATTGTATTACTGGTAGTTAACTTTATAATTTTTTGTTTTAATTTTTAAAATTTTCATTTCTTTTTTATTTTATTCAGAGCAGAAGACCATGATGTTTTAATTTAAGAAATGAGGTCTGGCTATGTTGCCCAGACAGGAATACAGGGGCTATTCACATATGCAATCATAGCATACTGAGCCTTGAACTTCTGGCCACAAGCAATCCTTCTGCCTCAGGCTTCTAAGCAGCTAGTACTATAGGCACTTGCTTAATTATAAGTTCCTGGCTTCTAATTAAGCTTTTTCTTTTTTCACTTGAGGTCTCACTCTGTCACCCAGGCTGCAGTGCAGTGACACAAACACAGCTCACTGAAGCCTTGACCTCCTGGGCTCAAGCAATCCTCCCACCTCAGCCTCCCATGTAGCTAGAGCTGCAGGTGCACACCATCAGGCCCAGCTAATTAAAAAAAATTTTGTTTTGTAGAGACAGGGTCTTGCTATGTTGCCAAGGCTGGTCTCGAACTCCTGAGCTCAAGCAATCCTCCCACTTCAGCCTCCTAAATCGTTGGGATCACAGTCGTGAGCCACCACACCTGGCCTATAATTAAGTTTTAATGTTATAGTATATCCACGCATGTGGATTGAGACTGAAGTAAAATGAACATCACCCCAAAATAATCATAGATACTGATTGGACTTTGAGTATTCTTTATTTTTATGGAGACAGTGTGTCTTTATTTATATGAATTATAGTGCATCATATTCAGTGGAAGCATGATATTCTTCTTGTAGTTTAGAAGTTAAGCCACAAGGTAAAAGCATTTGGATGGATGCTGAGTATCCCAAGTGGACTGTGCTAGAACTCAACATGACCCCACTCTTCTAAGCTTTCCCCTGGGCCATGAGCTTGGAAGCCTGAAAACTGCATTTTCCAGACTTCCCTGCTAGCAGGGATCAAGTGTAGTTTCTGCAGATGAGAGGAACTTGCACACAATTTGGAAAGCATAAGGGAAGGAAAAGTCATTTTTCTTGTGTTACTGTGGTATAATACATACATATTTTGATCTTTGTCCTATTTCCTGGCACGCTGCTCCTAAAACTCTTGGAATCTCCGAAGTGGTAAGTGTCTTTTTTGTAAACTAATGAGAAGACTGATGGCAGAGGGGTGGGGAGACTCTGGGGCAGCCTCAGGATGTAGGCAAGTTGCCAGGGGTACCATTATATGATTAGAGGGTTGGAACTTTCAGGCTCATCCAGACTTCCCAGGAAGGGAGAGGGACTAAAGGTTGAGTTAATCACTAACAGTTAATGATTTAACCAATCATGCCTACATAATGAAGTCTTCATAAATCCCCAAAAGGACAGGGTTTAGGGAGCTTCTAGGTTGCTGAATATGTGGAGGTCCTGGGAGGGTGGTGTGATCAGAGGTCATGGAAGTTCCACATCCCTTTCCACATGCCTTGCCCTATGCATCTCTTCCATCTGGCTGTTCCTGAGTTGTGTCCTTTTATAATCAGCCAGTAATCCAGTAAGCAAACTGTTTTCCTGAATTCTGTGAGCCATCCTACAAAAAGATCAAACCCAAGGAGAGGGTTGTGGGGACCTCTGATTTATAACTGGTTGGTCAGAAGCATAAGCAAAAACCTGGACTTGCAATTGGCATCTCGAATGGGGGCAGTATTGTGGGACTGAGAGCTTAACTCATGGGATCTGATGCTATCTTCAGGTAGATAGTGTCAGACTGACTTACATTTTTGTACATCCAGTTGGTGTCCACAAAGAATTGGAGAATTGCTTAGTATGGGGAAAAACTCACATAACTGGTGTCAGAAGTTGTATTTGGCCATTTTTGCATTGCTATAAAGGAATACCTGAGACTGGGTAATTTATAGAGAAAAGAAGTTTAATTGGCTCATGGTTCTGCCGGCTATACAGAAAGCGTGGTGCCAGCATCTGCTCAGCTTCTGGTGAGGGCCTCAGGAAGCTCACAATCATGATGGTAGGTGAAGTGGGAGCAGACATGTCATATGGTGAGAGGAGCAAGAGAATGGGGAGAGGTGTCATATACTTTATTTATTTATATTTTAAGTTTTATTTATTTATTTATTTTTTGAGACAGGGTCTGGCTTTGTTGTCCAGGCTGGAGTGCAATGGCGTGATCTCAGCTCACTGCAAATTCCGCCTCCCAGGTTCAAGCCATCTTCCCCACCTCAGCCTCCTGAATAGCTGAGACTACAGGTGTATGCCAACACATCCAATTAATTTTTGTATTTTTTTGTACAGATGGATTTCTCCATGTTGCCAAGGCTGGTCTCAAACTCCTGAGCTCAAGTTCAAGGTCAAGCTCAAATGCCTTGGCCTCCCAAACTGCCGGGATTACAGGCATGAGCTACCATGCCTGGCTACATACTTTCAAACAACCAGATCTCATGAAGAGCACACTCACTATTATGAGGACAGCACCAGGCCATTAATGAGGGATGCACTCCAATGACCCAAACACACTCCCCTCAGACCCAACCTCCAACAACGGGGATTACATTTCAAGATGAGATTTGGAGGGGATAAAGAACCAAACCGTATCATTCCACCCATGACCCCTCAAATTGCATGTCTTTCTCACACTACAAGATACAATCATTCCCTACCAATAGTCCCCAAAAGTCTTAACTCATTCCAGCATCAAGTCCAAAGTCCTAAGTCTCTTCTGAGACTTATCTCCTTCCACTTATGAGCCTGTAAAAATCAAAATAAGTCATTTACTCCCAAGATACAGTGGTAGTACAGGCATTAGGTAAACATCACAATTCCAAAAGGGAGAAATTAGCCAAAAGAAAGAGTCAATAGGCCCCATGCAAGTCTAAATCTCAGCAGGGCAGTCATTAAATCTTAAAGCTCCAAAATACTCTCCCTTGACTCCATGTCCCACATCCAGGGCACAATGGTGCAATGCGTAGGCTCCCAAGGCCTTGGGTAGCTCTTCTCCTGTGGCTTTGCAGGCAGCAGCCCCTGTGGCTGATCTCACTGGTTGGAGCTGGGTGTCTGAGGCTTTCCCAGGTACAGGATGCAAGCTGCCTGTGGATCTACCATTCTGGAGTCTGGAGGGCAGTGGCCCACTTCTTATAGCTCCACTAGGCAGTGCCCCAGTGGGGACTCTGTGTGAGGCTTCCAACCCCACATTTCCCCTCAGCATTGCCCTATTAGAACTTCTCTGTGAGGGCTCTGCCCCTGTGGCAGGGTTCTGCCTGGGCACCCAGGCTATCTCTCACATCATCTGAAATCTTTGTGGGAGCTGCCAAGCCTCCTTCACTCTTGCATTCTATGTGCCCACAGGTTTAGTACCACATGGAAGCCACCAAGGCTTATGGCTTGCATCCTCTGGACAGGCAGCCTGAGCTGTATCTGGGGTCCTTTGAGCCACAGCTGGAGCTGTAGTAGCTGGGATTCAGGGAGCAGTGTCCTGAGGCTGAGCAGAGCAGTGGTACCCAGTGCTTGGCCCCCTAAACCATTCTTTCCTCCTACGTCTGTGGACCTGTGATGGTAGGGGCTGTCTCCAAGTTCTCTGAGATTGCCTTTGAGGCCTTTTCCCATTGTCTTGGATACTAGCACTTGGCTCCCATTTAGTCATGCTAGTTTCTCTAGCAAGTAGTTGCTCCATACCCTGCTGGGATTCTTTCTCTGCCACATGGCCAGGCTGCAAATTTGCTGAATTTTTATGCTCTGCTTCCCTTTTGAATATAAGTTCCAACTTTAAGTCATTCCTTTGCTCCCATATCTGATCACAGGTTGTTACAAGGAGTCAGGCCACATCTTGAATGCTTTGCTGCTTAGAAATTTCTTCTGCCAGAGACCCTAAATTACCACTCTTAAATTCAAACTTCCACAGATCCTTGGTACATGAACACAATGCAGGAGTTCTTTGCTAGGGTGTAACATGAGTGACGTTTATTCCAGTTCCCAATAACTTCCTTATTTCCATCTGAGACCTCACTAGGCTGGCCTTCACTGTCCATATTTCTATCAGTATTTTGGTCATAACAATTTAACCAGTCTCTAAGAAGTTACAAACTTTCATCCTCTTTTTTTTTTTGAGACAGAGTCTCGCTGTGTCACCTAGGCTGTAGTGTAGTGGCATGATCATGGCTCATTGCAACCCCGACCTCCCAGCTCAAGTGATCTTCCCACCTCAGCCTCCTGAGTAGCTGGTACTACAGGTCCATGCCACCATATCTGGCTAATTATTTTTTTGTTGAGACAAGGGCTCACTATGTTGCCCAGGCTGGTCTTGAACTCCTGGCCTCAAGCAATCCTCCTACCTCAGCCTCTCAAGCGCTGGGATTACAGTTGTGAGCCACTGCTCCTGGTCCTCCTGCCTTCTTCTGAGCCCTCCAAACTCTTCCAATCTCTGCCTGTTACCCAGTTCCAAACTTGCTTCCACATTTTCAGGTATCTTTTTTAGTAACGCTCCGCTTCTTGGTACCAATTTTCTGTGTCAAGCTGTTCTTGCACTGCTATAAAGAAATACCCGAGACTGGGTAATTTATAAAGAAAAGAAGTTTAATTGGCTTACAGATATGCAGACTATACAGGAAGCATGGTATCGGCATCTGGTCAGCTTCTGGTGAGGGACTCAGGAAGCTAACAATCATGGTGGTAGGTGAAATGGGAGCAGACATGTCACACGGTGATAGTGGGAGCAAGAGAGAGCGGAGAGGTGCCACACACTTTTAAACATCTAGATCTCGCAATAATTCATTATCGTGAGGACAGCATCAAGCCATTTATGAGGGACCCACCCCCATGACAAAACCACCTCCTGTTAAGCCCCACCTCCAATGATGGGGATTACATTTCAGCAAGAGATTTGGAGAGGAGAATCATCCAAACTATATCAGAAGTGAAGTATTCAGAGTGGTACGAGTATAGAAAGAAGAAACAGGTTTGTTTGTCTTTCCCCCCAACAGTTCTTTAGCACTAGCAGATGGATAAAAGGGCAGACAACAGATGAGACATTTGTAGGAGCTTCAGGACAGTTCCTGCAAATTCTCCACTTTGACGCTGCAGGAGGTGGCTTCTCTGTGATTTCTGAACTTCTGGATTTATTGAAAGCTAGCAGCAGTCCTTTCTGACTCTACTCTCCCCTGGTCCCTTCCAACTGTTTTGTAAGCTCTTATTCCCTGTGTTAAATCTCTTCTTGCTTGAAATACCTAGAGTAGATTCTACTTTCCTGACTGAACCCTGACTAAAGGATTAGGTTTAGTAAAGTGCTAGGCACTCAATAATAATTAGCTGTTACTAATGGGAATAGGAAAACTGAGAAGCATGTCTATTTACTTTCTTACCTCATCATATTTTCTTTTTTCATTTTCCAGTTGTTTAAGTAGGGCCTCTTGTTGCTGAATTCTGGATTGTTGCTGAGAACAGGTCATTTCCAGTAGATTTTCTTTATCTTGTAAGGTTCTCACTTGCCTGTGTAACTCATCTACGTTCTGATATAGAAGTTTCCTGAGGGCAATTAATGTAGATTAAATCACACCATGAATTGCAAATGAAATTCAGACCTAAAATTTTTATGGCATCACAAGGGATTTTTTTTTTTTTTGGTTCAATGAAGTAGGGTATGTGTCTATAAGCTAAAGGGACCAACACAGGGAACCTCTTTTGTGATAGAAGCTTTCCTTACTTCTCTCACTCACTCATCAAAATGACCCTATGAGGAAAAAGTAGTTGTCCTTATTTCAGAGATGAGGAAGTTGTGGTAGAGAGAACAGTTAAGACAAAGTGGAGGTAGGGCTCGAATCCTGAATCCCATATTCTTTCTTCCTTACTGCTTTACGAGTTGAGCCCTTCATCTTCTGGGTTCAAGGTAATGTTAGTTACAAGCACTATTGATAATAATAAGCACACATTAACACTGCTATAAATGAATCATAAATGAGCCTGCATTTTATGAGAAAATTTACCATTTTCCAAAAGAGGGTAAAGGAACTCACAGAATTTTACCTCAAATATGGTATCCTGGTATACTAAATATTTTGAATGAAAGGCCCTTAGAGATCAGCAGATGCTAGAAGAGGCTTTTCTCTTATCTGCGTGAAGACTGGACTTACCAAGGAGAACAATTATACCCATCCCCTCCCTGAAACTGCATTATTTATGGATCTTCAGAAAAGAAGATTGAGGAATATAACAACACCTCCACAGACCTTTTCACAAGACAATGGCTATCTCTTAAACTCATTCAAATTCCCAGGTAAATAATTTATGAATTAATTTTTGTCTCCAGGGTCCCTTCACTCTCCCTAATGAGTTACTGTCCCTTGGAATTCTCTACATTCCTCATCTCCCTCTCCCCTGGAAATGGGTATATAAGCTTCTGCAACACACTTAGACACTGGGTCATCACACTTGATTTTCCCCACCCCACGTTAATAAAATTGTGTTTGCTTTTTCTCCTATTAATCTGTCTTTTGTCAGTTGACTTTTCAGAAAACCTTCAGAAGGGGAGGGGAAATTTTCCCTCCACCCCTACAAGGGCCATTAGCACTCTTTCAGTCTCATCATGAAACCAGCCCAACTGTCCCACAGAAATTACACTTACAGTTTTTTAAACAAATGTAGAAATGTACCCTCCCAGTCTTAAAACTTGAAATTTATATCTGAGTTCCTCCCTCAGGAGACTGACCCTCAGGCAAGAAACTAAAATTCACCAGATCGTAGCATACAGAAAATGAGATGCCTCATTCCTCATGATTGGTTCCTTACCCCTCACTAATTCCTGTTTTACATTCCTTCCCTGCTATAACCCCCCAAATTTTAGTTGGTCAGGGAGATAGATTTGAGACTGATCTCCCATTCTCCTCAACTGCGGCACCCTAATAAAGCCTTTTTCCCTGGCAATACTCATTGTCTCAGTAATTGGCTTTCTGTGCACTAAGCAATGGGACCTAGACCAAACCCCTGGTATTTCAGTAATAGAATAAAGTTTGTGAAAAGAGTTTTCTGAGGATTTCAGACCAAGGTTCTCTGGACTTAGGAGATTCATCTTGAAGACTGTGATGATGATAATGAAATAGTACTGGTGGGCAAAAGTCTCACCTGCATGCTAGGGCAGTAAAATCCTGACATTCGACAATTAAGTTTGTTTTCTCTAACTTCAGTATTCTGAGAAATCAACAGGTTATTGGGGGACAATTATATTTGAGACATGGGCTCACATCCCTCCACCTCTCGTTCTTCTCCTTATGTTTCTTGGATGTAAGTGCAGACTCTCCAAGGACTGCTATAGCTAATTTTCTACCATTCACATCCACTTCTACAGCAATATCCTCTCTTTCATCTCTCCTTCATCTAATTCACTGTATACCTGCTATTATGGCCTACTTCTTTTTGGTTCCACTCTCAATTTCCAGACTAAGAGATAAGCCTTGAAACTAAAAGAGAAGTTTTGATCCACTGAAACTAAAAACACTTGAGTTATTGGCAGTAAAATTTGAGAGCTGAAAACTAGAATTGGAAAGTAGGAAGTTGGCTGGACATGGTGGCTCACACCTATAATCCTAGCACTTTGGGAGGCCAAGGTAGGAGGATCGCTTGAGCCCAAAAGTTCAGGAGCAGCCTGGGCAACATAGTGAGAACTCATCTGTATAAAAAATTTTTTAAAAATTAGGCATGGTGGCATGCGCCTGTAGTCCCAGCTACTCAGGAGGCTGAGGTGGGCGAAGTGCTTGAGCCTGGGAGGTCAAGGCTGCAGTGAACTGTGATCGCACTACTGCACTGCAGCCTGGGTGACAGAGTGAGACCCCATCTCTACAAAAAGAAAAAAAGCAAATTCGGAAGTCAAAATTAAAAGAGCAACTCAAGAATATGCGAGAAGTTAATTGATATAGAGTTTGAAAAATAAAAGACTAACAAACCAGGTCTGCCAATGAATAAAATTAAGAAATTGGTGTACTGATAAGACTCCCTGCATTCTCTGCAGCCTGAGCCTCTTTTAGTAGTCAGAGTGTTCTTTCTAAATTGCAAACTAATCATATAACTTCCTCTGCTTAAAATCCTATAGTGGCTCCCCATTACTCTTTCTTATATATATATTTTTTCTGTTCCTTGATTCAGGAACCCCATACTCTTAAGGTAAAGTCCAAACTGTTCACCATGGCTTGATATATTCTGCATGAGAAATGGGCACTGTGGCTCACAAGAGCTGGGCACCATGGCTCATGAGGATCTGTGGCACTATGGCTCACACCTCCTAACACTTTGGGAGTCTGAGGCTGGAGGATCACCTGAGGCCAGGAGTTCTAAAACAACCTGAGCAACATAGGGAGATCCTGTCTCTAAATTTTTTTTTTAATTAGCTGGGCATGTTGGGTATGCCTATAGTCCTAGCTACTCAGTAGGTGGAGGCAGGAGGATCATCTGAGCCCAGGAGTTCAGGGCTGCAGTGAGTCATGATTGTGCCACTGTATTCCAGCCTGGGCAACAGAGCAAGATCCCTGACTCTAAACAAACGAACAAACAAACAAACAAAATCTAAGGTTCTGCATGAGCTAGGCCTACGTCACCTCCTTATCTCATTTTCTCACCACTGTCCCTAACCTCATTTTCTTTCAGCCAATGAACTTTTTCACTTCCTCAAAGTGGTCCTCCATACTATTGTCTATTTAGCTTCTTGATACCAACTACTTCATTCTCAACTTAAACCACTTTCTTTGAGGAAGTCTTTCTTAAGCTCCCTCACTCCATAGATATCCGTGTTATGTACTATCATGGCAACCTAAACCTCCTTTAGTATAACACTTACCACACTTCATCATACTTCATTGCAGTTGCAAAGTCTTATGTATAGAGATATTTATTACAGTTTTATAATAGCAAAAAAGTCTAAAAGATGTAAGTATTACATAAAGTATGATATATCTATGTAACAATGTCATACAACTGTTTAAACTGATATTATGAAACCATAAATCAGTAAGAAAAAGAGAGATGGAAAATTCTAAATATTTGGGATAAACAACACACTTCTAAATAATACATGAGTCAAAAAGGAGGTCTCAATAAATTAAAAATATTTTGAACTAAATGAAAATGAAATACAACTTACAAAATTTATAGGATACAACATAGCAGAAAACTTGTAGCATTACATGCATATATTATAAAGGAAGAAAAATATAAAATCAGTAATCTAAGCTTTCACCTTAGGAAACTAGAGAAAGAAGAACATTATAAGCCTAAAGCAAGCAGAAGCAAAGAAATAGTAAAAATGAGAGTATTAATCAATGGGATTGAAAACAAGAAAACAATAGAGAAAAATCAATGAAATCAAAAGTTCATTCTTTGAAAAGATGAATAAAATAGATAAACCTCTAGCCAGGCTAACTAATAAATAGAGAAGACAAATATTAATAATATAAAAAATGTGGCCAGGCACAATGGCTCACATCTATAATCCCAGCACTTTGGGAGGCTGAGGCAGGAGTATCACTTGAATGCAGGAACTTGAGACCAGCCTGGGCAACACAGCAAAGACTCATCTCTATTTGACAAATAAAACATTTATTTTTAAATATCAAAATGAAAGAAGGGCCACCACTACTAACTCCATGGACATTAAAAGGATAATAAAGGAGTATTATGAACAATTCTGCCTACAAATATGATAACTTACATTATATGGACTGATTCTTTGAAAGACACAAACTACGAAAGCTCACACAAGGAGAAATAGATAATCTAAGTTGGCCTATATCTGTTAAAGAAATTGAATCAATAATTAATTACCTTCCAAAAAATAAAGCACTAGGCCCAGATGATTTCATGGTGAATTCTACCAAACATTTAAGAAAGAAATGATACCAATTCTCTGCAATCTCTTCCAAAAAAAATTGAAGGAGAGGGGACACTTCCTAAGTAATTTTTTGAGACAAACATTACCCTAATACCAAAACCAGATACAGATATTATATGATAGGAAAACCACAGACCAATACCTTCATGAACAGGTTCAAACTCAGTGTGGTCTGTTAAGTTCTACATGACCTAGGTCTAGCTTACCTTTCTAGCCTCATTTTCTTGCCACTTTCCTTGTCTCTAAACGTTTTGTTCTGGCCAAATGAACTTTCTTCATCTTACTGAGAAGATTATGATGATAATGACAACAATAGTAACAACAATAACATCCAATATTATAATAACAGCGAAACTTTCTTTTTTTTGAGATGGAGTCTCGCCTGTTTAGCCTGCCCTGTTGCCCACGTTGGAGTGCAGTGGCGCCATCTTGGCTCACTGCAACCTCTGCCTCCTGGGTTTAAGCAATTTTCTTGCCTCAGCCTCCCAAGTAGCTGGGGTTAACATGTGTCTGCTACCATGCTTGGCTAATTTTTGTATTTTTAAGTAAAGATGGGATTTCACTATGTTGGCCAGGCTGGTCTCAAACTTCTGACCTCAAGTGATCTGCCTGCCTCAGCCTCCTAACATGCTGGGATTACAGGTGTGAGCCACTGGTGCCAGGCCTAATTTAAACTAAATAGAATTAACTATAGTTTAACAAATATATTTTTAATAGAGTAGCTTTGTAACATTTTGACTTGTCTAGTTTCCCAGAATTCCTTCTGTGTAAGTTTCTGGTTATAGTGGGCCACAGGAGATAATATTTGTGTAAGATTTAGAGAACAGAATTGAA